>NC_000023.11:106212542-106837542 GCF_000001405.40 Homo sapiens | reverse complement strand
TATTATATTTCTTTTTAATTATAGCCACCCTAGTGGGTATGAAATGGTATCTCATTATGCTTTTGATTTGCATTTCTCTATTGACTAATGATATGAAAAATCTTTTAATGTGCTTATTGGCCATTTCTTTATTTTCTTTGGAGAAAAGTCTATTCAAATCCTTTAACCATTTTTAAAATTGGGTTGTTTGCCTTTTATTATTTAGTTGTAAGAGTTCTTCATACATTCTAGACAGCAGTCCCTTACCAGACATATAATTGGCAAATATTTCCTCCATTCTGTGGGTTGTCTTTTCACTTTCTTGATGATATCATTTGTAGCACAAAAGTTTTTAATTTTGATGTAATCCAATTTACCTATTTTTTCTTTAAGGTCACATGCTTTTGTTGTCATATCTATAAACAATTGCCTAATTCAAGATCATGAAGATTAACTCCTATGTGTTCTCTGAGAGTTTCATAGTTTCAGCTCTTACATTTTGGTCTTTGATCCATTTTAATTTAATTTTTGTGTATGTTTTAAGAAAAGAGTACAACATCTTTTTGGGGGTGGGGAGTATGTTGCTGTCCATTGTTTCAGCACCATTTGTTGAAAATAGTTCTTTCCCCCATTGAGTTAGCTTGGCCTTCTTGTTGAAAATTAACTGACCATAAATGTAAGAATGTATTTCTAGAGTCTCAACTATATTACATTGATCTACATGTCTCCCCTTATGCCAGTATCACAATGTCTTGTTTACTATAGCTGTATAATAAGTTTTGAAATTGGAAAGCATGAGTCTTCCAACTTTGTTTTTCCTTGTCAATACTGTTTTAGTTACTCTGAGTCTTTTGTATTTCCACATAAAACTTTATGAACACCAAAGTTTTACTCTTAAAACATATCAGTTACCCAGCTTCTATGGATTATAACTACACCAGCTATTGCAAGTTATTACTAGGAGTGCTAAAAAAAAAAAAGAAGAAAAGACTCACTTAAGTTCATCCCTTAAACTTTAGTAAACCTTAGTAGCTTAAGTAAGATAAAGAATGCCCATGACTGAGGCAGAGGAAAAGTAGCAGCTTAGGGTGGACCAATCCAGTGGTACTTTAGTTTGAAATCCAAGAAGCCAGTACAAGCCCTAGCAGGGCTGGACATTAAGATTGGCTCTGAGTCCCCACCCAAATCTCATCTTGAATTGTAATAATCCCCATGTGTCAAGCATGGGACCAGATGGAGATAACTGAATCATGGGGACGGTTTACCTCATGCTGTTCTCATGATAGTGAGTGAGTTCTCAAGAGATCTGATGGTTTTATAAGGGGCTTCCCCCTTCACTCAGTACTCATTCTCTCTCCTTCCACCCTGTGAAGAGGTGCCTTCTGCCATGATAGTAAGTTTCCTGAGGCCTTCCCAGCCATGTGGAATTGTGAGTCAATTAAACCTCTTTGCTTTATTACCCAGTCTTGGGTATTTCTTCATACCAGTGTAAGAAAGGACTAATATAGTAAATTGGTACCAGGTAGTGGGGCGCTGCTGTAAAGATACCCAGAAATGTGGAAGCAACTTTGGAACTGGGTAACAGGCAGAGGTTGGAACAGTTTGGAGGTCTCAGAAGAAGACAGAAAGATGTGGGAAAGTCTGGAACTTCCTATAGACTTGTTGAATGGCTTTGACCAAAATGCTGATAGTAATATGGACAATGGACTTCTATAGACTTGTTGAATGGCTTTGACCAAAATGCTGATAGTAATATGGATAATGAAGTCCAGGTTGAGGTGGTCTCAGATGGAGATGAGGAACTTCTTGGGAAATGGAGCTTTAGTGAAAAGACTGGTGGCATTTTGCTCCTGCCCTAGAGATCTGTGGAACTTTGAACTTGAGAGAGATGATTTAGGATATCTGATGGAAGAAATTTCTAAACAGCAAAGTGTTCAAGAGGAAGCAGAGCAAAAAGTTTGGAAAATCTGTAGACTGATGATGTGACGGAAAAGAAAAACTCATTTTCTGGGGAGAAATTCAAGCCAGCCACAGAGATTTGTGTAAGCAACAGGAGCCGAATGTTAATCACCAAATTTGGATGTCTCCAGGGCATGTCAGAGATCTTCACGTCAGCCCCTCCCATCACAGGCCTGGAAGCCTAGGAGGGAAAAATGGTTTCGTGAACCTGGCCCAGGGCCCCCCTGCTCTATGCAGCCTCAGGACATGGTCCCCTGCATCCCAGCTGCTTCAGCTCCAGCTGTGGCTAAAAGAGGCCAAGGTTCAGTTCGGGCCATTGCTTCAGAGGGTGCAAGCCCCAAGCCTTAGTGGCTTACACATGGTGTTGGGCTACAGATGCACAGAAGTCACAGGTGCACAGAAGTCAAGAACTGAGGTTTGGAAACCTCTGCCTAGATTTCAGAGGATGTATGGAAATGCCTGGATGTCCAGGCAGAAGTTTGCTGCAGGGGTGGAGTCCTCATGGGGGAACCTCTGCTAGAGCAGTATGGAAGGAAAATGTGGGGTCGGAGCCCCCACATAGAGTCCCCATTGGAGCATTGCCTAGTGGAGCTATGAGAAGAGGGCCACCATCCTTCAGACCCCAGAATGGTAGATCCACTGACAGCTTGCACCTTGCACTTGGAAAAGCTGCAGGCATTCAATGCTAGCCTGTGAAAGCAGCCAGGAGGGGGGCTGTACCCTGCAAAGCTACAGGGGTGGAACTGCCCAAGGCTGTGGCAGCCCACCTCTCACATCAGTGTGACCTAGATATGAGACATGGAGTCAAAGGAGACCATTTCAGGGCTTTATGATTTGGCTGCCCCGCTGGATTTCAGACTTGTATGGGGCCTGTAGCCCCTTTGTTTTGGCCAATTTCTCCCATTTGGAATAGTGTATTTATCCAATGCCTGTACCCCCATTGTCTCTAGGAAGTAACTAACTTGCTTTTGATTTTACAGGCTTATAGGTGGATGGGACTTGCTTTATCTCAGATGAGCCTTTGGACCCAGACTTTGGGTTAATATGGGAATGAATTAAGACTTTAGGGGGCTGTTGGTAGGGCATGAGTGTGTTTTGAAATATGAGGACATGACATGAGATTTGGGAGGGGCCAGGGGTGGAATGATATGGTTTGGCTCTGTGTCACCACCCAAATCTCACCTTGAATTGTAATAATCCCCACGTGTCAAGGGCAGGACTAGGTGGAGATAATTGAATCATGGGCAGTTTCTCCCATGCTGTTCTCATGATAGTGAGTGAGTTCTCATGAGATCTGATGGTTTTATAAGGGGCTTCCCCCTTCGCTCAGCACTCATTTTCTCTCCTGCCACCCTGTGAAGAGGTGCCTTCCACCATGATTGTAAGTTTCCTGAGGCCTCCCCAGCCACGCAGAACTGTGAGTCAATTAAACCTCTTTTCTTTATAAATTACCCAGTCTTGGGTATTTCATCATAGCAGCGTGAGAACAGATGAGTATAGATAGGATTCAAGGAAAGTTAAGGAGTATTCAAATCAATGTGTAAATGAAAGGGTAAGGTAGAAGAAGCCAATAAAGGAAAAATTAATGATTAGAGAGTATAGGTCTCAAATTGCAACAATTCCCTTCTTTTTTTTTTTAAATGCTTATTTTGACAAATCACATACTTGACAACTTAATATTAAGTTTAGCTGTTTGAACGAGGAGTTACATTTTTGCAAATACAGGTTGGAAAATTCATGGTTGTAGTCTGGATCTCAAGCACAGCACATTCCTTTAATTTAAATGACTGAATCATCAGTTTATCTATTGTTCTAAACTACAGGAAAAGTATCCCAGAGGGAAAAAAATAACCTCTTAAGCAATGAAACCCTAAACATAAATTTATAAGAGTGATGACAAGTATGTCAGTTCTATCCATTATTGCCTCTTAAGTATTCATAAAGTCACGTTAAAACCTTCACCTTCATCAACAGGCAGTAGGTGGTTAGAAAATTTAAAAAAATGACAAAAGAAATAAAATAAAAAACATTTACCTTCAAAGATGGTAGTTTAATGTTTGAAATTTTGAAGAGTGTAATAAAGTAGATTATTCAAGGAACTAAACTTAAAGTTTTTGAACATTTTTGCTCTGGCTCTTTTGAATGGAAACTTTTACCCATGGTGTTTTATATATATACTTGGATAAATATCTATATTTCTCTCCATTTATTTGGGTGTTCACACTTACGACAAATAAACTTGGCACTCATCAGACTTTTAGTGCCTGAGCAAAATCCAATCACATCTAGAAAGCAACATAGATTGTTAACTCTATAGCAGGTATTCTTAATCTGTTTCATTTTTATTATCTGACATTGATTTTACAATTATCATATGGCTCTAAAAGTGAAGGAAAGACAAAGCAAAGATTAACATTTCTTTATGTGTAAATTTCTACAAAATACTATATTTAAATTAGAATACTTCATAAACTCGGTATAATAAATGGTGGTTTGGGGGCCAGAGTTGACCTGTAAAACCAATAATTAAAACAAAAAAATATAAACAAATGCTTTTCTCAAATATCAGAAGCTTATCTTAAATAGGATCCTGTTCATAGTCCACAATTTAAAGGGTGTGAATTTCATTTTTAATAGTTTCTGGTTTCCCAACTTAGAAATAAATCTACCCCCACAGCTAAAAATCATTTTCCAAATTTATATTATGGTCATAGGAAGCACCTTATTCTTATCAAGGCAAGAAAAAATCAGTTATGTTGGTTAAACTACAATTTTGATCTACATTATCATGTAGGAAACCCATTACTTCTATTTAAAAACTTAGTAAGATAGTCCTGGTTATGAAACTATCTTATTAAGATAATAACTATATTACATACAGTTAGTAACTATCTTACTAACTATATGAAACAAGTTATGTTTACATATTCTGTGATAATATGTAGAAGATACTTATTTGCCCATCTAAAAACTTTAAGGCATAAACTCAATTACTACCTTTCTTGACATTCCATAGTTTCTACAATTCATTCATAATGTAGTTTAAAAGCATCAGGCAAGGGATCTTCAGTAGTGCTTTCCATTCTTAGGCCACTTTGCTTAAAACTAACCTAAGAGGGCCCATTTTTCTTTCATTGAGTAGTTTTGAAAAATTACCTTATCTAGTAATAGTTCTTGATTATATGTGTCAATGAAAGTAAAAGATTCATGTATTTTTCCAAGCAGTTTATTAGAATTTTACTAAATCTCTTTATATGCCCAGATTTTAGTATAACTTATTAAAATGTGGAACATTTAAATATATACCCATATAAAAACTTGGATAGAACTGGTACTCATGCATAATTTCAATTACTTCTGGTAGGACTTGTTCTTTGTATAATGTCTTTGACATTCTCACAGGAAAGATTTCCTAAAGTACTTCCTGTATTCATATTTAGACTTGTTGATTTAGACTCTTGGAGATTTAAAATAAAAAGTCTTGCTGTTTGTACAAAAGTCACCAGGTTTATTAAAATTATAGAATGCAATTTTTCTCTTCGTTTTAGTAAAAGTGTAGTTATAAAAGAATATAGCTATAATTTCTGTTACTTAGAAATCAAATGGAACTAGCTCTTGTTTAAAAAGCTTTCTCTTTACTAAGTTTTTACGTGTACTATTATTAAAACTAGATATATACAGATACTAAAATGGGTCAATATTCTTCATCATTGATAAGATAAAAATCTTAAGTGAAAACAGAATATTATGGCAATTTAAAAATACATATTTCCAAGCAGATAGTATACTAGCTGGTATTTTGTACATATATTTATTAAAACCTCTAAAAACGAGTGAGAAACTAGAAAACTGTAGAATTCTGATGCATATTTGGAAAGATGGTAAACTCATTTTGAAACAAAATCCTTTCTTGACAACTGAGCATATTCAGCTACTAAAAGCACATGAAAGTTTTAAGGGGAACAGTTACAGCTCTTCAGGTTTTGGAAAAGCAAATTAAAGGAAAAAGAAAGATATGTTGAGCTTTGAAGCTAACACGTGGACTGAATGTGAAATAGAACAGAACAAGGAAAACATGATATAAGTAAGAATTTGGGAGCATTGGGAGAGAAAACTACTAAGGCTGGTCAGATTTTACTTGTATTCCCACATCAAACTAAGGAATATCCTGGGTACATACTAAAAGAGAATGAGAGATAATAAAGTTGGGGCAAGGAAAACCCTTGATGGCCAATGTAGAAATTCTGCGTCTGGAATTGAGATGGAAAAAAAAATTTAATTACATGTTTTCATTGTGCTTTTTAATTATCAAAGGGAAAATTAGTTTTATCAATACTGCATTATAATTGACTTAGCATATTATTTTCAATCTCTACTCTGGAGATAGCAGTAAAAGGCTCTATACTCCAATTCAAATAAAATAATATAGCCAATAAAGACACATTTAGTTTTTCTTTGAATTTTAATTAAAATACAAATAGCTATAATTTGATAAGTTGTATCAATCTATTAAAACTTGGGGTTCCTGGACATTGTAAAAGAAAATTCATTTGAATTTGACCTGTCTGCATTTCCATGAGAGACATATTAAACATCAAAATCCTCCTTGTCCTCTCTAATATTTTATTTATTTATTTATTTATTTATTTATTTATTATTATTATACTTTAAGTTTTAGGGTACATGTGCACAATGTGCAGGTTAGTTACATATGTATACATGTGCCATGCTGGTGCGCTGCACCCACTAACACGTCCTCTAGCATTAGGTATATCTCCCAATGCTATCCCTCCCCCCTCCCCCCACCCCACCACAGTCGCCAGAGTGTGATGTTCCCCTTCCTGTGTCCATGTGTTCTCATAGTTCAATTCCCACCTATGAGTGAGAATATGCGGTGTTTGGTTTTTTGTCCTTGCGATAGTTTACTGAGAATGATGGTTTCCAATTTCATCCATGTCCCTACAAAGGACATGAACTCATCATTTTTTAAGGCTGCATAGTATTCCATGGTGTATATGTGCCATATTTTCTTAGTCCAGTCTATCATTGTTGGACATTTGGCTTGGTTCCAAGTCTTGGCTATTGTGAATAATGCCGCAGTAAACATATGTGTGCATGTGTCTTTATAGCAGCATGATTTATAGTCCTTTGGGTATATACCCAGTAATGGGATGGCTGGGTCAAATGGTATGACTAGTTCTAGATCCCTGAGGAATCGCCACACTGACTTCCACAATGGTTGAACTAGTTTACAGTCCCACCAACAGTGTAAAAGTGTTCCTATTTCTCCACATCCCCTCCAGCACCTGCTGTTTCCTGACTTTTTAATGATCGCCATTCTAACTGGTGTGAGATGGTATCTCATTGTGGTTTTGATTTGCATTTCTCTGATGGCCAGTGATGGTGAGCATTTTTTCATGTGTTCTTTGGCTGCATAAATGTCTTCTTTTGAGAAGTGTCTGTTCATATCCCTCGCCCACTTTTTGATGGGGTTGTTTGTTTTTTTCTTATAAATTTGTTTGAGTTCATTGTAGATTCTGGATATTAGCCCTTTGTCAGATAAGTAGGTTGAGAAAAATTTCTCCCATTTTGTAGGTTGCCTGTTCACTCTGATGGTTGTTTCTTTTGCTGTGCAGAAGCTCTTTAGTTTAATTAGATCCCATTTGTCAATTTTGGCTTTTGTTGCCATTGCTTTTGGTGTTTTAGACATGAAGTCCTTGCCCATGCCTATGTACTGAATGGTAACGCCTAGGTTTTCTTCTAGGGTTTTTATGGTTTTAGGTCTAATGTTTAAGTCTTTAATCCATCTTGAATTGATTTTTGTATAAGGTGTAAGGAAGGGATCCAGTTTCAGCTTTCTACATATGGCTAGCCAGTTTTCCCAGCACCATTTATTAAATAGGGAATCCTTTCCCCATTGCTTGTTTTTGTCAGGTTTGTCAAAGATCAGATAGTTGTAGGTATGCGGCATTATTTCTGAGGGCTCTGTTCTGTTCCATTGATCTATATCTCTGTTTTGGTACCAGTACCATGCTGTTTTGGTTACTGTAGCCTTGTAGTATAGTTTGAAGTCAGGTAGTGTGATGCCTCCAGCTTTGTTCTTTTGGCTCAGGATTGACTTGGCGATGCAGGCTCTTTTTTGGTTCCATATGAACTTTAAAGTAGTTTTTTCCAATTCTGTGAAGAAAGTCATTGGTAGCTTGATGGGGATGGCATTGAATCTGTAAATTACCTTGGGCAGTATGGCCATTTTCACGATATTGATTCTTCCTACCCATGAGCATGGAATTTTCTTCTATTTGTTTGTATCCTCTTTTATTTCCTTGAGTAGTGGTTTGTAGTTCTCCTTGAAGAGGTCCTTCACATCCCTTGTAAGTTGGATTCCTAGGTATTCTATTCTCTTTGAAGCAATTGTGAATGGGAGTTCACTCATGATTTGGCTCTCTGTTTGTCTGTTATTGGTGTATAAGAATGCTTGTGATTTTTGTACATTGATTTTGTATCCTGAGACTTTGCTGAAGTTGCTTATCAGCTTAAGGAGATTTTGGGCTGAGACTATGGGGTTTTCTAGATATACAATCATGTCGTCTGCAAACAGGGACAATTTGACTTCCTCTTTTCCTAATTGAATACTCTTTATTTCCTTCTCCTGCCTAATTGCCCTGGCCAGAACTTCCAACACTATGTTGAATAGGAGTGGTGAGAGAGGGCATCCCTGTCTTGTGCCAGTTTTCAAAAGGGAATGCTTCCAGTTTTTGCCCATTCAGTATGATATTGGCTGTGGGTTTGTCATAGATAGCTCTTATGATTTTGAGATATGTCCCATCAATACCTAATTTATTGAGAGTTTTTAGCATGAAGGGTTGTTGAATTTTGTCAAAGGCCTTTTCTGCATCTATTGAGATAATCATGTGGTTTTTGTCTTTGGCTCTGTTTATATGCTGGATTACATTTATTGATTTGTGTATATTGAACCAGCCTTGCATCCCAGGGATGAAGCCCACTTGATCATGGTGGATAAGCTTTTTGATGTGCTGCTGGATTCGGCTTGCCAGTATTTTATTGAGGATTTTTGCATCAATGTTCATCAAGGATATTGGTCCAAAATTCTCTTTTTTAGTTGTGTCTCTGCCCGGCTTTGGTATCAGGATGATGCTGGCCTCATAAAATGGGTTAGGGAGGATTCCCTCTTTTTCTATTGATTGGAATAGTTTCAGAAGGAATGGTACCAGTTCCTCCTTGTACCTCTGGTAGAATTCGGCTGTGAATCCATCTGGTCCTGGGCTCTTTTTCGTTGTTAAGCTATTGATTATTGCCACAATTTCAGCTCCTGTTATTGGTCTATTCAGAGATTCAACTTCTTCCTGGTTTAGTCTTGGGAGAGTGTATGTGTCGAGGAATTTATCCATTTCTTCTAGATTTTCTAGTTTATTTGCGTAGAGGTGTTTGTAGTATTCTCTGATGGTAGTTTGTATTTCTGTGGGATTGGTCGTGATATCCCCTTTATCATTTTTTATTGCGTGTATTTGATTCTTCTCTCTTTTTTTCTTTATTAGTCTTGCTAGTGGTCTATCAATTTTGTTGATCCTTTCAAAAAACCAGCTTGTGGATTCGTTAATTTTTTGAAGGGTTTTTTGTGTCTCTATTTCCTTCAGTTCTGCTCTGATTTTAGTTATTTCTTGCCTTCTGCTAGCTTTTGAAAGTGTTTGCTCTTGCTTTTCTAGTTCTTTTAATTGTGATGTTAGGGTGTCAATTTTGGATCTTTCCTGATTTCTCTGTCCTCTCTAATATTTTACTAGTAAACAGATATACCACTATTTTGCTTTTGGCCAGATTATGTAAATAAGGCTGACCTATAAGATATTAAATAAAAGATATCCAGACAGGTTTAAAATTGCTATGTCTTTGCAACAGTAAGAGGAGTCCTTTTTCGAGGCCTCACTGAATTCTCAAATATATTTTGACTTCTTAAAAACCAAACTATGTGAAAGTACAAGGTATATTTATATGGTAAACAGCAAATAGAGTAAAAGAAAGATCAAATTATAGTAATTTTATAATGTATGGGTTCCTAAAAATGAATAAAGTCCTTAATTCTCACTTCTGCTTAAGGATGTGAGTTAGACAATATAATTTCTTAGATTCTATCTTTAAAAAAAACCCCTGGGCATAAATAGGAAAGGTACTATGAATTCCTCTTGAAGAATGGGCTACACTAAACACACACCTTTTTTTCCAAATGATTTGATTGCTGTATAATTAATTACCTCTGTGCTAATATCATGATATTGAGTTGAAGCTGCTCCGCATCTGAGCCTGAGTTTTGCTACCAGTTGTTCAAAGTCTTTAACTTCATGGAAGCGAAAAGCTGTTTTTCCTTTGATGCTAATGATGACAGATTTGCTGGAATCATTTGTCTTATCTATAGCTAAGACCTAGGGGGTGAAAAACATAGAGGTCAATTAAATTTTCCTTTATTGTTGACACCTTCAAGTAAAATGTGTTTGGCTTACTCTTTTGTGGCCAAAAGTTTTGGTCTATAGTATGACTTATTAAGAAATAGACTTTGGGTACTAGTTGCACCAATCATACAATTAACCTCAGTGCAAGTTATTTCACTTCTCAAGAAAAAGGTCTAACATGTATCCTTTAAAAATGACAGTACAAATGTAAAAATTCAGTATCAAATACCAACAATTTATTTCTGACTTACGTAAAAGATGTCAATGTTATTTTTTTCTGACAGAGTACATCAAAAGTGATAGTCTAACTTTACCATTTAGTAAAGTCTTACAGCTCTTACTGAAAGTGAAAATTTTAAAACTTTAAAATTTAAAAACAAGATAAGCATTTAGGTTAATGCAAAATGGAGCTTGATCATTCAAAAATGTATGACATTCTCAGCAAACTATCGCAAGGACAAAAAAACCAAACACCGCATGTTCTCACTCACAGGTGGGAACTGAACAATGAGAACACATGGACACAGGAAGGGGAACATCACACACCAGGGCCTGTTGTGGGGTGGGGGGAGGGGGGAGGGATAGCATTAGGAGATATACCTAATGTTGTGACGAGTTAATGGGTGCAGCACACCAACATGGCACATGTATACATATGTAACTAACCTGCACATTGTGCACATGTACCCTAAAACTTAAAGTATAATAATAAAAAAAGACTTTACTAAATGGAACTGAGAATATCTCAGAAGGCTGTACTCTTATTCTGAAGAATAATTATTTTAAATTACTAAAAGGATATTGCATCTTGAGGTTTTAATAATTTATAGAATTAAAGGACATTTTACTCTGTGAAGGATAACATTTTCAAACTAAAAACTGATATGTAACCAAATTTACATTACCTCTCGTAGTGGAATGATTACACTACACTGATTGCCATCTTGGCTAGCAAAGCAGATATAATTTTCTGAGATGCACATTTTCCCATGAGTATTGAAGTGGCTGAATGGTACCCATAAGAAACATTCATGTACTTCTTTCAAACTCTCTCCTTTGGGCAGCCTAAAAAAGGCATTAAATTGCTCACTGTGGGCTCTATTTTCCAGACCTCTGTAGGAAAGAAAAAATGGGATAAGGCACAAATGAATTTTTAGAAATGAATTCTAAGGTATACATATGCCTATATTGACTAATCTACATACACTGTGCACACAGATTAAACACTAAAAATGCTATATTTTTCAACAAATTCTGAAATAGAAAAAAATACACTGATTCCTTGCAAACTCCTTTTGTTTGTTCTTTTCTTCCAATTTCATTTTATTAGTAGATTAAAATGCACAAAAGTTAGAGATCATGTAGGTCTTCAAACTATCTCTAAGGGGTGATTTCCTAGAAGACTATTATATTATCATATAGGCATAATATGTGACTATGGTTAAAATCAATCCTGGAAGACAACAATGTTCCTATCTGGTTACCAGAAAATCAAGCGAGTTACCCAGTTCAAGTAAAATAAAATAATGAAAATTTGTGGCATAAAAATTTAGAGGGAAAGAGTAGTCTATTAAAGACGATATTAAAAATTAAGTGAAGTAAAATTTTAAATGAATGTTTTAAAAAATCTAAAGTAGAAGTATGATAAAATAATACTGCTTGTACTATGTTGGGCACAGGATAGGTGTCAATAAATACAGAGGGCTTATTAACTGATAGACAAATGTAGCCTTTGTGTAAAAAGCAATTGCTTTAAATAGTATAATTTTTTCTAGGCACACGAAACAATTGCATTAAGCAGCAATGCCATCTGGGATAATAAGTAAATAATGCAAGTTCTAACTCAAATCCAACAAAGCTAAAACTAAATTCATTCTTCCTGCATATACTATTTAAATATGTGGTAGTTCATCATGTCTTTCAAAATACTTCGGATAAACATGAACAGAAAAACACAACCATGTTAATTTTTACCTCAGTTAAATGGTATTTTTTTCAAACTGGGAAAGCTAATAAAACAAATAAATTGCAATTTTGTGGGTTCACTATTATTTAAATAAAATAAAGTCCATTTATGTGAATAGAAAGTTGTCCATGATACAAGAGAAAAAAAGCAGATTGTAGAACAATGTGTGATGTCCAGACCTATTTTTGCAAATATTTATAAATTCATGCATTAAAAAGCCTAGAAGGATATACGCTAAACTTAACTATCATTACTGTGCTTCTGTATTGTTTAAACTATAAAAGTAATACATATTTGTAAAAACAATAAGCAGAGCAATAAAGATATTCCATTTTATAAAAAAGCCATTTGGAGACTAAGTCCCAATAAATTACTGTTCTTTTTAACTTACTAGAAAAAAAGATGTAGATATGTACGATTTTCAATGGGCTCTCCTAAAAATGCACACAGACAAAAATGGATTTATTATATCTTAATTAAATACCGATTTGGTGATGAATAACTCATTGATAGCCTTTTAGACTGTATTTTAAGGGAAATAAAATGGCAAAACAGTTTGTTTATGGTTGCCAATAAAGAAATGAAATACAAAAACAAACGCCCACCTATAATATAATACAAACAGGATTCTTAATCCTTATAGAATTCTATTTATAAATCATGCATACTGAGACCTAGTTTTGGTACTGAAGTATAAAAAATTTACCTTGCTGATCTAATTTCCATAAAAGCAGGGAGGCTCACAAACAAATCCTCATGTATATCAATTTTAGGAATAGTTTAGGAACAGGTAAGAGGAACAACTGTACCCAATGAGGGCTATGTAGTGATCATACAACCTTCTAGGTCACTTGTTCTGGTCTATCCATAGGACTTTGGCTTAGGTTCCTCTTATACTTTCCCATATAGTCTATACTGACATCCTCCTTGCCAGAAGCTGCTTTCACTAGCTATTTCTGGATCATCTCCTCTCCTTTTCCCCTTTGGCATGCTCATTTTAGTCAACTGTTCAGAATGTTCAGCAGGATAAAAGATATCTGGTCAGTTTCAACAAACCAAATATAATGGCAAACAGCTATCAGACACATACTTCTGAAGGAGGCACTAATAATGATTAATATTTGCCTCATATTTTATATTTTACAAAGTGCTTTCACACATATCATGCCCATTCCTCATAAGTGCCCTCTGAGGTAGAAATGACAGATGAGGAAACTGAGGTCCTGAGAGATATGACTTGTCTAAGGGTTGTTCTACTTTCATTCTAAAGTCCATGCTCCACTGACTCCACGAACTTGCCTCTTCATTAAAAAATGTTTTCTGTAAGTTATTTTAAAAAATAAACAATATGTTTAACAATTTCAGACCCAAACTGTCTAGACTATTCATAGAGAAATTTAGAGTTAGACTAACCACACATAAAAATCTCTGCATTTCTAAAAGCATTCCAGGGCAAGTCCTATCTGAATCTCAAGAAATAATTTTCAAATCTAACTTCTATTATTTCTTACAATTAAATTTCCTGGAGAGAAGGGTACTATTTATGTAATGCATATGAATAAACTCACAAAACACACACACACCCACAATCAACTCCAAAAAAAACCCTATCATATAATATAGAAGAGTTAACTTTTAATGGTAAGCAATACTATCTTCATTCTTATGGTCAAACAATACTTTGAAAACTAAAAATTAAGCTTTGAATACCTTTTGGTGATCTGTAGAGGATTATAAAGGACTGGGTCATTATCAAATGTTTCCTTATCAAAAAGTCTTCTAATGGCATAGTTTGCCAGCTGTTCCATAAGAAGGTATGTTTGGTTAATGTGCAAAAACATTGAAAAGTAGTGATTCTCTCCTTGGGAACACACGTGAATACTCTCTGTCAGTATGACATTTGAAGTCTTTTCAAGTTTTGAGACTTCATCCCAGGAGATAATGAGTTTTACTGCAAATAAGAGGTATAAGCAGGTATGATTAAATTTTCATAGTGATTTATGTTTATTAATCAGTTCTTCTGAAACAATAGTTAATCCCTTGAAAAATACTATAAACAGCTAAAATAGTTTAGAGTTCAAGATTAGTTAAAAATTTGAAGCATCAACATGAACGTGCAAGAATTGGTGATTCCAGGAAGAGATCTAATTTTAAATAATTTCTTTTGAGATAGAGTCTCACTCTGTTGCTCAGACTGGAGTGAGGTGACATGATCATGGCTCATTACAGCCTTGACCTCCCGGGTTCAAGTGATTCTCACATCCCAAGTAGTCCCCCCAAGTAGCTGGGACTACAGGCATGTGCCACCATGCCCAGCTAATGTAATTTTTTTTTTTTTTTTTGTAGAGACAGAGTCTCACTATATTGCTCAGGTTCGTCTTGAACTCCTGGGCTCAAGTGATCCTCCTGCCTTGGCCTCCCAAAGTGCTAGGATTATAGGCGTGAGCCACTGTGCCCAATTTAATTTTAGATAATTTTTAAAAAAAATGATTCTGATTTGATATTTAAATCTATCTCTTTATATAATTACATAATTATATAACTACCAATGTAAAAGCTGTTTGTATGCTATAAATAGCACTGTTTGATTCTTCTTTGTAGCTACAAAGTGAGATGTGGGCCATTAGGTACTATGGCCACTATATTCAAATTGTATGTTTAAAATAGATTAAAACACAGACTAAAGCATGTAGGTAGTTCATAACAAGGAATTGAAAGCAGTCATATGCCAGATCATCATTTAATACTGACTCACTTCCCACGATATGCAAGGCATTCTATATACACTTCTAATGGTTTTATGTTAAGCAACCAGTCTTAAAAGAGTTCTTTCCCTAGATGAAATAAACTTTTTATTGTACAGTTTAATTACCTTTAATATCAATCCTATTATTTTATTTACAACCTAACATCATTAGAGTTGGTAGGTCAGACAGCAAATTCAAGGCCATAGTAAGCAATAGAAACCACTTACTTTCTGATCCCAACAAAAAAGAATAGAAGCTCAGAAAGTTGGTGCTAAGATAAAGCCAACCCTGACAAGGAACCCGTCCTTTCCAATAACTGCATGAATAATAGGTCACTAACTTCTCCTTCTCTGGTAAACCAAAACATTTTTCAAATTTCAAAAGGGCTTCTCGAAATTTCTCAGGATCATCTTCTTTTGCAAAACAATGTTTTCCCTCTTCAGCAATTAATCCCTAAAGGAGACAAAATATTTTCTGAAAATTCATCACCTACCAACAAAAATATATTTCATACATTCAAACAGTTGATTGAATACAATTGTACAGTCAGCCCTCCATATCCATGGGTTCCTCATCCATGGATTCAACCAACCAGGGATTGAAAATATTTGGGAAAAAAATTCTACAAAGTTCCAAAAAGCAAAACTTGAATTTGCCATGCACCGAAGACTATGCAGAGTCCACTCAAATGAAGTGATGCATAGGCATTGTATTAGGAATGAATAGTCTAGAGATGACTTTAGGTATATAGGCAGATGTGCATAGGTTATATGCAAATACTATGCCATTTTATATTAGGAGACTTGAGCATCTGTGAATTTTGGTATCTACAGCGGCGGCCAGAACCAATCCCCATAGATACCTAGGGACGACTGTATATATCTATACAGGTACATATATCATATGTGTGTACATAGATAATTCTCTTAGGACAGAGGTAAGCAAATTTTCTTCAGTTTTGTGCTTAGGTTTTTTTCTGAATGCCTCATAAGGAACTACTACAAATACAAGTGCTAAATATATTTTTTTGAATGAACAAATGGTTTATTCAACTCAAAACTCAAGAGATATTGAAACAAAAATGCCCCTAAAAGCATTCACAAGGGCACCAAAGACAAACATTTAATGAAAGGGGAAAAAAGTAAATCCAGCTCATGAGAAAATATATAAAATTCTGAAAACAATATGTCAGTAATTGGTACCTAAAGAATAACCAGTATGTTTTAAGAGAATATTTCAATATCTATCAATCTCCCCCTGTGCTAAAGACTTTACAGTTTTCTTTAGCACACTGATTCTGAAATTCATATGTTCGTTTCTACCAATCCTGAAAGGTGCCAGTGAAACAATGACCTTCCATGCAAACTTTGATCCTCATACATGAGAGTCAAAGGTTTTGGCACTCCATCTACAAGATATATCCGTGCCACTTACTCTTATTTTTCCTTGTACAAAATTAGTAATATCTTCATTTGAATCAAATACAGATAAGGTCTTCATAATATTTTGTTCCAACCAATCCCAATGCTTGGTTATTTCTTCTCTGTTGGCTCCTGATTAATAACACAAGAAAATAAAACACTTAAGGAAAACTCCACAATAAAACTGCTCTTGTTATTTAAAAGCATAGTTTAAAAAGAAATAACATTTTCACTTTAAAAAATGATGGTCATAAAGGAGTAAAATATTTACATTTATTCCTACTTTATCCCTCTATGTGGGCATGAACAGTACTTCTCATAAATAGAAAGAACAAAACATTTAATGAAAGGGGAGTAAAGTAAATCCAGCTCATGAGAAAATATATAAAATTCTGAAAACAAGATGCTAGTAACTGGTGCCTAAAGAATAACCAGTATCTTTTAAGAAAATATGTAGAGTACCAGAAAATACATAATGTGTAATTCAATCCTTGGTCTCCAAATAATGCAGTTAGTGCTGTGTCTATAATATGTGTGGCTGAAAACAGCATGTATGTGACAATCCTATGCATGCTAAGTAAATGTAGATTTTAACTGTGGCCACTCTACTTATTTCAGAAGCCACAAAACCTTTGCTCAGAGCAACCCCATTCATCAAAAGACCTAGTAAACTTACAGAAATTTCATACAGGAGGTTAGAAATTCTGTAGCAAGGTTAAATCCATGTGACCCGCTGAATCAGTGTTAAGAGGTTTGCTGAGGGTGAGATTAAACATTATTAGCCCTAGTTGCTTTGACTTGAAGAATATTTCAGTATCTATCAATCTCTTCCTATCACTCACATACCATTAAAGTCTTCTCAGCACTATGGATTATATAAATATTCAAAAGAAATATGCTGACTTTTTAGTATATTTTATAATATATGGAGACTGGCATATTAAAAAATTTGTTGACATTGCAAATGGCCTATTTCCTACAATTCAATCAGAATTTTATTCATGCTACTAAGTCACCATAGCAAGAGTAATAACTGTCTTTAATGGACCACAAATAAAAGCCATGGGGGAAATGTTAAGGCCTTAAGTTTGATTCTTTTGGTATAAGGAAGCTTCATTAGTAGGTAACTACACTATTTCTGCATCAGGTTAATTTGGGGGAAATAAGTTATACAATCATCTTTATTTAAGTAGAAAGGCCTTTTTTTAAAAAAAATAATTTTTACTAACCAGATTTAGAGTTGAGATTACAGAATTCTCGTGATGTCAGCAGGTATAATGTCAACCTCATTTAGGTTAAGTGACATTCACTTTAAGAGGGCCAGGAGGAAAGACTCACTGGCAACACTAAAAGAAATTTAGGCGGAAATATAAAAAACAAGCCACACAACCTAAAAAATTAATTGTATGCTATATGTTCACACATATGAATGTTCCAGAAACTCATGTGCTTTTGTTCTTTTTAAAAAATTATAATATATCTACTTTAGAAGAGAGGGGGATAAGAAGAAAGGCAGTTTTTCAATATCAAAAAGGCTAGAAATCTGGGATTCTAATTTAGACCAACATTATAATGGCATCATAAAAGGAAGTAAGAAACTGTCAATGCAGCTTTTTAAAAATTTATTTTGACTTGCTTTATTAGAAAGGATTATCCTAATTCCTTTTCTACCCATAATATATATGTTGAAGCATCTGAACCACCCTGGCATGAATGAATATGTAACATTAACTGTAAGACATTCCTTCATATTTCAAGGATATGATGCTTTTTCTGAGAAGGTGGGAATGAATAAAAAAGGTTTAATTTTCCAGGCTTATACTTCCTTAGGAGTCATTATGTTTTGGGTTCACAGATAACTTCAGATTCTTCTCATTTGAGTTATTAGTAATGAAACAATTTATTTCATGGAGAAGTTCTCATCTTCCCAGCAGTTGGATAAAGCAGAAGTTGAAGAAAGGAGTTATATAGCAGTAACACTGACCAAAATCTGTGCAGAATCAGCCCTGCTAGACCACATGCTTCAGGTCCCTCACACCAATGGATTAAAAAAAAAAAAAAAACTTAATAACCCATATCCTTTAAAAATAGAGGTCTTGCTATTCTCTCAAAGTAAAGTTGCACATTTAATTTGTTTTTAAATCTCAAAGCAACTACAGACTATAAATAAATATGAATACTCAGCTTTGTAGTACCCTTATTTAATTTGAATTATGTTTTAAAAATCATACTCACCACATGCAATTGACAAGTAAACTTGAGAATCTGGTGTCTGGTGTAGGATGCGAAATGGAGCTACTTTAGCAGTAGAGTCCAAGACTGAATCAAGAGTCCCAACCAGAAGCCCTGTTGTAATAGAAAGATTGTTGAAATAAGGACTTTACAAGAGATAAATCAAATCTGTATCACTTCATATAACAAACTAATAAATTTATTTTAAAACTTTTCTAGCCCATAGAGTCCTTACAGAGATTTTTCTTAAAGAAAAAATACATTTGGGATAAAGAGAGATTACAGTATGCCAATGTGAGTAGTATCTGAGAAAATTATCTTTCAATAAAAGAGTTAAGTCAGCTTCAATTGTCCAAATCTCAAAATGTATCTGCAGCACTTATGTATCTCGTTCATAAGGTTGTATGTATATTAGATAAGAATGTAGAATATAGTACTATAGACTAACTGGGTTTAAATTCTGGCTCTGTCGCTTGTGTCAACTTGAGCAAGTTAAAGTACTTACCCTTTCTGCATCCTCATTTGTAAAATAAGGTTAAAACAGATCCTACTACAAAGGGCTGTTGTAAAGATTAAATGAGTTGTTACATTTAACGCACTTAGAGCAATGCTTAGCACACAGTAAAACACCCGATATTAGTTAATACTATTATTATTTAAGAAAATCTTAGATATTTAAACAAGATAAAACCTTGATTAAATAAAATGCTTCTGTACAGGGATTTTCTTTTCAACAATTCTTAATTCCTCAATTAGGAATTCAAGGTTCTTGATCAATTAGTTCCAGTTTAATAATCTAATTATATTTCCTACTATTTCCTAGAACAAAGTTCACTGTTTTCTTAAACAACCAGTTAATTTCTCCCATAGGGTCTTTGCTAAGCAATTATCATTTTACCTAGAAATGCTAATGAAAAAAAAAGAAATCCTAATGAAAGTCTTCTAGTCCAGTCCAACTAATCTGAATTCTACATTTTCTTCAAGACCCACTTCCCCTATGAAATCCTCACTGGCTATCCCAAGCAATAATACTTTCCATTTTCTCTGAATATTCATAGGACTTAGAGTCTATACAGGTTGAGTATCCCTTATATGAAATGCTTGTGACCAGAAGTGTTTCAGATTTCAGATTTTTTCAGGTTTTGGATTAAGTGCATACACATACTGAGATATCTTGGGGATGGGACCCAGGTCTGAACATGAAACTTATTTGTTTCATATATACCTTATACATATAGCCCGAAGATAATTTTATACAATATTTTAAATAATTTTATGCATGAGTTTTGACTGCAACCTGTCACATGAGGTCAGGTGTGGAAATTTTCCATTTGCGGCATCATGTCAGCAATCAATGTTTCGGATTTTGGAACATTTCAGATTTTTCATTTTTAGATTAGTGATGTTTAACCTGTACTACACAACCTAGCATATATTAGGCTGGTTATTATAACTACTTTCTAAGAGCTTCATGTATATAATTTTTGTCTCTTTATCTAGATTATTTGTCCTCTGAGGACAATAACCATGTCTTCTGTCTCTGTGTTTATATCCATAACTTTCAACATATTGCTGCACAATAAGGATATAGTTTGTTGATTTAACCATATCAATGGGATGGCTGAAATATATAAATTTACCTTCCTTTTCTGGAAGCTCTGATTGGTTGAGTGTTGGTTTTGCTTTATGAGGCATTTCCCTTTAATTTAGAATACAGATTTTTAAGAAAAATTTAATTCAATTATAAACCAGGCTTTTGGCTCTCTTCCTATTTTGACCCACTTAAAAAGAATTGAGATTTTAAGCAAGGTTTGAATGAGAATATAGATAGATTGGCAGATGCTCACATTTGCCTCACATCACTTCCTATCACATTAGGAAGTTACATGCATAGAAGGAGGTAAACTAGAAGAGTAGGAGATAAGACAAAGACATAAAGAGAAATTTGGCTTAGCTGAAAGGAAAGGATAGGAGAGTAGATACAGGAATTGATAAAAAGTAAAAACAGGAGTCACAAATGCAGCATAGCATCAATTAGAAATTTTCTGAGGATTTTGATAGGGCAAAGTTCAAGAAAGAAGATTTTGGCAATGGCAGTATGTGCAGATTATAGAGATAAGAAGTTATCTGATATGAAAAAAAGTTCAAGTATGAATTGAAGCTTTTAAAAAATAGAAATGAGAAAACTGACAAATATTATGAAAGAGAAAGTATTGGGGAAAAGACAATGGGAATGAGGATGAGGGAAACAGAAAATAATTATATTTCAACTAATGAGGAGGGAATTACTGATGGGTTTGGGGATAAAAGGAAAAATAATTCTATCACTTTTAGCATTGAAATAGTGACTATGAGAAATTGGAGATTTGGTAAAGTAAAAAGAAAGAAAAGTAGGAGCCAAAATATGCAGATAGTGTCTTCAGAACTATGTGATTAAAATTACTGAGCATTTTATTCTCTTTGAAGCAATTGTGAATGGGAGTTCACTCATGATTTGGCTCTCTGTTTGTTATTGGTGTATAAGAATGCTTGTGATTTTTGTACATTGATTTTGTATCCTGAGACTCTGCTAAAGTTGCTTATCAGCTTAAGGAGATTTTGGGCTTAGACAATGGGGTTTTCTAGATATACAATCATGTCGTCTGCAAACAGGGACAATTTGACTTCCTCTTTTCCTAATTGAATACCCTTTATTTCCTTCTCCTGCCTAATTGCCCTGGCCAGAACTTCCAACACTATGTTGAACAGGACTGGTGAGAGAGGGCATCCCTGTCTTGTGCCAGTTTTCAAAGGGAATGCTTCCAGTTTTTGCCCATTCAGTATGATATTGGCTGTGGGTTTGTCATAGATAGCTCTTATTATTTTAAGATACGACCCATCAATACCTAATTTATTGAGAGGTTTTAGCATGAAGCGTTGTTGAATTTTGTCAAAGGCCTTTTCTGCATCTATTGAGATAATCATGTGGTTTTTGTCTTTGGTTCTAACAGTTAGGAATCCAACTTACAGGGGATGTGAAGGACCTCTTCAAGGAGAACTACAAACCACTGCTCAATGAAATAAAAGAGGATACAAACAAATGGAAGATCATTCCATGCTCATGGGTAGGAAGAATCAATATCGTGAAAATGGCCATACTGCCCAAGGTAATTTATAGATTCAATGCCATCCCCATCAAGCTACCAATGACTTTCTTCACAGAATTGGAAAAAACTACTTTAAAGTTCATATGGAACCAAAAAAGAGCCTGCATCACCAAGTCAATCCTAAGGCAAAAGAAAAAAGCTGGAGGCATCACACTACCTGACTTCAAACTATACTACACGGCTACAGTAACCAAAACAGCATGGTACTGGTACCAAAACAGAGATATAGATCAATGGAACAGAACAGAGCCCTCAGAAATAATGCCGCATATCTACAACTATCTGATCTTTGACAAACCTGACAAAAACAAGCAATGGGGAAAGGATTCCCTATCTAATAAATGGTGCTGGGAAAACTGGCTAGCCATATGTAAAAAGCTGAAACTGGATCCCTTCCTTACACCTTATACAAAAATTAATTCAAGGTGGATTAAAGACTTAAACATTAGACCTAAAACCATAAAAACCCTAGAAGAAAACCTTGGCATTACCATTCAGGACATAGGAATGGGCAAGCACTTCATGTCTAAAACACCAAAAGCAATGGCAACAAAAGCCAAAATTGACAAATGGGATCTAATTAAACTAAAGAGCTTCTGCACAGCAAAAGAAACTACCATCAGAGTGAACAGGCAACCTACAGAATGGGAGAAAATTTTCACAACCTACTCATCTGACAAAGGGCTAATATCCAGAATTTACAATGAACTCAAACAAATTTAGAAGAAAAAAACAAACAACCCCATCAAAAAGTGGGCAAAGGATATGAACAGACACTTCTCAAAAGAAGACATTTATGCAGCCAAAAAACACATGAAAAAATGCTCATCATCACTGGCCATCAGAGAAATGCAAATCAAAACCACTATGAGATGCCATCTCACACCAGTTAGAATGGCGATCATTAAAAAGTCAGGAAACAACAGGTGCTGGAGAGGATGTGGAGAAATAGGAACACTTTTACACTGTTGGTGGGACTGTAAACTAGTTCAACCATTGTGGAAGTCAGTGTGGGGATTCCTCAGGGATCTAGAACTAGAAATACCATTTGACCCAGCCATCCCATTACTGGGTATATACCCAAAGGACTATAAATCATGCTGCTATAAAGACACATGCACACGTATGTTTATTGCGGCACTATTCACAATAGCAAAGACTTGGAACCAAGCCAAATGTCCAACAATGATAGACTGGATTAAGAAAATGTGGCACATATACACCATGGAATACTATGCAGCCATAAAAAATGATGAGTTCATGTCCTTTGTAGGGACTATAAATCATGCTGCTATAAAGACACATGCACACGTATGTTTATTGCGGCACTATTCACAATAGCAAAGACTTGGAACCAAGCCAAATGTCCATCAATGATAGACTGGATTAAGAAAATGTGGCACATATACACCATGGAATACTATACAGCCATAAAAAATGATGAGTTCATGTCCTTTGTAGGGACATGGATAAAATTGGAAATCATCATTCTCAGTAAACTATTGCAAGGACAAAAAACCAAACACCGCATGTTCAGACTCATAGATGGGAATTGAACAATGAGAACACATGAACATACGAAGGGGAACATCACACTCTGGGGCCTGTTGTGGGGTGGCGGGAGGGGGGAGGGATAGCATTAAGAGATATACCTAATGCTAAATGACGCGTTAATGGGTGCAGCAGACCAGCATGGCACATGTATACATATGTAACTAACCTGCACATTGTGCACATGTACCCTAAAACTTAAAGTGTAATAATAAAAAAAAATTACTGAGGAAATAGAGAAGAGGAGAATGTTTTCAATTTGAAGATAGGAATGTGAAAATACTAAAAAAAGGGATAAAAGAGTAGTCGCAAAAGACAACCAAAAGAGCTATCACTATGTTGAAAAACAGAATTAAGTACATAAATGTGTGTGTATATAAATAAACATAAGTTGTCAAATTTGTCAAAATAAAGGAATTAGAATTTCAAATGAAGGCACTTTATTGAATACAGGATAGCTTTAGCAGATAACAGATAAAGATAAAAGATAACTATCTTTTTGAAGATACTGTTGAAAGATTAATGGTGGCTATGTGGATGTGAGAGGAGTAGTCAAAATCACTGGCAAGAAAGGTCACTTTTTGGCAGCAGAAATGTTCACAAGATTATAAGCGCCTTGTACTATGTAGAAAGAAAATTGCTCAGTTTTGTTAAGTGTGAAATCAGGCAGTTAGTATAAAACTATGCAAGAAATAATTTGGAAACTAGTGCTAGACTACATTTCTAGTCACTTGGGGAACTCTTCCAGCTCATTAAGCTGTAATCATCATCAAGTCCCTGCAAGTCATTCAGAAATTAATATGTACCAATTTCTGGGTTCTAAATACTCCCTCCTGGAGTATTTTAAAGTAAATTCTAGACATTGTATCATTTCATCCATGAATATCCAGTATCTTTTAGTTTATTTTAAAAGGTCCTCAGAGGCTGGGCTTGGTGACTCACGCCTTTAATCCCAGCACTTTGGGAGGCCGAGGCGGGTGAATCACCTGAGGTCAGGAGTTTCAGACCAGCCTGACCAATATGGTGAAGCCCTGTCTCTATTAAAAATACAAAAATTAGCTGGGCATGGTGGCAGGTGCCTGTAATCCCAGCTACTCAGAAGGCTGAGGTAGGAGAGTCTCTTGAACTCGGGAGGCGGAGGTTGCATCACTTGGAGTGAGCTGAGATTGCGCCGCTGCACCCCCACCTGGGCAACAGAGTGAGACTCATCTCAAAAATAAATAAATAAATGAATAAATAAATAAAAATAAAAGGTCCTCATTTGAATCTAACCTGTGGCCAATATTGAGCACATTGATCTATGGTATTAATTGCCCCTTCCAATATTTAGACACCTGCAAATTTCATAAACATTTCTTTTTTTGTATTAGGTCAATGGTAATGATGAACAGGTAGGGCAATGGGCTGAGTGCTAGAGGAAAGACCAGTAAAACAGCCACAGCTTGAAAATGATACTCATTATCAATGTGCTAGTTTAGTACACAAACTAAAATGTCCTTTAGTTTGACAAGTTGCTCTTTCTGTTTGTAAACTGGATTGAGGGCACTGTGTAAGTGAATACTGCTCTAGCTGCAGAAGAGCCATGTAATGAACTTCCTAATTACAAACAAGATTTATTTCCATTCTAAGTAAAATGTTCAATTATAATTTTTTCCACGGTAATGATTACTGGAAACTTACAGTGGATTCTTTATCTTGTCATAAGTTGTCATGCTTACAAAGTCAAACAAGTACAACTTTACTGAACTTAGTTTCATTATATGTTAATAAACAAACTAATTAGTAAACTGCCAATACACTTAGCAGGAAATATATTCAAATAAGAGAAGGTAGTGTGCTCAATAAAGTTTGTGGATTTTCCTGATTCTATTACTTTGCTACCAGATGTAAGTCCTTAAAATGACACTATGAATGCTTATTTTGGAATAATTCAATAGCCACAGTTGGCATTTTGAAAGCTGCCAACTTTATATTAAGAGCTTCGGAAAACAGTTAATAAAAATAATTCTTCTTTGGTCCTGTTTTCTCTCTCCCTGCATTCTTTTAAAGGGACTTACTTGAAAACTGAATATATATATATAAGCACTCATTTCCTTCCCTAACTGAAATCTTTTTTTCATTAAAGGATTTAGAATTTTTTAGGGAAGCAATTGATATAACAAACAACAGATTACAATGTCTTCTGGGAAAAAAAGAATAGATGAATTATTAATCAAACCCAGAAACATTTCTAAAGATAGAGACACAGGAAAATATGAGAATTGGTACTATATTTACAGCCACTTCTTACTCTTCAAGACCTATACACCAATGCACAAAAAGAGTAACCCTCAGAAAAGCAAATAAATTGCAACACCTGAATTTCTAGGTACAAAGAAGAAAGCAAATATGATAGCAAATGAATAAACTGGTATACAGTGTAGTACTTTTAAACATTATTTAGAAGAACTAAACCAGGCCCATCATTTTGGTTAGTTTAAAACAAGAGAGCAACTAATATTATAATAATAATCAGAAAATGTGATTACACCTTGTTTTATTTATTTATTTTGAGACAAGGTCTCACTCTGTCACCCTGCCTGGAGTGTAGTGATGCAATCTCAGCTCACTGGAGCCTCCACATCCCTGGCTCAAACGATCTCCCACCCACCCCAGCCTTCCGTGTAGCTGGGACTACAGGCGCATACCACCACGTCCTGCTAATTTTGTTTATTTTTTGTAGACACAAGGTCTTACTGTGTGGCCGAGGCTGGTCTCCAACTCCCGGGCTCAAGCAATTCTCCTGCCTTGGCCTCCCAAAGTGCTGAGATTACAGGCATGGGTCACCGTGCCCAGCCCTATACCTTGTTTTAAAACTTCAGTTCTTTATAGTGTAGTAAGGGAGGGGGAAAAAGGGGCATATCACAATGTGTATTCCTCTCCCTCCCTGGAACATTTTATTCTCTGAAATCAAGTAAAAAATTACCTTTAAAGATCTCTTTGCATAAGAAAGGGCAGCCTTATAGGAGATTTTGAGAAATAAAGTATGGCCAATGTCATGACTTTTCAGTCTTGTTTTTTCTTTTTCTTTTTTTCTTTCTTCTTTTTCCATTAGAATGAAATCTACTTGACAGGAAATATTAGTTTTCTACTTAGGTATGCAGTTAATAATCTTTCCACTGCTACCAAAAAAGTGGGGGGGTAACACTAATCATCCTTCATTTTTCAAAACCTCCTACAAGGTTGCCCTTTCTCATTCAGAGATGTTTAAAGGTAATTTTTTACTTGATTTCACAGGGACCAAGATGTTCCAGGGAGGGAGGGGAGCACACAGTGTGATCTGCCCTCTCTAGGGGTTGCTCTACGTGATTTTCCTTTTAATAAGCCAAAATGTTAATTTATTTGGCTTATGAGTTGAAACACTTCTAGTGGATATCTGATAGATTACTGACTATTTGCCTAATTTTATCTTACTTAATTGTTCTGGCTCAGAGCAGGATGGAATATCTTGTGGAAATTTTTGTTATACATAGGCTGTTTTATGTCCACTGAAAGAACAGTGGACACAAAAAACAAAGGTTTAATTATTAGGTCCCTTTAATTCTCTATCTCAGGTTTTCCTCTGGTATAGATTAAGACATTGCTCTTTAATAACCTTTTTCTAGTCGCTAAGTGCATTATATATTGAGTCTCATATTTTCAACTCCACGTAAATGAATCTAGAATATTTGCTGTGTCCCCAACAACTGTTATCTTTTGCTTTTGCACTATCACATTATTCCTCCTACTTAGAACGTCCCCCCTCCTCCCACCACTTCTACCAAACCACCTCTCAGATATTGTTAGTGCTCATAGATGGATGATTTAATTTGAAAACACCCCAAACTGGTTTTTGGCAAGATGCTTCACAGATGCCACACTGGAACTTTGCCACCAGTACACCACCTATTATTAATCACTGCTTTTAGGAAATATTTGTATCTTTAACAGGACTTCAGATAAGCATACTTTATAAGACAGCTGGCCTTGGAAAATTGCTTTGAGGGTTTCCCTGCATTATGGAGATTTCTAAGCCAACAGAACAAGGCTGCTATTATTATTGACTACACTAGCAATTGTATTGGTTTGCTTACTTATTTATCAACTGTCTGAGCCATCACATGATAAACTCCGTAAGGGTTGGAACTATTTCTGTCTTTTTTTTTTTTTTTTTTTTGAGACGGAGTCTCACTCTTGTTACCCAGGCTGGAGTGCGGTGGCGTGATCTCGGCTCACTGCAACCTCCGCCTCGTGGGTTCCAGTGATTCTCCTGCCTCAGCCTCCCAAGTAGCTGGGATTACAGGTGTGTGCCACCACGCCCAGCTAATTTTTGTATTTTTTGTAGAGATGGGGTTTCACCATGTTGACCAGGCTGGTCTCGAACTCTTGACCTCAGGTGATACATCTGCCTCGGCCTCCCAAAGCACTGGGATTACAGGTGTGAGCCACTGCGCCTGGCCAGAACTATTCCTGTCTTATTCACCACTGTATACTCAACACCCAGGACAAGGGCCAGCTACCACCCTATTTCTCTCTTTCCCTTCACAGAAAAAACTTCTAGAAAAAATTATATGTATTCACTCTGTTCCCAAATATTTGTTTGGCTCATATATTCTAGTACCACAAGTCTCTGTCCACAGCTCATCCTAAGAGGCCTTCCCAGACCAATTTCTCTAATATACCAACCCCCTCCCCTCTCTATCATGATACCTTACTTTATTTTTCTTCATATTGCTTATCAGCACCAGTCATATCATATACTATTTGTTTATTTGCCTCCCCCAACTACGGTATTAGCCCCATGAGAGTAGGGACTTTGTTTTTTTTCATTGCTTTATCTCCAGCACTTAAAACAGTGCTTGTTTTTTAAAAGGCACTCGGTAAATATCTGTTGAATTAAAGCATTGTATACCATCACATTTAGGATTTAATCTTACCTTTTGTGCTTACATAGCAGTAGCAAAAGGTGGAAAACTGGGCAAATGTTCTAAAATAAAGGCAATATAAAATCTGTCATAGCTGTACAGCAATGTGGCAAACATTATAATGCCTTTTACTTTTTAAAATATTTTTTATCTCACTATATTGCCTAGGCTGGCCTCGAACTCCTGGGCTCAAGCAATCCTCCCGCCCCAGCCTCCTAAGTAGCTGGGACTACAGGTGTGCACCACCATGCCTGACTGCTTTTTATTTTTTATTTTTAGCTTACCTTATAGCCATAAGCCTTCCACAACTGTTCACAAACAGCATGAGTTTTCACCAGTTGAATAATTATTTTTTAAGTATTGTTTTGAAAAATACTACTAAGGTAACCAATGTTATATGTACTCTTTATCACCACTCAGCAAGACAAGTGATGCTGATATCTACGGAAGCACTGTTTGAGAACTTCCAGGTTTTGGGCGATGACAGATCAAAAGGAAATGATGTCATGATAAGTTATTCTAATTCTTGTACATTATTCTGATTATAAACCATAAATGCATAATCACTATCATGCCCAAATTCTTCAATTAGTAACTATCAGTGTTTTGTTTTTGTAGTGATATCATTGCATATCAGATATAATCTATGTTACCACTCCAAATCAATTTCTATATACAACATGGGGAAAGTAATTACTAGGGAAAATGGCATAAATATATAACCCCTTTGTTCTTCAGGCCCAGAAAATGGCATTTTAACGTCTTTCTCTTTCATTAATAGATAAATGTCAAGTATTTGTATAGTTGCTCACAAGTTTCAAAACTCATTTGACCCACATAAAAAATGCTGTGAGGTAGGAAAGACAAGTTTTTATCCCCATTTTACAGATGAGGAAACTAAGCCTTTATAAAATAATTATAGCTGAATAGAGACATAAAACTATCAAAAAATCAAGGAAGATAAAAGAAACAGGGTTAATGGGGCAAGTGGAATCACTGAACTTGGTGTTATATTCATATATTTGTGGATGTTGGCTTGTAGTTGGTTTATTTATTATTATTATTATTGTTATTATTATTATTTGAGATGGAGTCTCCCTGTGTCACCTAGGCTGGAGTACAACAGTGCGATCTCGGTTCACTGCAGCCTCCACTTCCTGGGTTCAAGTGATTCTCCTGCCTTAGCCTCATCAGTAGCTGGGACTACAGGCACCCGCCACCAAGTCCGGCTAATTTTTGTATTTTTAGTAGAGATGGGGTTTCAACGTGTTGGCCAGGGTAGTCTCAAACTCCTGACCTCAAATGATCCGCCCGCCTTGGCCTCCCAAAGTACTGGGATTACAGGCGTGAGCCACTGTGCCCAGCCTGGTTTATTTATTTTTTATTTTTTTAAAATCCCATAGGGCAATACCTAGGGAGGGCAAATCACACTGTTTTCCTCTCCCTCCCTGGAACATTTCGTTCTCTGAAATCAAGTAAAAAATTACCTTTAAAGATCTCTTTGAATAAGAAAGGGCAGCCTTGTAGGAGATTTTGAGAAATAAAGGACGGTCAATGTCATGACTTTTCAGTCTTGTTTTTTCTTTCATTAGAATTAAATCTACTTGAAACCAAATATTAGTTTTCTACTTAGGTATGCAGTCAATAATCTTTCCACTATTCCAAAAAAAAAAAAAAAAAAAGGTGAGGGTAACACTGATCATCCTTCATTACTCAAAACCTCCTACAAAGTTGCTCTTTCTCATTCAGAGATCTTTAAAAGTAATCTTTAACTTGATTTCACAGGGACCAAGATGTTCCAGAGAGGGATGGGAGCACAAAGCGTGATCTGCCCTCTCTAGGGGTTGCCCCATGGGATTTTCTTTTTAATAAGCCAAAATGTTAACTTATTAATTTTGTGTGTGTGTGTTTGTGTGTGTGTGTATGGGGGGGGGCGGGTAGATCTTTCCTTACCTTAAATGAAATGTCATGCTTGGCACTTGGGCACCCTCATCTCAGTAGACAGGTACTTAGAAGGCCAAAATTTTTTTATCAGATATGTCCTTTGTAAGCATGAAATGCAGGGATATTTTGCTAATAACTAAGGCGCACATTTTCAGAGTTGGACTCCTTGAGTCTGGGGTGAGGAAATAGGGGAAAGAAGCTTTATATTTTCAAGGGATGGTCACTAAGAGGTTTTAAAAAGGTTACCTTATTGTTTATTATGTATGGGTTTATGACAAATTGTTTACACAGTGATTTGCTCAGTCTATATAAATATCATAAAATGAAAAGCTTATTTCAAATATTATCATATTCTGGTTTTTACAGACAATTTAATTTCAAAGTAATGGTACCAAGATGAAAAAGGAAATCAGAAACAGAATGTCTAAAAATTCTCCATTTTAATAAGTTTTACTTCGTAGCTTTGTTCTACACCACACAAAAAAGGTCTACTGAGGGAGCTTATCAATCTAACACTGAAGAACCTGCTTACACTATTCAGATATGGAAAATTCAAGACTAAAATACTCTTTAAAAACTACCTATATGAAGGCTTCCTGATTGGCAGACCTTCCTAAATCCCATATACTAGAGTACTTAGTAGAATGTAGCCCCATAGCTCCATTCGTGTAGTAGTTCCCATCTGCCAAGCAAAGCAAATTGATTTGTGCTTAATAAGACAAATATGCATAAATTAGTTTTAACTCTTTAAAACCAGGTGCTAAATGTAGGTGTCATAGAAAAGTCATTATTAGCTAGGAGAAGCAAGAGATAACATAAGGGGACCGTAAAATCCAGAAGGGTGAATTATTTCTCTAAATGAAGGAAAATCGCTTTATCTATAAAACCGCTTATGTATACCAAAAATTTCCACAAGATATTCCATCCTGCTGTGAGCCAGAACAATTAAGATAAAGTTAGGCAAATGGTCAGTAATCTATCAGATATCCACTAGAAGTGTTTCAACAATTTAAAAGAGGTACCTCAGAATTCTAACTTACAAACTCATCTCTTGTTTTAATAATCCTTGAGTTCTCTGTTGCTGCTATTCCATTATTAGAAAAAAATGGAGTCAACTAACTTTATCAAGTCCACACTTAAGAGTCATTACATTGCTGGTGATTACCACCAATTATCATATGGCAAAGAAATGAAATCTTAAAGTATAACCACTAAGGTTTCTAGATGATCATTATCATTTCTTCATTAAACAAAATGCATAAACTAATCTTTTAAAGGGATAACACATAACACTGGATTTTAGCAAACAAAGTGAACAGAGGCAAACTTATGCTGGCACACAGTCAAGCTCCTGTGAGAGCTAATCCAAATGTGGATTTGTGGTAAAGCACAACAAAGCTTTTGGCTTCATGATTTTAAGTAAGAATACAGTAATTGAGCAGCTAGGAAAATCAGCACACACTTATGCTCTGGACCAAAAAGAACCAAATGAACCTTAAAAGCACCTCTTTGTTTCTTTCTTATCCATTTTGTTTAATTTACATGGAATTACAGTGGTAGCTCTCATGTGGTAATTTCAAGCATCTTGTCAATACCACAGATAAAATAATCATGAAGAGTTATAAACTGACCACTAAATAAGTGTGGATATCACTAGTCACAACATATATATGTGGTAGAAATCTTAGTTTATTTCTTCAGACAAATTTCTCTTATTCTAGACTATGGGGACTAGTAAATGGAGTGGGCAGGATAGAGGTAAACTAGTGCAGTTGGTCCATGCTTTAAGAAGAAAGCATGTCAGGCTGGGTGAGGTGGCTCATTCCTTTAATCCCAATCCCAGTCCTTTGGGAGACCAAAGTGGGAGGATCCTAAGGCCAGGTGTTCAAGATCATGCCTGGGCAACACAGCCTGTCTCTTAAAAAAAAAAAAAGAAATTAGCCAGGCTTAGTGGCTTGTACCTGAAGCCCTAGCTACTCCGGAGGCTGAGGTGGGAAGATCACTTGAGCCCAGGAGTTCCAGGCTGCTGTGAGCTATAATCACATCACTATCACTGCCCTCCAGCCTGGGTGACAGAGTGAGAGATCCTGTCTCAAACAAAAAAAAAAAAAAAAAAAAAAGGAAACTTGCAACAAGTTAAAAAAAACATGCAATACTACATTACAGTGATTATATTTTCAAGAATTTGATTTACCTACTTAAAGGAACACAGTTTTAGTATGAGGAACGAAAATAAATTATAAGACTATTCCTGAGGCTGTAACACGGGACTATAAAATCTATTTTAATTTTTTTTTTCTTTTTGAGACAGAGTCTCCCTCTGTTGCCCAGGCTGGAGTGCAGTGGCCCTATTACGGCTCACTGTAGCCTTGACCTCCCAGGCTCAAGCCATCCTCCCATTTCAGTCTCTCAAGTAGCTGGGGCCACATGGCTGGCTAATTTTAGTATTTTTTGTAGAGATGGGGTTTCGCCATGTTGTCCAGGCTGGTCTTGAACTCCTGGTCTCAAGCAATCCACCTGCCTCGGTCTCCCAAAGTGCTGGAATTACAGGCATAAACCACCGTGCCCGGCCTGAAATCTATTTTAAATATATCCTGAACTATTCTCAATGGACTCAAGTGGATAATTTATGTCACTGGGTAATTATGAACATCGATTCTAAAATTTTGATCTCGAAAATATCTGCATCTATTAAATGGAAAGACTCTTCTGCAAAATAGCATTTGTAATTTTTAAAAATTAGAAAATGACAAAATGTCACATTTAACAGGGCAATTTTTGTTGCCATATTTTCGAGAGGGCCTTTTTAGAAGCTGGATAAGATTAATAGGTCTAGCAAAATTTTAAAAAATGTCCTGTAGAACCTCAGAATTCTTTGCACCCCGGGAGTGGCTTGAAAACGAAATAACAGCATACGTTTATCACCATCTTGACGACATACATTGATTTGGTGCTATTATCTTTCGTTTTATCCTCTCAACTCTGTGAGGTAGGCACCATTTTCCAAGAGAGAAAAAGCAAGGTCATCTCCTCCATGAATTATAACTTGCCTAGTTTACTAGGTGGTTTTCTTTTTCCTTTAGACCTTCCCACCCTTCTTATCCAGATTATAAGCACTGCAAAGCCAAGAAACTGAATCTTGTGAACCTTGTGGCACACAGTAGGTGCTTAAGGTTGAGTAAATGAAAGAGTTTGAGGAATGTCATCCAACAAGTAAGAGAGTAGGATGGGACTAAAATGCAGGTTTTCGGGACTCTTCCCTCTTTCCATTACATCACGCTGCCTGGTCTACCACTTCAAGGTCACAATACCAAATTAGAGATTGATTAGAAAAAGAGCTCTTGCTTTCCCAACGTCCAAAACTTTAAATATCCCTACCCAAGATGAGTGGTCTCAAAATAACTTTCTCTGGAAACTTTAAACATTTGGCCAAAAAACACTTTTTAAGAATTGGGGTCAGGGTGGGTTAGACAGGAAGAGTTAAACTCTTACCGTCTGGCTTACAATCACAGCTTTGAATGAAGGGGCAGCACCAGTCACTCAAGAGATTAATTTATTACGACGTTGTTAATAGCCTTTGAGAGGGGATCCCAAAGATTGAAAACTTGGAGACAAAGTAAAAGATGCTAAATTGGGAGAGATCAGCAATTCTGAGCCTACCCCTCCACCTCTCCTGACTCCAGTTCTCCCTCCTCCCTAATATTTCTTTTGAAGTCTATTTCTCAGGATGTGATTGGGCGCCTCCCTTTCTCCTCACCATCCCCGCGTACCCACTCCATCCCATCCCCCATACGCTTAATCTCCCCAGGGTGCTGATGATCGGTATGGGTTCTGTGAAAAAAGTTAAGTTCACAACTGCGAACTGGCCCCTGTCACCAGCCTAAATGCGACCTGTCTAGGTCTAACACTCATCATCAGCCTCCCTCCCCCCATGGGAAGCGACAAGGTAGGTACCCGTTTCTTCCTTGGCCTCAGAAAGAACCGCGCTCCTCCCTTCACCTGTCCCAACCAAAGAGCAACTCGTCGTCCAGTGAGACATTCTCAGGACTTGGAGGTGGTGGCGGAAAGGTGGTGTCGGGAGAAGAACCCCAGTCCCTCCGCCCACGATTTAGGATCGGGAAACTGGTAGCGACGAGTAACTGTTGTCCTCACCACCTTTTAAGTAACAGCGAACACAGCCCAGAGGCAGGTAGGGTGGCCACAGCTTACCTGTGAGCCCCCCTCCGCCTTCCTCCCCGTAGCCCCGACGCCGCTGCAGCACGAAGTAGTCGTTGGACCTTTCCATCAGCCACAGCTTCAGCGCATTTTTCAGAAGCACTTCCTCAGGCTTCAGCCACATCGCGAACTTTGTGCCCCCCGGGAGCAGTGACCTAGATGCCCTCCTCACCTCACTCTCAACCCGTCTCTTCCCCTCTGCTTCTCCTCCCACCAAATCTTCCTCAGGCGACAGCAGCTCAGGTTCAGGTTTTCCACACTTCCCCCAACCCTCCCTTCTCTCCCACGTAGGCAGAGAGATTGCCAATTCCCTCCCACAGCGCTACCGCCAGACTGGGAAATAGTCCCGCTTCTTTACCTCTTGGGAGTTGTAGTTTCCTACGCGCTTTTCTGTGCTCAAGCGACTGGAACATGGGACTACCCTTCCCACAATACACTGGGGTGAGAATGGGTGGGGGTGCTTTCAAAGCGGGTCCCAGCCATCAGTTAAGTGTGTTTTGCCTATCTGAAGTTTAAAGCATTTTTTTGGTTCAAATAAGTGAGTCCCAGGTGTAAAGGTGTTGCTTCTTTTTATCATTTTACAGCCGAAGGCATTAAACTGTAGAAAACAAAGTTTCTGGAATTTTGGAATATCGGTTCATTCCAGGAAGTAGCAGTAGCAACAACTAACATTTAATGAGCTCTCACTATAGACTCAGGCGATCTCACGTAATCCTCACAGCAGTCTTGCGAAGTGGACATTCGTCCCCGCTTTGCACATTAATAAAGGAAAGCACTGTCGGGTGAGGCGACTTATCCAAGGTCACACAGTCAGTGATACGATTCCTTCTCTAAATCCAAAATTCATGCCTAGATTAAGCTCTTTTTGGTTATATAGGAAGAATATAAAATTTCCAGAAGCCACGCGTTTTCTTCACTCCGTGCACCGCTCCTTTCCTTCACTGTCGCCCCTATCTGTTTATTAAACTGCTGTAATGAACCACAGAAAATCTCTTGTCCAGCTTCCTATTTTGGAATCTAAACAATTTATGTGCATTTTTTTTTTTCTTAAACTCTTAAAAAAATCCCTTTGGAAGCAAACTTGATCTCTTTGTATCTTGGCAATGATGCGCAGCGGTTTGAACACTAAGGTGAATGAGGTCAATAATTTGCATGATATCGCTGTGAGGAAATATTTGACAGATGTTTTTATTTATTGCAATAACTAAGTCCACCGGAATTAAAGAGTGCATTAAAAGTGAAAAAAAGTTTAGAGGGAGGAAGGAGTTGGGAGGCCATGTATAAGCAAAGGGCTCTTGGCAAGCTGTTTTGAGAATAGAGCCTCAAAGTCATGTGGATTAAAAAAAAATGGGGTGGGGCACACGCAGATGCCAAGCCAAGGAACTCTGCCCTGGAGGAGCATCTCTGGGGTAACCTTCCAAGATGTGTGCCATCTCGAGTGAGGCAGGCGTGTGCTCCAAGCAGGGATTTTTCTTGTGAATGAGAAAAGGGGCAATCTGGGATTCTCTTCTACTAAATGGCAGTAAGTAGTCCCAAGGCAGCTATCTGGACAGTTTGGAAAGAGATAATCCTTTCAGAGTCCAGACTGCAATGTATCTTTGGGAAAAGCCATCGCAATTTGAATGTGTACTAAGGGAGGTAATTTCTTCTTCTCTTCCTGGAGAAAGATCAGTAAATGTAGCAAACGTTGAGAGATATCTTCCTTTCTTTTTACCTTTCCTTCCCCTTTTTACTTCCTTCCCCATCAAACCACATCCTTTTCCAATACCCTTAAAGGTTACAGTGTGGCAAAAGCTATCCAGAACTGGATGGCTTTTCTACCTGTTTACTCTGCAATTTCTTCCAGGTATACCCACATGCTCCCTGTTACAGGATCAGGGCCACTTTTGGCTTACAGCAGGGCGTTTAGAGAGCTCCTGCTTTAGTAAATAAACATTTCACCAATTATGTAAACATTTTTTTCTAATTAAATTACTTATGTGATCTAAATTTTTGGCTCAATAATAAACGACTTAATTTCGCACCCTTGCAAATAAAAGTATTTTCCTAGAAGCACCTTAAAAAAATAGAGCGTGCCACTCTATTCAATGTCAATATAAATTGCTTGGGGAAGGACTGGGATTGCACACTGTCTGCATTGCTGGTACAGTACTGGTGCTGTACTGGTACTGTATATGTATTATGTCATTTAATTTTCATTAATAAGCTTGCACATTTTTACATGCTTACTTTACGAATGAAGGAAAGGAGGCTCAGAGAAGTAACTTGCTTAAGATCGTATAGCTAAATAAACAGCAAAGCTGGAATTTGAACCTAGATTTGTCTGATTACAAACCATGACACTATACTGCTTATGCATATGGTCCATAGTTACCTCAAATACAATATGTTCAAAGCCAAACTTATTTTTCCAATATTCCCCCTGGTTGATGTTTCTCCTACTAGGTTTCCTAGTTCAAAGGCCACTGTTTACCAAGACACTGAAAGTAAGAACTTGGTGTTAGTCCATTGGTTGGCCAGTCTCTCTCTCTCTCTCTGACACACACACACACACACACACACACACACACTCCTCTACTTCTTTTTCAAAAGTCCATCCCATCTGCCTATTATGGCTTTAGATTAGCCTCACAACACTTTCCCGCCATATGATAATATAGCTTCCCAACTCATCTGTCTGCTTCCATTCTTGTTTTCTGACTTATCCAAGCCACATATTAACAGACCCAATAATACACCATGTAGAGATAAATAATACTTCATTTTTCTGAAGGTCAGTCTTCCAGCTGACTCAGCCTTCTAAGAGCCTCAAACACCTATAAGAAAAGGTATTTGGAAACCCCAAATAGCAATTCCAAACCCTGTGCTATGGAAAGACTGAGGCTGTCACTCAGGATTTTACTGGCTTTTTTGAAAGGAATGTCACTAGCTTAGGTTATACTTTTTTTGCAGTCTGCAGCTAGTTTAGAAGCAGTAAGATTCAAAACAGGTGGACTACTGCCAGAAGAGAGCCATTTAAAGCTTTGCTACTTAAAGTGTGGACCCCAGACCATCAACATTTGCATCACCCTGGAGCTTGCTAGAAATTATGAACCTCATACTTCCTTCTACACTTGCTGAATTGAAATGTGCATTTTAACAAGATCCCCAAGTAACTTGTAGGCACATTAACGTTTTAGTTGCACTGAGTTAAAGCAAATTAGAATTTGAAAATCAAACTCTACAACAAATTGAGGGTACTCATGTTTCCATTAAGACCCACATAGATATCTTCTTAAAAAATAGGCTATTAATGAATTTTAGATAACTGAATTGCTTTTTAAAAAGGTTTATAACAGGGGCTGGATGCGGTGGCTCACGCCTGTAATCCCAGCATTTTGGGAGGCTGAAGAGCGGGTGGATTTCTTGGGCTCAGGAGTTTGAGACCAGTCTGGGGAACATGCCAAGAGAACATGCCTGTCTCTACAAAAAGTACAAAAATTAGCCTGACATAGTGGTGTGTGCTTGTAGTCCCAGCTACTCACTAGGCTGAGGTGGAAGGATTGCTTGAGCCTGGGAGGCAGAGGTTGCAGTGAGCCGAGATTGTGCCACTGCACTCCAGCCTGGGTGACAGAGAGACGCTGTCCCCCCCCAAAAAAATGTTTATAACAGCACATGACCATTTAATTTTCTAAGGCCGTGGTTTAGATGTGGGATATCAGTTGGTATTATAACTAGAAGGGGAAATTGCCACTAATCTTCCATGCTAAATCCTATTTATCTATACTATTCTCTTAACCATCAATGTCTAGGTATGCCTATTAGTGTCCCACATTCATGAGACTGTTTATGTAGAAAAAGGTTGAGAACTAGTGGATAGTGTTTCTCAAACTGAATTTCACATTAGCTCTGACGGTAGAGGATAATGAACGTTTATCTCTCAAAGTGCCCATCATAATAATGAATTTCTTTTAAGTCTCGTGTAGTATATTTGTTTAAATTTTATATTGTTCAATGTTTAAAAATATAAAAAATTAACTCCAAACAAAAGCAATGAACAAGGTGAATAACTGAAAATTTGTTACAGCCTAACGTGATAACATTTTTCCAGACATTATAGAACTTAAATAAAATGTTTCATAAGTGAACAGAAACTAGATGTAGGTGAGGGAAGGAATCTTCCTAGCATTCCAATTGTATCTCTAAATATATTTTTACTGATTGACTTGGGAACCATGTATATTCTTATTTATAAGATAACACAACCTGGATTCCATTAAACTTACAAATAAACTGTGAAAACCCTTCTTAAGTTGGAGACTCCATAGACATACAAATATTACTGCCACTGTTAAAAAACACCAGCTTATATTTTTACTACGATGTGAGAGTGTAGCATAAAGTCTGATGCTCAGGCTAAAGAATGTCAAATGATAATAGCAGGAAGAAAATTCCCAAGTGTTACAGAATTTCTCTCCTTGGTTTATAACCAAGAGAATCTAAAACATATATCTACACAAATACTTGTATGTGAATGTGCATAGCAGCATTATCCGTAATGGCCAAAAAGTTAGAATAGTCCAAAGGTTCATTAACTGTTGAATGGATAGCCACACGATATAGCCATACAATAGAATATTGCTCAGCAAGGAAAATGAACGAAATACTGTTATATGCTACAACATGGAGGAACCTTGAAAACATTATGCTAAGGGGAAGAAGCCAGTCACAAAAGGCCTATAATGTATGATTCCATTTATATGAAATGTCCACAATAGACAAATCTATAGAAACAGCAGATTGGTGGTGATGTGGGGCTGGAAATGGGAGGGGGAACTAACTGTAAATGGGCATGAGGGAATGTTTTGGGGTGATGGAGTGTTTTAAAACTGGATTGTGGTAATAGTTGTACATATCTACACATTTGCTAAACACATTCCAATGATATATTTACAATGGGTAAATTATACTTCAGTACAGCCGTTAAAAAACACTTAAAAATGCCCCCAAAGAAGTCCCACAAAACTTGAAAAGAGGTTAACTATCTAAGAATATAGGGCAAGAATACAGGCATCACACATCCACCCTCGTCCCCGGCATATCGTCACATAAGACACATGTACCTGGTTTGATAATCATAGTGCTGAGGCGTTCCAAGCATCTGTGTATTCTTAACATGCTTGACAAAAGAAAGATGCACTTAACTTATTAACAGCATCCTGACAATCACACTGACAAAGAGAAGTCTGAAGAAAAACTTTAAAGTAATAAAAGTTCCTCTGTCATGTATAGCATGAAGATGGACTGGCATCAAGGTCTATTTTAATGTTATATTATTACTGGTCAAACCCTTTTTACCTGGCTGACATTTAACAATAATTCATGGTAAGTTGAATGATACTACAATGGCATCCATTCCTCTCTATGTAATATGTAAATATATCATACTAATGTTTCAGTGTTTATTGATCAAATATATAAATGACCATTTATATCCAACCATTTTCTTATCTCCCAAATCCAGACATATTATATGAGAAAAATTAGTGTATGGACAGTGATAAGGTTTGGATATTTGTCCCTTCCAAATCTCATGTTGAAATGTGATTCTCAATGTCGGGGGTGAGGCCTGGTGGGGGTGATTGGATCATGAAGGTGGATCCCTCATGAATGATTTAGCATCATCCCCTTGGTGATAAGTGAGTTCTCACTCAGTTCATGCAAGATCTGCTTATTTAAGAGTCTGGGACCTCTTGCTTCTCTCTCTCTTCCTCCTGCTCTTGTCATGTGATGTGTTTCCACTTAGCCTTCCATCATGACTGTAAACTTCCTGAGGCCCTTACCAGAAGTGAAGCAGATGTTGGCCCCATGCTTACTATACAGCTTATAAAACCATGAGCCAATTAATCCTGTTTTCCTTATATATTACCCAGTCTCAGGTATTCCTTTATAGTGACACAAGAAACATCCTAATACAGATAGTTAAACTAACACCAGACACAAACTTTTATTGGAATATTTTATTTACATTTTATATTTAAAGAGAATCAATACAAATTGGGACATATTTACAGCATTTCAAATCAGTGTACAAGAATGCAATGGTTTCATCCATTCAGCAAACAAAAATACATGTCTGTTTTATTTTTGCCTAAATTCTGCTATAATTTGAACAAAATTCTAAAACAAAAGCCACACAGAGTACAAATAAAGTGCATTTTTAAATAGCTCTATTTAACTTTGGTGGATGAAGCTTCAAACTTTATATTAAGGCACCTGGAATTCTCCCCCCCTTCTTTTTCAAACACCAGGAAAATGCATTCACAAAATTTATAGTTACACGGACAGAATTTTAGTTTATCTAATGTAATTTTAGCCCATTTAGGTCAAACATAAACTCAATTTTCAAAGTAACATTGTTTGGAAAACATTTTCAACAGACTAATTTTACAGAACATTTTTTTTCTGTAGACTAATTCATGAACGAAGATCAATGACCAATATTAGTGTTACTTACTCTGTCATTAGCAATTTCAAACAGTATGATGATTCATATACTGAGCTTTTGAAAAATCCCACAAGTTTGAGAAATAGTTACACAGTATTTTTGTAAGGAATTTTTTGTCTAATCTTGTGTCAAGTTGATGTCACTAATATACCAATCAATTAAGTCCATAATCTCTGATAAACTATGGTTGACAAATCACATGAAGTACATTCAGCCTAATTTTAAAAATAAGAAAAAGTAAAAATGAATATTTTGCTTTAATCTTTTCTATTAACTTAAAGCAGCTTAAATAGACATTTCAAGAAGTACTCGCCTAAGTTTGCATTGCTTTTTACATTACAATTCCAGATCAATATAAGCACCTGGAGAAAAACCCTGACACATGTAGCCCAAGCTAAAGAAGTAGTATTTTTCATTAAGATACTATCATAAAATAAAGTGATTACAGCTACTCCACATTTTAAAAGCAACATGTTTTTATAAGAAAATTGTTATAAATGAAAAACGTGACTTCTTGAAGACAGTTTTGAATGTCTAAAAATGTTGTTATCACTACTGAGAGGAAACTTGCCTATGAAAAATATTATAATGAGTTTGTGGAAAAAAGTTAACAGGTTAAATATTTTAAGCCATTTAACTATAGCATAATATTAGTCATCTGAGCACTTTCAGTATCACTCTTATTTTATTAAATTTATCCAATTTATTAATAGAAACTAGGCCCTGATTGGCAGTTCTGTTATTACTAATGGTTCAAGTTTTCTATTTACACAGATTTTAAGATTTAATTTCTCGAACAGCAGTCTCTTGATTAGGAGTTTCGTCTTCTTCAAAGGTTGGGTTGTCAACATGAGGAATAACATCCACTGCCACAGAATTTGCTTCATGGTTTACCAGCTGTAGACTTTCATCTTTAAAAAGAAATAGCAATTTTAGGATGATTTTGCCCCTCTCCTCTTTTAAGACAAAATTCAACATTTACTTCCAAGAAGTCTTTCTTATTTAATTTCAACATACACTGATTACCATATTCATTCCCTGTACCTCTAATAATTATATGATTTATGCTATATCTTACATAAAGCACATATGGCATTATTATATTGATTTATAATTGCTTTTTTGATTCACGTACATGTGCTTATTTCTACCTAGATTATAGCCTCCTTAAGAGCAAAAATTATGTCTTCTACTTCTTCCTTACCTTAAATATAACAAGCTGTTAAATCTGGCTATACATTTCAATCACCTGGGCACTTAAAAAATTACCAGTGCTTCTTCATTCACATAAATATAGATAGACAGATTTAAAAAATCAACCAGGAAGTTGGAAGGATGCCCAAAATTGAATTGAATACAAACAGTAATAAATGAACTTAATTGTATTATAAATGAAATACATAACCATGTGAAGAGAATGGGGAAGAAAACAACTAAACTTAAATAACTTTGGAAAACAGTATTTTGACTCTAACCTGTAAGGCTAAAAACAAAAAGAACTGTACACTAGTTACTGACATTGTTTTACACAGGGGTATGTGTTAGCAATGCTGAAACTATTTTATGTATATTCTATAATTGAACAAATAAGTAAAAATACTGTGGATAAAAAGAATATTTCTCCTTTCACTGTCGGAGAAAGGAGTTACAAATAAATAAAGGGGGAGGCTAGAATGAACCCTGTAGTGTGGGATTGGAATCAGATGTATTAGTAGGGTCATTGTTTTTCAGATAGATAGATAAAATGACAGATAGAGAAATAATGTATATGTATGTGTATATTTGTGAGAGTAAATACATATATTTTCTAGTCTTGTTCACTAAAAGGGCCAATAGCAATGACACCCCGGTAGCAATAAGCATGCCCGTTGCTCAGATCCTGGTTTTGAAATACTATTCTCCAGTAAAAGGCCTCCTGAAGAAGTGGCTGATTCTAGGGCTAGGAGAGGGAAAGTACAAGGTTAACCTAGATTTTAGCCTAGGGGCCAGCAAACTCCAGCCTACAAACCATAGCTAAAAGTGCTTATCATGGTTGTAAAAGGTTGTAAAACAAACCAACAAAAACAAAAAAATAAGAGTATGAAAATGAAGACTTAAGGCCTTCAAAGCCTAACATATTTACTATGTGGCCCCTTACAGAAAAAGTTGGCTAATCCCAGACCTAGAACACCTTGTGTTACCAGAAAGTAAGAAAGTTGAAAGAACACAAAAACCAACTTGAACAAGTTCCCAATGACCAAATCTAGGATGATATGAGCAAGGGATAAACGATGAGAATGATATTATAGAATGAAAGAAACGTCTAGGATCCTATAGTACAATAAATAAATAACTCAATAAATAAATGGAGGAGAAGGAAGAGCTCTTCCTTATATTAGAAGTTTAATCAATAAATGTACAAAGAATGATGCAAACAGAAAATCACCATTTGGTAAATACTTCAATAATTACTGCAAGCAAGAAGCATCAATGATTGCTAAAAGTAGTGGGTAGAAGTATGATAAGTACCAGGACATTTGTGTAGTCTCCAAGTATCTCTCTATAAGATATTTAATAATTACAAAGGGAAAAATAGTAACTTTAAAGGGAGAAACCTGGCAGACACCACCTCAACCAAGTGGGCAAAGTTTGAATCATCACTAATAAGACACCAACATCACGTGCTTCCTGGTATGATATGGGGGCACTGAAAGGGGCACAACATCACTTCTGTAGTATTCTTGACAAAAATGGACAATAAATTTAATCACTCGGAAACAGCAGACTAGCCCAAATTGAGGGACACTCTAGAAAATAACTGACCAGTAATCTTCAGAAGTGTCAAGGTCATGAAAGACAAAGACTGAAGAAGTGTCACAGATTGGAGACTAAGGACACATGACAATTAAATGCAATGTGGGATCCTGGGACAGAAAAAGGACGTTAGTGGGCCAGTTGGTGAAATTTGAGTCAAGTTTATAGTTTTGATAATAACATTTTATCAGCAAATTTCCTGGTTTTGATAATTGTATATGGTTATATGTTAACATTTGGAGAAGCTGGGTGAATGGTATATGGGCATTCTTTGTATTATTTTTGAAACGTTTTTGTCAGTCAGTCTGAAATCATTTCAAATTAAAATAAAAAATACCTGTGCCCAGGCCCTGCACCTCATGTTAAATCACAGTTGCTCTGAGGTACAGTCCAAACATCAGCAAAGTTTAAAATCTCTCCAGGTGATTTTTATGTATAGCCAGGATTGACAGTAGGGCCCTTATTCAATGGTTCTCAAAATGTGGTCCCTGGACTAGTAGAATCAGTATCACCTGTGAACCTGTTAGAAACGAAAATTCCTAGGCATCACCCAAAACCCACTGAGTCAGAAACTCTGGTGGTGACCTTTCCGTTTTAATAAGCCCTCCAAGTGACTCAATGAATACTTAAGTTTGAAAACCAGTGCTCTAATAGAACTTAGCCCAATGATGTGACACACGACATGAACTATGTGTATTTACAAAGTTATGCAAATCAACTATCACCATAAGAATCAATGGCTAATACGCAAGATTCTTAAACTAGTAATATGTAATCCCAGACAAAATTAAATCTGGTTTAAGTGGTAATTCATTCAACATAAATTTGAGTATCTACTATGTGCTGGGTGCTGGATAGACAACAGTGAATATAAGACACTGTTCTTATCCAAAAGAACTTTAAAAGTTTTAATACAACTCAGTGTAGTAAGTGCAATGATCGAAGTTCTATGGAAGCCAACAGTAGGGCCATCACATCTAGTCAAGAGAGGCTTCTCAAAGAGGTGTCAGTCTTAAAGGAGAAACAGGAGTTATACTGGGCTCCCCTAACTTCTTGGGTAAGGAAGAATGGAAGGAATAGGCAAAGAGAAGATAGTGGCTCAAACTATGACTGTGGAATTAAGGTTGGAAATTAGGGGACAGAATTGAGAACACAGAAGGGGAAGTGGGAAGAATTTGGGATGTCCCTAGTTTCTGGTTTGGGGCGGTTGGGTGAGTATTACTATCATCCAAATTAAGAATACAGGAGGAGAAACATGGATCATTATTTCATTTGCTTTTCAAATCTCTGCAAAATCTGTTGTGCTTACCTTTTTCCCCCACCCCACCCCTACCCACAGAAGAACAGAACACAAAAAGAGTAGATTGGAATGTTGTTTTTTAAAAGACTAGCAATAAATTATCTCGTACACTCTCTTTTATCTTTACTGAATTCTATTACCACACAATTATGAGAGTACAAGATCATCTGGGGCAATCAGACAATGATTCTCTATTACAGGTAGAATAATCCACAGATTATTAAGATACTTATAACTAGTTTATATTCAAGGGAATGTCTGAAGATTAGATATAAGAAATACAAAGTTTGCCTTTGTGTGGTTATATTCATTGTGATATCTTCAGAAGTGGTATCTATGGCACTGATAAGCCTATAGAGGACAAAGGTTTATATAATAGGAAGCTGAAAGTTTCATAAGTCATCTTGACAATCAGTTTTTGTTTTACTTTTATACTAGAATTAAATTATCTCAAAATGAGGATTGAGAGAAGACTTTCAAACCAACAAAAACATGGAAAAGATTGAGGTAAAAGAAAGGGAAAATAATTTTTATAGGGGTTTTATCTTTATAGGGAAAAACAGAACTCCCTAAAATTTCTCATTTGGCATAAAATTACTAAGTTGCAATACAAATTCACATGAATTTTGAAAATGATATATTCAATTTTAGTTTCTAACAGTTTGTTCATTTCACGGTAAATAGTCAACAGGTGGCAGCACATACCATTCTTAAACAGTTTCCTACTTGCAAAACATGGGTTCCAGAGAAGTTGGGTATAAATCAAACTTTTATAAATTGAATTCTGTTTTATCATTTCAGAACTCCTTTATTTTAATTTCTGCTTTATCTGCAATAAACAATGGCTCCTAAAGTTTAAAGTTTCTCCTTACCCTCTGTAATTAGTTAATAAGCCAAGATTTAAATGCATCAGAGAGAAGCTTTCCAATAAATCTTTCTTTTGTAAATAATCCCCACTCTGATGCATTTCATCTATTTCAAATACATTTGAATATATGTATATTAAGGTAGGGGTGCATCCTTCACGGCATTATTTTAAGTAGAAAAAACCTGGATCATGATAATGGCTGAATGGAACAAACGCTAAAAAGCAAGAGTACTATACAGGCATATGATCTACAATGGATTGCAGGGCACTCGTTAACCTTTAGTATGATGCTTACTTGTTGACTGCACGTGTTCCTCCAGAGGCGGTTCATCTGTTCCCTGTACTGAAGCATATCCAGATGATGCGGTCTCGCTGCGATTATCCTCTTCATGGGAGGAGGCACTATTAGATATTTCATTGGATACAGGGACTTGTAAAGACACTGATCCATCTTCAACATCCACCTTTAAAGAACATGTAACAAATTAAAAGCCTCTCAGTGTACACGCTTTTCCTCGACATATCACTTCAAAGTTTCTTTATAGGTGACTCATTGGAGCAATATTTCTTAACCTTTTAAACCTATGATCCCTTTTGATGATCACAAGTCTCTTGTTAGCCCCAGTCAAAACAGAGTAACTGGGTCCACCAATGGGATGAAAGATGCTATAGGCGGAGTGCACTCTCATCTGGTATGTTCATTTGGGTGATACCAGCACTTCATAAAATAATGCTGGGTACAAGTTAGGCCCTAAAAAAACATCATGCTGTCCCCTATGGAACTTGAGAATCATTGTCATCTATGTACCTTCCCAAGTCAAGATTTGAGCTCGATTTTATGTTGTATCTTGAAAATAGGCCTTTTTTTCATTTACCAAATATAAAATTATAATTTAATATTTATTATGCTTTCTCAAATTATGTCTGCTTATTTAACTACAAGTTTGGTCACTATGCAATAGTAAAAGATTACAAAAACAGAAAGAGGGATGCCAAGTTGGTGGTTTATATGGTTATCATTTCAAATTCTGACCAAATAATGAGTCTATTTGGAAAGAGGGAGGAAGAAGGAAAATGGAGATGGCCCAAGATGGCACCTCATTGTCTATATGATATAAATATGTCTGGTTTTAGGTATAAACTATAAGTATGGTGTATTACATAGCGAAAAAATAAGGATGTTATTTTGTTATTTTCTCCAAAGCCCAGGCATATATTCTTCATATAAATAACATATTAATGTTTACCTCAATTCCCAAAGCTTTGAGTATGTCACATTTGCACATGGGGCAAGTCCTGTGTTCTAACAGCCATGGGTCAACACATGTCTTATGGAAAATATGGCTAATTCAGGAAAAAAACATAATTATCAGTTGTAAAGTAGCAACACTTTACCTAATATATATTAACAGATTACTTAGTGTAACTTTATTTAGTCTTTGAATGGATGCCTTTCCTTTTAAACACACTATTCATAAAATGAAGGAGTCACAGAAACAAAATTTGGAAATTCCATAATACGGTACTTTTAAATGTAAAAGCCTCATTACTCTAGCTCCAAAAAAAAATATTTTCAGTACTCATTTGAAAATGGCTAGGACACTACCTGACCTAAGACTTTGTTCATTATTTCAAATCTTAAACAGTTAGAATTCCCTAACTGATAAATGGTACAGTCATTCTCAATAATATAGTCCAATATAGTATTGAGTACAACAACACTGTACTGATGCTTTAGGCAATGTGATATGTTCCAAGAGCATCACTATTGTATTAAATAGCTAAAAGAAGTAGTGTTAAGAACAACCTTCAGGAGAGGGATAATTTAAAAAACTAAGGAATGAACACTTTCAAACAGATGCATGATTTCATTTTATTTTTTTCTTGATGGATTAGAATAAATTTAACATTAATCCAGTACTGTCCTTATATTTACATGTGTAACTATATATACTACATATTATAATATTATATAGTATATATTATATATAATGTATATAGTGTATAATGTATATAATATATACACTATATTATATATAGTGTATAATGTATATAATATATACACTATATTATATAGTGTATAATGTATATAATATATACTATATATTATGTAGAGTATATATATTATATAATGTACATATATATACATAAATATATAATATACATATATACATAATATAATATAAATACACATAAATATAAGGATAGTACTGGATTAATTTTAAATTTATTCTAATCTATCAAGAAAAAATAAAATGAAATCAAGTTATGAGCATCTATTTGGAAGTGTTCACTCCTTAGTTGGAATTTATATATATGTATTATATATATACAATTTACATATATGTATAATATATACACAATTTATATATATGTAGTATATATACACTATATACTATATAGTATATAGTATATATAGTATATAGTATATATATACTATATACTATATAGTATATATACACTATTGTATACTATATAATAGATAATATATGGTATATTATCTCACTATATAGTATATATACTCAGTATATAGTATATATACTGTACATATAGTATATATATGTACATGTACATATACATATATTATATACTATACACTATATAGTATATATACTCAGTATATAGTATATAATGTATAATATATAATATATTATACATTATATAATATATAATATATAATACATATTATATGTAGTATATATAATTATATATTATAGTATATACAGTATATATAATTATATAAAATATGTATTATATATAGTATATATATTATATAGTATACTATGTATATTATATACTATATTTAAAATATACTATATATAAAATATATTTATATATAACTATATATTATATACTATATTATATAGTATATATAATTATATATTATATACTATATTATATAGTATATATAATATAGAGTATATGTATTATACATAATATACTATGTAAGATATATACTATATAATATATAAATATATTATTATATTTAATATATAATACATATTATATATATTATAATTATAATTATATAATTATAATTATAATATATAATTACAATTATAATAATATTATATATATTATAATTATAATAATATTATATATAATATATATTATATATTATATATTATATATAATATATATTATATATAATATATAATATATATTATATATAGTATATAATATATATTATATATAGTATATATAATATTAATACATATTATATAGTATATATACTATATATAATATATATATAATACATATATATCAATTGTGCTGGCTAGGTTCTCAGTTTTCTATGGAATTAGTTTAGAACAAATTGAAGCAGATTACAATTAGACTTATACCAATTTCAGTGGTATTAAGAAATGAATAAAAATAAAAATAAACCATTCTATATTTAAATGAAGATAAGTTAAAAAATAAACATTTTTTACATTAATTTGGAAATATTCAAAATAGTTTTCTTCCATCACAGTCATTTTTGTGGGTCAGCTATTTTATTGAAGATATAGAAGAAAATCAAACTTACTTGCACGTTAAGATGCGTACCAAATCATTTGGTTTATACAATTCAATGCACACAGCACAACTATCTCCATCAGGGCCAATTTCCTACAAGCAAGTAGTTATTGTTACTCTGACAGATAAGAAAAAATACATTAAACTACAGAACAAGATCAGAACATACATGTACTTAACCAGCCTAAATTCCTATAAAAGGAGGAGCATTATATCACTGAATGATTATGTAACTGTAAAGTTCCCAAAGGTGATTTAAAAGTATCCAGACTTTAAAAAGGTAAAAGAATAAACTGAAACAAAAGGGGAACAGAACAAAGGGAAACATGTAGCACTGATTTATTTTTCCTGATTTAGGATATATAAAATACCATTTGTGCAAGCTCTATAACTTTTCTCATTTTTAAAAAATTAAGGTATAATTCACATACAGTAAAATTCACCCTTTTAGTGTACAGTTCTGCACGTTTTGAAAAATATGTCGTCACTTAATCCTTATCACAATCAAGATATAGAATAGTGCTATTACTCCCAACAAACTCCTCTAAACTCTTTGTAGTTAACCTTTCCTCTCATCCCCACCTCCTGGCAACCACTGATCTGTTTTTATAGTTTTGGCTTTCCCCGAATGTCATATAAATGGAATCATGCATTATCTAGCTTTTGAGTCTGGCTTTTTAAACTTAGTATAATGCATTTGAGATTCATCCATAATGCTGTATGTATCAATGGGATTCCCATCACACTTTTATTGCTAAATAGTATACCATGATATGTATGTACCACAGTTTATCCATTCACCAGTTGAACAATATTTGGCTTTTTTCCAGTATTTGACAATTATGAATAAAGCTGCTATGAACAGTTGTGTTTTTATGTGAACGTAGATTTTTTCTCCCTTTAGGGTAAATATCTAGTAGTGAGATTGCTAGGTGCTATGGTAAGTGTATTTTTAACTTCATAAGGAACTGCCAAACATTTTCAAATTGGCTATACATTTTGCATTCTCACCAGCAAATGAATGAGTGTACCAGTTGCTCCAAATCTCGCCCAGCTCTTGGTATTTTCAGTTGTATGCATTTTAGCCATTCTAATGAATGCGTAGTTGTATTTCATTGTGGCTTTAATTTGTATTTCTTTAATTATTAATGATGTTGAACATCTTTTATGTGTTTATTTGCCATTCATATATATATTTTTTTGGTGAATTGTCTGTTTTGCTTGCCAGTTTTCTATTAGGTTGTTTGTATTCTTACTGTTAAGTTTTAAGAGTTCTTTATATTCTGGGTACAGCCCTTTAACAGACATATGATTTGCAAATATTTTCTCCCAGTCTGTACCTTATCTTTTCCTTCTTTTAACAGTGCCTTTCAAAGAACAGAAATTCTTAATTTTGACAAGGCCAAATGTATCAACTTTTTTCTTTTTTGGACTTGTTTTTGGAGTTATATCTAAGAAATATTTGTCACCCAAGTCATGAAAATATTTTTCTTTAACGTTTTGTTCTAAAAATTTCATAGTTCTAGGTTTTATGTTAAGGTCTATGATCTATTGAAATAATGTTTACATAGGGTATGAAGAATGGATTTAAGTTCTTTTTTGTCTGTTTGCTTGTTTTTTGCTTAAGGATATCCAATCACTGCATATGGATAGCCAACAAAGGGCTATCCTCCTGAAAAGGCTATCCTTTCTTCATTGAATTGCTTTTGCACTTTTATGGAAAATCAACTGACCATATATATATGGGTTTATTTCTGTACTCTCTCTTCTGTTTCTTTGATCTATAAATCTATCCTTTTTCCAATACGACACTATCTTGACTGCTGTGACTTTAAAATAATTCTTGAAATCAGGTAGCATGAATCATCCAAAGTTGTTCTTTATCAAAATTGTTTTGTTCATTCTAGTTCTTTTGCATTTTCATCTAAGCTTAGAATCAGCCTGTCAATTTCTATAAAAGATTTACACTAGGATTTTTATTGAAACTGCATCAAATCCATAAATTAGTTTGGTGGGGAACCGACATCTTAACAACAGCAAGTCTTCTGACCCATGAACATGGTATATGTTTCCATTTATTTAGATCTTCTTTGATTTATCTCTTTCATTAGTGTTTTACAGTTTCATGACTTTGGTAAGATTTAAAATGGTGTATTATTTCCATAAGTTCTATAGCTATTTTTTGAAATACATGTTTTACCCATGAATGGTAGTTTTCAACTGTCCTAAATCTGAAAATGCGTATTCAACCAAAGTAACACTAAAGCATTGTATTAGTTTCCTGTAGCTGCTGTAACAAATTATCATAATTCAGTGGCTTAAAACAACACAAGTTTATTCTCTTACTGTTCTGGAAATCCGAAGTCTATAACCAAGGCATTGGCAATACTGCACTCCTTCTGGAGGCACCAGGGGAGAATCCCTCTCCTTATCTTTCCCAGCTTCTAGAGGCTGTCTGCATCCCTTAGCTCCTTGCCTCTTTCTTGTATCACCCCACCCTCTTGCTTCCCTTGTCACATCCCTTACTGTACTGTGGTCAAATCTCCCTCTCTCTCCCTCTTATAAGGACACTGCAATTATATTTTGAATCTATCTGGATAATCCAGGATAATCTCCCCATCTCATGACCCTTAACTTAATCATATCTGCAAAGTCCTTTTTGCCATATAAGGTAATATGCACAGGTTCAAGGGAATAGTTATCTTAGATATCTTTGGGAGGCCATTATTCAGCCAACCTCTAGAATCAAATGCATATAAAGTCAATAAGGTTCATAAATGCCAATAAAAGCATACTTAGGAAGAACATTTAGCCTGAACAATGGCTTGGTAGCACTGCTTTAAAATAAATAGCATTTAAAAGTCATGAATGTACCTTGTCTCCTTGTTTCAGTGTGCGTAGTTGAAGCCTTCCAATAGCTTTTTTAGCATCTGCCTTTAATTGCCTCTGTAAAAAAAAAAACAGCAGGTATTAGAAAAACTATTTTTTAAAAGAAGTATGATGAAAAAGATAGAGAGGATCAATAAATATTTATCAGGTAAAAGTCAATGTACAAATCAATTTTAAAAGATAAAACTTAATTAGCCATAATAAATGTCCCATTTACCTGATATAAGGCAGGATTTTCCAAGTTACTGAGACTTTTTACTTAACTTATGTTTCCCTACTTTCTTAAACAATACTGTTGGGACCATAATGGTAAAAATACATTTCCCCCACCCCTAATGGATTCAAATACTATGAATTTTCAAAGCAATCTTCCTATTTGCAAGCTCAGAGGACATTAATATGCATTTTTTTTCCAATTTCCTTTTTGAATCGTGTCTTGTTTGGTGGAAAGTGCATAGGATTTGGATTCCAATGGTTCAAAATCTGACTTTATCACTTACTCAATGAATAACCCTGCACGAGTCATTTAATTCTTTGAGCTTGTTTACTTATCTATAAAATGAGGGTAGTACCAACCTTTACACTGTTTGGTATTAAGAAAAATATTGGTGCTTATAACCACGATTGCTTAATGAAGAAGATTGATTCTGAGAGTGGTCGCCTTTTATTGTTTCACTGAGCATATATCTAGATGTGTCTGGATATGCAAAAGCAAGCCACAGGCTCATTTATGGAATAAAAACTAAAACATTATGCATAATTGAGTCAGAAGTGAAGTTGGGGTGTGGGAAGAATCTACCAGGTGAGGGAAAGACTATAAAGAGAGTCTATACAGTTCAATAACACATTGTCCCTCTATGTATGGTGAACTAGCCAGAGGAAAAAATCCCAGGTGATATTTGTTAAGATATTTGTCAATTTGAAGTTACTGGTGATGCTGCAAATACTTCATTCCCCTTCACTAAGGTCTACTACAGACAGGAATGCCTCAAGTGAATATAATATACATATGAATTGAAGTAGTGAATATAATATACATATGAATTGAAGTAGAGGCTAAGTATGACACTTGGTAGATGCTGTGTTGAAATGGTGAATATTTGTCCCCTCCAAATCTCATTGAAGTGTGACCCCCAATGTTGGAGGTGGGGCGTGGTGGGAGGTATTTGGGTCATGGAGGAGGATCCCTCATGAAGGGCTTAGTGCCATCCTTATGGTAATGAGTGAGTTCTCAGTTCCCGCTGGTTGTTTAAAAGAGCCTGGCGCCTGCTCCCTCTCTCTCCCTGTGACACGCGTGCTTCCCCTTTCCTTTCTGCCATGATAGGTAGATTCCTGAAGCTTTCACCAGAAGCGGAGGTTGGCGCCAAGCTTCTTGTATAGCCTGCAGAACCATGAGGTAAATCAACCTCTTTTCTTTATGAATTACCCAGCCTCAGGTATTCCTTTACAGCAACACAAACCCGACTAATACATGTGTGGAATATAATGGTAGCATGTGCAGCATGGCAAGATAAGTGATCTTTCTATTTTGAACTGTAAAATGAACAAACTTAGAAATTCGGCAAAAAGTAGGCCCCCAGACCTTTGGGAGAATGTAAGCAGCTTCCCTCCTATATGTACCCCCGTCCCCAGCTGACATTTATGTTACATGAAAATTAGAGATAATGTAAGTATTTAGTATAATGTCTGGCATATAGCAGATACTCAATAAAATGTTTATTACACAAAATGTAAACTACCATTCATCAATAAGCATAACAGGTACTTGCCAATATATATTTGCTACAAATGCTACAAATATTTGTAGCAAATATATTTTGGAAGGTAAGAATCTATAAGTATCAGTAGGTGAGGAATCTCATTGATGCCCAAACCTGTCTCCTATATAAGATATCATTTTGTGGAAGATATTTAGCTTAATGCCAAGGAGAATATTAGCCAAAGTATTTCTTTGCTGTCACAGGAAAAGCAGAAACCTCTCAGATTATTACCTGACCAGCAAATAAGTCTAACAGAAACAGTGAATAGGAAGGCCTAGACCCTAAAAAGGAAAAGAGGTGATAATCAAGGCACTTTCACTCCCATTTTGGGACATAATTGTGAACTAAAAAAATTCTATGATGGGACTTAATTTCAGCACAAATATCTTCCCTTCTATTTTGTTACTTGTAAGATAATAATAGAGTGACAGTGAACAAAGGTACACCTAGGATCTTTAGATTACCGAGCCCGACATCTAATCAGACAGAGAAGAAAACTGATGCTCAAAGAGGAAGAATGTCTTGCTTGAAATATCAGAGCTAGTGTCAGCCCCACTGAAGTCCAGAGTTATATCAAAGTAGCTATCTGTTTTGACTGTAGCATGGAGTAGGAAGCTACTCCTACCATTTCCTTACAATATACAGTTGTTATACAGTTTAAAATATATTTTTTATATCCATTACCTCATTTAATCCTCACAACAACCCCCAGAAGAAGGTAATATCCTCATTTTAGAGATGCTCAAGTGGAGGGTTGAAAAAGTAAAATAACTTATTCAAAAGGGAATGCAGCATCTAAATAATAAAGCTGGTACTGGAACTCTGCTCTTCATATTCCAAGAGTCCATTACAATACAACCATCCATAACTCATCTGTCTTTTGATGTTTTTCTAGCTCCTGGATTCTAGGGTCTGTCAAACTGTGGCAATCCTTCCACCTGTATGCCTACAGGGTCCTGGCCCTGGCCCACACACCTACACTTCACTACTTTCTTTCCACATAGATCATGAGTCAGTTGGACATCGAGATGAGAAAAATGCAAATGATAAAAAAATAGAGCCAGCAAGAAGAAAGGGGAAAAAATGTAATGTAGTTGATGATGTCTTTCACAATCGTTTTGCTCTTTGTGCTTAAAGCAATTCTAATTTAGGTTTAGGCAACAAGCTGTATCACACAGTTGGGGAAAGCTCTCATAAGGAATTGATACCTCTCTAGGGTATTTACTTGATTCAGTCTATACAGTCTGATTTCTCATTGCAAAATATTTGATTCAATACAATATAAATGTCTGAATCTCCAGTGATAGTGCTTATCAATTTATTAGGCATTAATGCCAAATATATAACTTTCTTAATTATAGCCAAGACTATAATGCAAATTAATTTGAAGTGTGGGATCAAAGGGAAACTTTGTATGTAATGTCTGAGTCTATGCCCAGGAGAACAGTAGAACTTGCATTAAGGGCGATGCTAGAAAATGATGGTGGGGGAGAATACAAAAAATAAAAAAACAGGGCCAAATCCAAAATGCCAGAAGACACTAGACAAGAGATTTGATTATAAAGGATCTCTAAAAGATTTGCAGCATAGCATAAACTAATGTTTAACAAAGCAGCCTTAGAATAAAAATGTGTTTAAAAGAAAATTTGAGTATTTTCAATAGCTCCTACTGGGCTGATATAAAGAAAAGCTATTTTCTTTAAATATGGATGCAAGACAAGTGATTTAATAAAAAGCACAAACTATTTTTAGAGCTTAAAGGAAAGTCACTCACAAAAAAACTGCCTCACGATATTCAAGATAGTACTCAAGATATTTCACTGTGACACTGATAGCAAGAGTTCCAAGATGCAAGCCTCCCTCTTAAAAAAACTGAAATATGAGAACACCATTAGGGCCCAGTAGATTATATTCAACACGTGTTTGAACAACATTATGTCAACTTTACAGTGCCCAAATATACCTCAACATTTAAAGACAATATGCCCCATGTGAACTGTAATTTGTACCTTACTCCTTAAAAAACAGAATTTCAAGAACATATCTACATTATACAAATTACATGAGATACTTTTCCAATGCCTTGCTACCAGATCAGAATTTCCTTAGTCTATAAATTCCAGTAACACATTATTTCCACCTCTTATCTTGTTCAGTAATTGTATTATTAATGTGCCTTTCTCTCTTGAGTAGCTGGAGGACTGGGCCTTAGTCACTTAGAAAAAAATTCCCCAGTGGCTAGAGTTTGCTCAAAAATTATTTTCTGAATTTAGAAAATATAAACAGACTTTCTTGATTTTCTCATGCAAGACACTTCTCATTTCAATTATTAAAAGTCTCTACTCCATTAAGTTTGGGGAAAGAAAGGTTTACAAATTAATTGAACCTTTACCATGTGTCAGGTTGTAAGCTTTTTACATGTGTCATCTTGTTTAATCATTAACAACATTGTGAAATAGCTATTTTAATATCCAAGTTTTATAGACAAGAAAAGTAAGGTTCAGAAGCTTGACTAAAGTCCAGACAGCTGGTAAGCTTCAGAGCTGTGATTCAATTCAAGCCCAGGTTCTATCTGGCTTTAAAGCCCATGATCTCTCCACTATTGTACACTGCCTCCATTGTGTAATGGCAAAGAAGCCTTTAAGAGGCTTCACATTTCTTGTGAAGAAGACAAACGAAGGAAATTTAAAAACCCCTTTAAAGCCAGCAATTATCCAATCTTAAAATTCTTCCCAAACTGGCTATTTACTGTGATTTGGGGAATTTTAAAAAGCAAGTATATGATGTCAAACGCCTTTTGCCTTTCCCCTCCTCCTCTCTAATCCTAAGAGATACCTGGTCTAAGAATATTTGGCAGTAGAACTGAAGACTGATTCAAAGAAGCTGGTTGTTGGCCAATTTTCTTAACAGAAGCTTAATGTGACTATTCTGACTAATCAAAAGCTGCATTCGCTCTAGTTAGTGAAGAATCTCCACTACATGGTTTTTTTTCTTGATTCTGAATGGGAATATATTGGGGTTGATGATAAAATGTCAAACCAATGATCATTCTTTATTACAATGTTCAATTTTGAAATTATGGTGAAAGCAAAGATATTCTACCTAGTTCACTGGTGTCTTTATATCCAATTAGGTAAAGTATATGTTTCAGTCTGGTGATTTTTCAGCCTGATTTTTGGTCCCAGGGCGTTCAGCTTTTAGCTTAACTGAAACCCACATGAATAGTATTAAGTATGTAGTCAAACCTAATTACTTGATGGAGGACAGGGTGTGCAAAAAGCAAGAAAGGAGAGAGATATAAGCAAACTAGATTTTTCTGTACTTAAGTCACCATATTTTAAAAATAAACATTTTCCTAAAAATTTGGCTAAGAGTTTTAACACAAGATATTTAAAATCAAGAATTATAGTAAGAGGATTCTTTTCCTCAGATATATTCCTAGGACAAAATAAAAGTCTGAGCCATGTAGCTGTTTAGGTATCTGAGAACTGAAAGAAATCCATTTTATTCAATAAAAACCTATCCACAATATTTGAGTGAAAATATTCCTACAGGTAAGAGGAGGTGCAGGCTATAAAACAGCTTCCTATAAATCTATGGAACTACAGATGAGGGGATAAACAAGAGTGCAGACCACTCTCATGAAGAACATAACTGTGAGCAGTGTAAGGAAATACACTATAAGGAAGAACAGTGAAGAAAGGGTGAATTTGACTCAGTAGATAGGTTATAGCTCAGATTACAGCATTTTTTTCAAAGAAATGTGATTAACACCCTTTAGAATTTGTGGTATAACTGCAAGTTTGTATCGTTTGACTAACATCTCCCCATTTCCCCAATCCCCCTGGCAACCACTTCTCTGTTCTCTGCATCTATGAGTTCAAATTTTTTAGATGAATAAATCCTGAGGATCTTATTTACAGCATGGTTTACTTGAAATTTGCTAAGAAAGTAGATCTTAAGTATCCTCAACACACACACACACACACACACACACACACACACACACACACGTAACTGTGTAGGGATAGATGTATTAATTTATGTCAATCATTTTACAATTTATATGTATATCAAATCATAATGTTGTACACCTTGAATATATACAAATTTTATTTGTCAATCATACTTCAATAAAGCTGGAAAAAGAATTAGTGGTATAAATTTAAAATTAGAGTAAGTGAATATATAAAAATCCTGAGACCCATTATAAGAGCTTTCTTTTGTTCAGTGAGAAAGTCAGAAGAAATATTGTAAAACTAAGTCTTACTTAGACAAGGATTTAATCTGTTCTTCTTATACAAGAGTCAAAATTCTCATGGTTTCTGTAAAAGACCCTGAACTACTCTCAAATGTAGGCAGAAATAGATACATACATGTGAACACACCAACTGCAAATGTATATATGTTAATAGTGGTACAGTGTGCAGGTACTTAATGAATCTTCCAGATAATTTCGTGTACTAGTGGAGTAGAAAAAAACTTAATGTAACCAGAAATAGTTTAGATAATTTTTAGTAATGCTTTAAGTTGAAGGACAGATTTTAAAATATTAATGTAGCCTAGTCCTTCCTCATCTGAGAGCACACAGGAGTGCTCTTTCTGTCTGGCAGCAAACTACAGAAATGTGTGGCATATCTCTGCCCAGGGAACCAATTTAAGTGTTGGGGTCCAAGACTCAGATGAAGGGACTGCTTACTAGGTGCATCCTGCTAGCAACTGGCCATGTTGCCGGAAACTGAGGACCCCAACAATGAAACTAGGATATCATCAATCTTGATTGTTGTGAAAAGCAACTCTGACAGGCTGGTACAACATGGTCCATTTTTCCAGGTGTATATAACAAAATTATCAATCACTAACATAAAGACCAGTTTGAGAGCCACATTCCCAGGGTTGGCCAGGGGCCAATCATGGTTCCCTTGGGGACATGGAAGGAGTAAGCAACTGCATCTGTTGTGTTACCTTTTTCCTCACAATCCATCCTGTTGGTCAAAGCCTTTTTATAATAAAACTTTCAGTACAGTAACTGTTTGTACAGTATTTATATATTATCACTTCAGTTGGTACAGTAGTCAGTATAGTTACTATACAGTTAGCATAATATTTATAAACAGTGTACTACATACAGTATACAGTTGACCCTTGAACAACATGGCAGTTATAGGCACTGACCCTCACACAGCCAAGACTCCACATATAGCTTTTGACACCCCCAAAACTTAACTACTAATAGTCTACTGTTGACTGGAAGCCTTACTGATAACATAAACAGTTAATAAACACCTATGTTGTATGTTATATAAATTATATACTGTGTTTGTACAATAAAGTAAATTAGAGAAAAGAAAATGTTATTAAGAAAATCATAAGGAAGAAAAGAATATATATTTAAAGACAGGGTCTCACTGTCACCCAGGCTGGAGAGCAGTGGCATGATCTCGGCTCACTGCAACCTCTGCCTCCCGGGCTCAAGTGATTCTCCCACCTCAGCCTCCCAAGTAGCTGGGACTACAGGCACATGCCACCATGCCTGGCTAATTTTTCTATTATTTGCAGGGACAGGGTTTTGCCATGTTGCACAGGTTGGTCTGGAACTCCTGGGCTCAAGCGATCCACCCGCCTCGGCCTCCCAAAGTGCTGGTACGACAGGTGTGAGAGAAAATAAATTTTATCTTAATTAAGAGGCCGTGGATTATCATGAAGGCCTCCATCCTTCTTTCTTCACATTCACTAGACTGGGGAGGAGGAAAAGGATATATTGGCCTTGCTGCCTCCGGTGTGGCAGAAGTGGAAGAATATCCGTGTAAAAGTGGATTCGTGTGGTTGAAACCCAAGTTGTTTAAGGGTCAACTGTATATACTGTTCAGTTAGCACAGTATTTTTATATAAGGTGCCATAAGAACAACACAAGTCTATCTAATACTTGCAGAAGCCAACAAGGAGTGGAAACAGGTTCAAAGGAACAATTCATCCAGTTTATAAGACCATCACAAACATCTTTACATTATTATACCAATTTAATTATCCATTTATTCCCTTGATCTATGGCCACTTGAACTTTGTGATAGACTTGCACAGAGCAATTTAATATAGTAATGAACTAAATCATTCTACTTCTTCTTCATGCCAGTCACTCTCCCTTGGTATCACACTGTGAGGAGTTTTTAGTTCAATGTCTCAAATATATTTGATTACCATATGATTTATTTATATAAGATAGTTGAATTTTACTAACAATACCAGTATTACACCATATCAGAGCATGGTTATGATACAGTTTGGTTTGGTTACAAAAAAAATCCGGAAATGTCACAGAAATATTTATTAAACCTTCCTAGAAGAATTAGCCTTTGCCCATATGCCAGATATGATGAGGAACAAATGCTGTCACCAGTTGCAATCATTCTGTCATTTCTAGGTTCCATGTTAGCTGGGGACAAAGCCAATCATTTGTCTCAACTTATATTATTATCAAGTTATAGGTTCCTGTTAACTTTGTACAGCAAGGCCATTTCCCTCCCATGGGAGTACATGGGTATCATTCAGTATTAGTTCTATTCCTACTAGCCTTATTTTGGCCCATCCTTTGGTCCAGATCAGTCAGAGATCAGCAGTGCAAGTTGCAATTTTACAAAAAAAAATTCCATAAATTTGAGGATCTGCATGTGTCTCAAAGATTCTCTGCCTGAGCTTCTACAGCTAAAAATGGAAGGTCATTACCCCCATGGCTACTTGGGGATCACTTTTAAGTAAAATAGTTAATAGATTCTGTTGTGTTAGAGTATATTCTCTTTCCCAATATTGATTCCTAGCATTCTCTAGCATTATGTGTTGGGTCTGTGTGATCAGTTTATCAAAGCTTTATGACCTTTGCAAGTGGATTCCCATTCTTTTCCCTCCTCTTGGAAGATGATTTCCTTCTAATCTGTCTATTTTAGTTAGTAAATCCTTTTCTTCTGAAAGCCACTCTTCATTAAAAGTAAATTCAGCTTTTCACATTATATCTAGGCCAGCTCCTATTTCACCTACAGCCCTCTTTTGTTTCACTTGCCAATGTTTAATCCAACACATGCATTGTGGCTATTGAGTATTAACTGCTTGAATACAGTTAGGATACATTTACGGTACCCGAAAATGTTTGGTACTCCATGCTAGAGTCAAGTGTATAGTGGTCACTCCTGAATGTAGTTTAATTTGTGTATGCCATAAGGTTTCCCATAATCTTTCTTGTCTCAAGTTAGGGTTGTTCCCGGAAGGGACATGAAACTAACTTATAAGGCCTAATATGTTATTTTCATTTATAATCCATTGATACTTTTTTGTTCTGTTTAAAAGCTTTGTATCTAAAAAACAGGGATGATATGTGTTCTTACACATCACACTACAACATATGAGGCTATTCTGTCTGGGGGCTCATCTGAGCATTCAGTCATCAGAATTTATGGTTACAGTTATCAGTTTCCTGACATTATATACCATGTATCATAACCTTCAGAAGGAAGAAATTCTTGAATATATTAAATTTGCCTAACATTCTAATGAAGCCAAATTTCCATAACTCAGCTTCATCATCATTTCTACCAGTAAAATGGAGATAATATAGTTAAATGTTTAGTGATAATTATAATCAGCATATGCATTAAGCTCTACCTTTTAAAAATTAATACTGTCATGAAAATTAAATATATAAATGACATTCTAGCACTCTCAAATATTTATAAGCAAAAAGGATTATCAGCCATATATTTAATCTTTTAGTCCTCAAAGGATAAACAGATATAGTCCATTAAGTAATTTTTAAAAGCCCCTTCAAAAGCCTTCTCCAAATAGATGAGAAGTTTTAATGCTATTCTTGACCATTTCTACAGAGGTTAATTATCATAAGATGTATTATAAACTATGAAAATTAAATGCGTAGACCAGAGCTAAATGTCCAATGAAGCTCTGTAACACCAGACAAAGTTCTTTATAAACCTTATTATTTTCTGATGGGGTTTAATGCCATGTCAATAAATTTATTATAGCACTGAGAATACTGAAACACATACCCCACCATGAACATATGCAAACCAAACACTCTTGTCATTGTAACTATAACCTTTGAATAGTTAGTCACACTGGACACCAATTTCCTTCCAGCCTCGCAGATAAAAAACCGCACAATATACAAATGTCAAATATTAACACAGTGTGAAACTACTGAGTGGCCTGGTACAGGAATTTTAAACATCTTTTTGACTGCAGCTAGTATCAGGCTGAACCTGCCACCAATGTGATAAGCTGCTTCTCTAAGGAGAAGGATAGAAGCCAATTAACTTTAAACACTGAGATAACCATCACTTATTACCATATGCTGGTATCTAATCTTTATGAAGTTTTTATAATAAAATTTCAATTTCTCATCTATTCCTAAATTAAATTAACTTTCTTGCTATATAAAAATCCTCACTGCTCCTTCCGCCCCCTAAATAAATTGAGTTCCTTTTCACTTATTGGAGGAAGAGTACATGAAGTGACCAGAAATCGATCGCCTTTAGAGAAACTGCTCAGTACATATAAAAATGTATTTTCATCTGAAAGCATTAAATCCCTACTGAGCTTTCTAAAGAAGTGGCACACCATTCCGCTGTTATACTGAGAATACCTGAAGGGAGGAGGAGGTAAGAAATTATGGTGGCTTTGACTGGGGCAGAAGCAATGAAGGTAATAAGAAATAATCAAATTCTGGATATATAATGAAGGTAGAAATAATAGGATTTGCTGATAGTTTACATGGGAGGTGACAGAAAAAAAGGAATAAAGAACAACTTCAAGGTTTTTGGCCTGGGGCCAAGAGAAAATCTTTTGAAAATGGGAGCAATAATACTATGTTTGCATGTTGGTGGAAAAGATGAGGAGGAGAGGGAGAAATTGTTAAAGTAGGAGAGTGAGAGAGGAAAATTTCTGGAGTGATGTCCTTGAGTATACAAAAGACAAAAATAATCTTATACCTGAGTGAAAGAGTTAGCCTTTGCAAAGGAACAGTTCATCCATAAAAACAGAAGACAAAGCAGGGGAATAGGATAGACGCAGATGAAGATAGATGAGAAGATGTGGAAGTATTATTGATTGCTTCAATTTTCTCAGTAAAATAAAATACAAATTGAGAGTAAAGTTGGAGGAGGTGTTGGAGAAAGGGAAAGGAACACATATGGTTATCCAACAGTAGGAGAGTAAATGGCCAAGAAAACATAGTGTGATTCCTGGGTAGCATTAAGGGCCCACTCTGATTTTACGGTCACAAATTTAAAGTGAGATCAGTCAGTACAGCTGTAAATGCCTTTCTGATACTTCAGTTGTGCAAGGTGAAGACATAGAGTAGGTGGGAAGTAAATTTAACCAGGGTTGGATTTGTTTTTCCAGCAACTATAACAAAGAGAAAGAAGGGCCACGGGAACTGAAGATGTATGCATGGGAGTAACCATGGAATTTAAGCTGGGTAAGGAGAAATGTGAGCATATCAGGGGGCTGAGGGGGACAATTTAATGGTGGCAGGAACAATGCCATACAACCATAGGTACTTTACTGTTCAGTAATGCTTTGGTATTTTTGCTCTGTTGTTTGTGTACCTTGTACCTTTTTATACACTGTTATAATATGGTAGAAACTATTAATATTTGACTCCACTTGAAGCCTAACAATATATCATGCACAATCAGATCTTCTACCCTGCCTTCTCAGCCTAGTCCCTCTTCTCAGCCCCATCCCCACATGCAAATACAGACGTACATATAAAATAATAGTGGTTACCTTTGGGCGATGACTATAGTTATATTGCTATATCAGGTTTTAGGTGAGTTTTTTTCCCGTGTACTTTCTAATTTCTAAGTTTTCTATATTGAGTATGAAATGTTTTTGTAATTTAGAAAAAAATGTTTATTTAAAAGAACATATGTATTTACACCTATATGTAATTAAATGCTGGATGTGTTCTCTAATGAGGTGTTAGAAAATTTAATCAGGTAGGATTAAGTTCTTTGACAAATATAGAAAATAAACCTTTGAGAAGAGCTGACATACTTTTAAAAACTACCAGATTTTGTAAAACATATGGGGAGATCATTGTCTAGCAAGTACAATGTATTAAAATGCAGGACCCTGAAACTACAATTAGAACAGTAAATTTTTTTTAATAGTGGAAGAAAGGACCATTACAAACCTGCTTCCTGCTTTGAGCTCTTGCATTCCGTAGCCTTCGAGCAGAATAAAAGATAAAATAGCCCACAGTTGCCGCCGTAATAATAAAAAAGGACACAGAAACGAAAAAAATTGAATAGTGATTCACCCAAGGGCCATGTTTTTTCCCTACTTCTATGACCATTGTCACTTGTATGCCTCTTTGAATAGATTGCAGAATTTTTGTGCCTTTCAGATTGCCGATCATGATTGCAACAATGTCTACTGCACCTGTAAAATAAAACAAATTCAGTTTTAGTTTGGTGAAACATTCTTAGTATAATAACCCAATTGCTAAAATGATTTTAAATGGGTCTCAATGAGACAAAGGAAGGATACCCATTCATTCAATTAACATTTTTGAGCACCTACTATCTATATGAAAGTTGTAGGTTATATAAACACGCATGAGATTTGGTTACCGATTTTAGGGAACTCATAACTTAGTAAGGAAGCTATTATATACAACAAACACCTCCCCCTCCTCAGATTAACTATCTATAATTCAACAGTATTGCCTTTGAGACCCAATTTGCATCTTATATGAAGGCTTGCTTAAAGACAAATAGTCCCCCAAATTGTAGAAAATAGGGCTTATATGATAAGGAATCTAAGATTTGGGGAATACAGAAATATTTCCCAATTTATAAGATGATAAATTATCTCAAGAGCTCACTACTAGCATGTATAAGGATTTACATATTGGGATAGTAATTTGAGCCAAACAATGTTTACAAACCCAAATGTACAAACTACATATGTCCATGATGTACCATTTTTCTATATCCTCAAAAGCAATATAAAATTTGCTCAAGGTGTTCTAAGGTTTTACACAGACGTGATCAGGTTAGCAATGAAGATAACATATAGAAATGCACATTTCTATTCACTACCTATTAAAGACAAGCCTAAACTAAGACTAATCTTATTACTAAAGGTCTAATTATCTAAAATACTTACCTCTCTACCACCAATTATATAAGTTTTGTGGAAAAAAATAAAGTACAAACATTATCTTTCCCAATGTTAAAAGAATGTCAGATTGCTCATGCCATTCCAATGCTTATCAAGGTTTATATTCCCTCTAGTTTATATGACCTGAGACCAATAATCTTAAGCAAAAGAAGAGCACTTATTGAATGTTAAGGTATAACCAACTAGAGAAACCTCCCACTGATATTAAGTTAAGGTGCTAATCTGGGTTAATGATCCAACTCCAATCTGGAATAAATACAAATACACACATGCAACTCTAAAAGGACTTTTAGAGGAGGTTCCAAGATGGCCGAATAGGAACAGCTCCAGTCTGTAGCTCCCAGTGTGAGTGATGCAGAAGACGGGTGATTTCTGCATTTCCAACTGAGGTACTGGGTTCATCTCACTGGGGCTTGCCAGACAAGTGGGTACAGCCCACGGAGCAGGGCAGGCCATCGCCTCACCCAGGAAGTGCAAGGGGTCAGGGAATTCCCTTTCCTAGCAAAGGGAAGCCGTGACAGACCGTACCTGGAAAATCGGGACACTCCCACTCTAATACTGCACTTTTCCAACAGCCTTAGCAAATGGCACACCAGGAGATTATAACCCGCGCCTGGCTCAGAGGGTCCCATGCCCATGGAGCCTCGCTCACTGCTAACACAGCAGTCTGAGATCAAACTGCAAGGCAGCAGTGGGGCTGGGGGAGGGGCGTACGCCATTGCTGAGGCTTGAGTAGGTAAACAAAGTGGCGGGCAAGCTCAAACTGGGTGGAGCCCACCACAGCTCAAGGAGGCCTGCCTGACTCTGTAGACTCCACCTCTGGGGGTAGGGCATAGGTGAACAAAAGGCAGCAGAAACTTCTGCAGACTTAAACATCCCTGTCTGACAGCTTTGAAGAGTAGTGGTTCTCCCAGCACGGAGTTTGAGATCTGAGAACGGACAGACTGCCTCCTCAAGTGGGTCCCTGACCCCTCAGTAGCCTAACTAGGAGACACTTCCCAGAAGGGGCCGACTGACACCTCATACAGTGGGGTGCCCCTCTGAGACGAAGCTTCCAGAGGAAGGATCAGGCAGCCACATCTGCTGTTCTGCAATATTTGCTGTTCTGCAGCCTCCGCTGGTGATACCCAGGCAAACAGGGTCTGGAGTAGACCTCCAGCAAACTCCAACAGACCTGCAGCTGAGGGTCCTGACTGTTAGAAGGAAAACTAATAAACAGAAAGGACATCCACACCAAAACCCTGTCAGTACGTCACCATCATCAAAGACCAGAGGTAGATAAAACCACAAAAATGGGGAGAAACCAGAGCAGAAAAGCTGAAAATTCTAAAAATCAGAGCGCCTCTTCTCCTCCAAAGGAATGCAGCTCCTCGCCAGCAACAGAACAAAGCTGGATGGAAAATGACTTTGATGGGTTGAGAGAAGAAGGCTTCAGATGATCGGTAATAACAAACTTCTCTGAACTAAAGGAGGATGTTCGAACCCATCGCAAAGAAGTAAAAACCTTGAAAAAAGATTAGACGAATGGCTAACTAGAATAAACAGTGTAGAGAAGTCCTTAAATGACCGGATGGAGCTGAAAACCATGGCATGAGGACTACGTGGTGCATGCACAAGCTTCAGTAGCCGATTTGATCAAGTGGAAGAAAGGGTATCAGTGATTGAAGATCAAATGAATGAAATGAAGCAAGAAGAGAAGTTTAGAGGAAAAAAAAGAGTAAAAAGAAATGAACAAAGCCTCCAAGAAATATGGGACCATGTGAAAAGACCAAATCTACGTCTGATTGGTGTACCTGAAAGTGACGGGGAGAATGGAACCACGTCGGAAAATACTCTTCAGGAGATTATCCAGGAGAACTTCCCCAATCTAGCAAGGCAGGCCAACATTCAAATTCAGGAAGTACAGAGAATGCCACAAAGATACTCCTTGAGAAGAGCAACTCCAAGACACATAATTGTCAGATTCACCAAAGTTGAAAAGAAGGAAAAAATGTTAAGGGCAGCCAGAGAGAAAGGTCGGGTTACCCACAAAGGGAAGCCCATCAGACTAACAGCGGATCTCTCGGCAGAAACTCTACAAATCAGAAGAGAGTCGGGGCCAATATTCAACATTCTTAAAGAATTTTCAACCCACAATTTCATATCCAGCCAAACTAAGCTTCAAAAGTGAAGGAGAAATAAAATTCTTTACAGACAAACAAATGCTGAGAGATTTTGTCACCACCAGGCCTGCCTTACAAGAGCTCCTGAAGGAAGCACTAAACATGGAAAGGAACAACTGGTACCAGCCACTGCAAAAGCATGCGAAATTGTAAAGACCATCGATGCTAGGAAGAAAATGCATCAACTAACGAGCAAAATAACCAGCTAACATCATAATGACAGGATCAAATTCACACATAATAATATTAACTTTAAATGTAAATGGGCTAAATGCTCCAATTAAAAGACATAGACTGAAAAGAAAAAGACACAGACTGGCAAATTGGATAAAGAATCAAGACCCATCAGTGTGCTGTATTCAGGAGACCCATCTCACATGCAGAGACACACATAGGCTCAAAATAAAGGGATGGAGGAAGATATACCAAGCAAATGGAAAGCAAAAAAAAAAAAAAAAAACAAAGCAGGTGTAGCAATCCTAGTCTCTGATCAAACAGACTTTAAACCAACAAAGATCAAAAGAGACAAAGAAGGTCATTACATAATGGCAAAGGGATCAATTCAACAAGAAGAGCTGACTATCCTAAATATATATGCACCCAATACAGGAGCACCCAGATTTATAAAGCAAGTCCTTAGAGACCTACAAAGAGACTTAGACACGCACACAATAATAATGGGAGACTTTAAAACCCCACTGTCAACATTAGACAGATCAACGAGACAGTAAGTTAACAAGGATATCCAGGAACTGAACTTAGCGCTGCACCAAGCAGACCTAATAGACATCTACAGAACTCTCCACCCCAAATCAACAGAATATACATTCTTCTCAGCACCACATAACACATATTCCAAAATGGACGACATAGTTGGAAGTAAAACACTCCTCAGCAAATGTAAAAGAACAGAAATTATAACAAACTGTCTCAGATCACAGTGCAATGAAACTAGAACTCAGGATTAAGAAACTCACTCAAAACCACACAACCACATGGAAACTGAACAACCTGCTCCTGAATGACTAATGGGTACATAACAAAATGAAGGCAGAAATAAAGATGTTCTTTGAAACCAATGAGAACAAAGACACAACATACCAGAATCTCTGGGACACATTCAAAGCAGTGTATAGAGGAAAATTTACAGCACTAAATGCCCACAAGAGAAAGCAGGAAAGATCTAAAATTGACACCCTAATATCACAATTAAAAGAACTAGAGAGGCAAGAGCAAACACATTCAAAAGCTGGCAGAAGGCAAGAAATAACTAAGATCAGAGCAGAAGAGAAGGAGATAGAGACACAAAAAACCCTTCAAAAAATCAATGAATCCAGGAGCTGGTTTTTTGAAAAGATCAACAAAATTGATAGACCACTAGCAAGACAAATAAAGAAGAAAAGAGAGAAGAATCAAATGGATGCAATAAAAAATGATAAAGGGGATATCACCACCAATCCCACAGAAATACAAACTACCATCAGAGAATACTATAAACCCCTCTACGCAAATAAACTAGAAAATCTAGAAGAAATGGATAAATTCCTCGACACATACACCCTCCCAAGACTAAACCAGGAAGAAGTTGAATCTCTGAATAGACCAATAACAGCCTCTGAAATTGTGGCAATAAATAATAGCCTACCAACCAAAAAAAGTCCAGGACCAGATGGATTCACAGCCGAGGTCTACCAGAGGTACAAAGAGAAGCTGGTACCATTCCTTCTGAAACTATTCCAATCAATAGAAAAAGAGGGAATCCTTCCTAACTCATTTTATGAGGCCAGCATCATCCTGATACCAAAGCCTGGCAGAGAGAAAATAAAAAAAGAAAATTTTAGACGAAAATCCCTGATGAACAATGATGCAAAAATCCTCAATAAGATACTGGCAAGCCGAATCCAGCAGCACATCAAAAAGCTTATCCACCACAATCAAGTTGGCTTCATCCCTGGGATGCAAGGCTGGTTCAACATAAGCAAATCAATAAATGTAATCCATCATATAAACAGAACCAAAGATAAAAACCACATGATTATCTCAGTAGATGCAGAAAAGGCCTTTGACAAAATTCAACAGCGCTTCATGCTAAAAACTCTCAATAAACTAGGTATTGATGGGACGTATCTCAAAATAATAAGAGCTATCTATGACAAACCCACAGCCAATATTATACAGAATGGGCAAAAACTGGAAGCATTCCCTTTGAAAACTGGCACAAGACAGGGATGCCCTTTCTCACCACTCCTATTCAACATAGTGTTGGAAGTTCTAGCCAGGGCAATCAGGCAAGAGAAGGAAATAAAGAGTATTCAATTAGGAAAAGAGGAAGTCAAATTGTCCCTATTTGCAGATGACATGATTATATATCTAGAAAACCCCATCGTCTCAGCCCAAATTCTCCTCAGGCTGATAAGCAACTTCAGCAAAGTCTCAGGATACAAAATCAATGTGCAAAAATCACAAGCATTCTTATACACCAATAACAGACAAACAGAAAGCCAAATCACGAGCGAACTCCCATTCACAATTGCTTCAAAGAGAATAAAATACCTAGGAATCTAACTTAAAAAGGATGTGAAGGACCTCCTCAAGGAGAACTACAAACCACTGCTCAACGAAATAAAAGAGGACACAAACAAATGGAAGAACATTCCGTGTTCATGGATAGGAAGAATCAATATTGTGAAAATGGCCATTCTGCCCAAGGTAATTTATAGATTCAATGCCATCCCCATCAAGCTGCCAATGACTTTCTTCATAGAATTGGAAAAAACTACTTTAAAGTTCATATGGAACCCAAAGAGCCCGCATCGCCAAGACAATCCTAAGTCAAAAGAACAAAGCTGGAGGCATCACCCTACCTGACTTCAAACTATACTACAAGGCTACAGTAACCAAAATAGCATGGTACTGGTACCAAAACAGAGATATAGATCAATGGAACAGAATAGAGCCCTCAGAAATAATACCACACATCTACAACCATCCGATCTTTGACAAACCTGACAAAAACAAGAAATGGGGAAAGGATTCCCTATTTAATAAATGGTGCTGGGAAAACTGGCTAGCCATATATAGAAAGCTGAAACTGGATCCCTTCCTTACACCTTATACAAAAATTAACTCAAGATGGATTAAAGACCTAAATATTAGACCTAAAACCATAAAAATCCTAGAAGAAAACCTAGGCAAATACCATTCAGGCCATAGGCATGGGCAAGGACTTCATGACCAAAACACCAAAAGCAATGGCAACAAAAGCCAAAATTGACAAATGGGATCTAATTAAACTAAAGAGCTTCTGCACAGCAAAAGAAACTACCGTCAGAGTGAACAGGCAACCTACAGAATGGGAGAAAAGTTTTACAATTTACCCATCTGACAAAGGGCTAATATCCAGAATCTACAATGAACTTGAACAAATTTACAAGAAAAAATCAAACAACCCTATCAAAAAGTGGGCAAAGGATATGAACAGACACTTCTCAAAAGAAGACATTTATGCAGCCAAAAGACACATGAAAAAATGTTCATCATCACTGACCATCAGAGAAATGCAAACCAAACTACAATGAGATACCATCTCACACGACTTAGAATGGTGATCATTAAAAAGTCAGGAAACAACAGGTACTGGAGAGGATGTGGAGAAATAGGAACTCCTTTAACTGTTGGTGGGAGTGTAAACTAGTTCAACCATTGTGGAAGACAGTGTGGCGATTCCTCAAGGATCTAGAACTAGAAATACCATTTGATCTAGCCATCCCATTACTGGGCATATACCCAAAGGATTATAAATCATGCTGCTATAAAGACACATGCACACGTATGTTTATTTCGGCACTATTCACAATAGCATAGACTTGGAACCAACCCAAATGTCCTTCAATAATAGACTGGATTAAGAAAATTTGGCACATATATACCATGGAATACTATGCAGCCATAAAAAGATGAGTTCATGTCTTTGTAGGGACATGGATGAAGCTAGAAACCATCATTCTGAGCAAACTATCACCAAGACAGAAAACCAAACACCGCATGTTCTCACTCATAGGTGGGAATTGAACAATGAGAACACTTGGACACAGGGTGGGGAACATCACACACTGGAGCCTGTCGTGGGGTGGGGGGCTGGGGGGGATAGCATTAGGAGATAAACCTAATATAAATGACGAGTTAGTTAATGGGTGCAGCACACCAACATGGCACATGTAAACATATGTGACAAACCTGCATGTTGTGCACATGTAGCCTAGAACTTAAAGTATAATAATAAAAAAACCAACAAAATATAAAATAAAAATAAAATGAAAGGACTTTTAGACTAGAATTTAAATACAAAAATACTGAATGTCTGAAATGTAGACACCCTCTGTTGTATCTTCTTCCAATATGAGTGTATTATCCAAATATCCCTTATGGGTCTGGAGGTAATTTTGCCAGAGAGTGCCCCTTTTTTCTATTTATTTGGGGACATTAAGTTTTTAGCTATGGCACTAAAATCACAGACATTATTTGTCTTTTCTCTAAAAGCCATTTCTCAGTAAAATATTAAAATAGTATTCACAGTTTTAATTTTCAAATTAAGGGTATAAACCTTAAATGGCAATGTACACAGTAAAATTGTTAATCAAGCAATCCCTTAAATTTATGGTCCTCAGTAGCCAAAGTTTTCAAAAGATGGGGCCAAAAAGAAATATCTCATAGTATGCTAAGATTCTCTCTTTATTTGAAGTTATTAATTTAAACATTTTATTCAAAGCATTTTATTATAGATCCTTAACATTCCAAAAGACACTATTTTTACATGATAGCCATTTAGTTAAGCCCTTTTTAAAACTCTACTGAGTCATGTGTGATCATTCAGTTTGATAGAGATTAATGACTCACCTTGTTCTCATTTACAAAAGGAAAATCTCAAAAACAATGGGGAGTGAAGGAGTCTGAAATGTAGAGACCCTCTGTTATATTTTCTTCCAATATCAGTATATGACCCAAATATCCCTTATGGATCTGGAGATAATTTTACCAAACAGTGGCCCTTTTTTTCTATTTATTTAGGGGCTTTAAATTTTTAGCTATGGCACTAAAATCACAGACATTATTTGTCTTTTCTCTAAGAGCCATCTCTCAGGAAAATGTATAGTAATAAAGTTGTGATTAATTATATAATGTAGCATTCATTTCCGATATTATAAACTGTATAATCTTTGAAAGCATAGAGAATTCTAAAAGTTAGGCTTTGGAATATATTTTTAAATATTTCTTTTGAATCACAGATGTGTACTGCTAATAAGTTGGTTTTTGTTGTTGTTGTTGTTGTTTTGTTTTTTTTGAGACGGAGTTTCGCTCCTTACCCAGAGTGGAGTGCAGTGGTGCAATCTTGGCTCACTGCAACCTCTGCCTCCTGGGTTCAAGTGATTCTCCTGCTTCAGCCTCCCGAGTAGCTGGCATTACAGGTGCATGCCACCACACCCAGCTAATTTTTGTGTTTTTAGTAGAGACGGGGTTTCACCATGTTGGCCAGGCTGGTTTCAAACCCCTAACCTCAGGTGATCCACCCACCTTGGCCTCCCAAAGTGCAGGGATTAGAGGCGTCAGCCACTGCACCTGGCCATAAGTTTTTAACTAATAGAAATGTTTTGTTCTTTTAGAACATATGGGGTAGGTGGCAGGGGTGGATACTCAGGAACACATGGGCCATTGTGGTCAGATGAAGGTTGAAAAACAAAACAAGGCCGGGCGTGGTGGCTCACGCCTGTAATTCCAGCACTTTGGGAGGCTGAGGTGGGTGGATCACGAGGTCAGGAGATCAAGACTATCCTGGCTAACATGGTGAAACCCCGTCTCTTCTAAAAATACAAAAAAAAATTAGTCGGGCGTGGTGGCGGGCACCTGTAGCCCCAGCTACTGGGGAGGCTGAGGCAGGAGAATGGCGTGAACCCGGGAGGTGGAGCTTGCAGTGAGCTGATATCGTGCCACTGCACTCCAGCCTGGGCGACAGAGCGAGACTCCATCTCAAAAAACAAAAACAAAAACCAAACCAAACCAAACCAAACCAAACCAAACCAAAAAACAAGGATAGGCAAGAAATGTACATTGTATACATCTTAGCAACAATGCTGTGCTTCAGTCCTCACAATCTATATTCATACGTGCTATATACAGTCCAACTATTAAAAAACCTGAATTGGCCGGGCGTGGTGGCCCACGCCTTTAATTCCAGCACTTTGGGAGGCCGAGGAGGCGGGCGGATCATGAGATCAGGAGATCGAGACCATCCTGGCTAACACGGTGAAACCCCATCTCTACTAAAAATACAAAAAATTAGCCGGGCGTGGTGGCGGGCGCCTGTAGTCCCAGCTACTCGGGAGGCTGAGGCAGGAGAATGGCGTGAACCCGGGAGGCGGAGCTTGCAGTGAGCCAAGATCGTGCCAGTGCACTCCAGCCTGGACGACAGAGCGAGACTCCGTCTCAACGAAAACAAAAAACCCTGAATTGGCTTCCTAATCATGTAAAAGACCTATTTCTAAGCATTTTGATACTTCCCATGCACTTGAAAATATCTGTAAACTGCTCCCCCTCCACTGTTCTCAATTGCAGTTAACAGTGTAACAACCCCTCTGGTCACCTAGTTTAGTAACCTCAGAATCATGTTTGAATCCTCACTGCTCACCTAGTCAGTCATGGAGATGCTATTTACTTTCTTGGTGTCTCCATTATCAGATCTTTCTATTTCTGCTGTCTTAATATAGACCCTCATAATTTCTTTGAAATAGGGTACTGAAACTATTACAGTAACCTCCTAGCTGGTCATCCTATATCCAGTCCCTCCCTTAAAGTTTCATTAGAGTTGACCTTTCTGCTTGACTTTTGCCATAACATGGTTGAATCATGCCTCTTTTTCTGCCCAGGAGTCTTTAGTGGCTCCTAATTACTCATTACAATCTGACTCCTTAGCCTAACATGTAAAGCCATATATGATCTGATCTCAACTGATCTTGCACATGTGTTGGTATGTTATATAGGCAAACTGTGTGTCACAGGGGTTTGTGTACAGATTATTTCATCATCCATGTAATAAGCATAGTGCCCAATAGGTATTCATCCTCCTCCCTTCCTCCACCCTCAAGTAGGCCCCGGTGTCCGTTGTTCCCTTCTTTGTGTCCATGTGTACTCAAAGTTTAGCTCCCACTTATACATAAGAACATGTGGTATTTGGTTTTCTGTTGCTGTGTTTGTTCACTCAGGATAATGGCCTCCAGCTCCATCCATGTTGCTGCAAAGAACATAATCTGTACACAAACCCCTGTGACACACAATTTGCCTATACAACAAACCAACACATGTGTCCTTGAGCCTAAAATAAAAGTTTAAAAAATTTCAAGACTGGGCTTGGTGGCTCACACCTGTAATCCCAGCACTTTGGGAGGCCGATGGGGGGCGGATCACCTGAGGTCAGGAGTTCAAGACCAGCTTGACCAACATGGAAAAACCCTGTCTCTACTAAAAGTACAAAATTAGCCAGGCGTGGCAGTGCATGCCTGTAATCCCAGCTACTCGGGAGGCTGAGGCAGGAGAATCGCTTGAACCCGAGGCAGAGGTTGTGGTGAGCTGAGATGGTGCCACTGCACTCCAGCCTGGGCAACAAGAGCAAAACTCCATCTCAAAAAAAAAAAAAAATCAAAAGTGGAGAATGGAATAGTGATTACCAGGGGCTGGGGAGGGTACAGGGTAGGGAAGGATGGAGAGAGGTTGGCCAATGTGTACAAACTTACAGTTAGGCAGGAAGAATAAGTTTGGTGTTTTTTTACACAGTAGGGTGACTATAGCAAACAGCAATGTAGTGTATGTTTTAAGATAACTAGAAGAAAAGATTTTGAATGATGTTACCACAAACAAATGAAAAATGTTCCATGTGATGGATATGGTAATTGCCCCCATTTGATCATTATACTACATAGTATACTTACATTTACAATCACATTGTACCCCATAAATATATACAATTATGTGTCAATTATAAATTTTTAAATTAAGGGTCTTTAAAAAAAAAAAGACAGTGTCTGCCCAAAATAAAAAAGTTCTTAATTTAGAGAGGCATGCCAATTGAGATGCAAAGTAAAATGAAATACTAGATAGAGGTTAGAAACCAAGTGACAGGGGACCAAAGAGGAAACATTTATTCTCTCACTTGGAGCTTGGGGAACCTGTATAGAAGCATCATTTGAGCTGGGACTTAAGTAATACATAGATAAGCAGAGGACAGGGAGTGTCAGAGCAAATATGGGTATTTTAGGCAGAAAGATCAGAATGAACAGTTAAGAAAAGTGAATGACAATAGTCCTATGTGGCTGTATCTGAGTACTCATGAGATCATACATGATCTCATTCTTTTTTTATGGCTGTATAATATTCCATGGTGTATTTGCACCACATTTTCTTTATTCAGTCCACCATTGATGGGCATTTAGGTGGATTCCATGACTTTGCTATTGTAAATAGTGCTGTGATGAACATACATGTGCATGTGTCTTTATGGTAGAATGATTTATATTCCTTTGGGTATATACCCAATAATGGGATTGCTGTGTCAAATTGCAATTCTGCTTTGAGTTTTTTGAGAAATCAGCAAACTGCTTTCCACAATGGCTGAACTAATTTACATTCCCACGAGCAGTGTATAAGCGCTCCCTTTTCTCTAAAACCTTGTTAACATCTGTTATTTTTTGACTTTTTAATAATAGCCATACTGACTGGTGGGAGATGGTATTGCATTGTGATTTGGATTGGTATTTCTCTAGTAATCTGATTAGTGATGTTCAGTAATTTTTCATATGTTTCATTTGTTGGCTGCATGTATGTCTTCTTTTGAAAAGTGTCTATTCATGTTCTTTGTCCAGTTTTTAATGGGGTTGTTGGATTTTTGCTTGTTAATTTAAGTTCCTTAAAGATTTCGGATATCAGACCTTTGTTGGATGCATAGTTTGCAAATATTTTCTCCCATTCTGTAGGTTGTCTGTTTACTCTGTTGATAGTTTCTTTTGCTATGCAAAAGCTTTTTAATTTAATTAGGTTGCATTTGCCAACTTTTGTTTTTGTTTTTGCTTTTGTTGCAATTGCTTTTGGCACTTAATTTCCTCCAGGTTCATCCACACTGCTGCAAATGACACGATTTGCTGCTTTTTAAATGCTGAATAGTATTCCATTGTATACACGTGTGACTTTTTCTATATCCATTCATCCATTGATGGATACTTAGCTTGATTCCATATCTTTGCTGTTGTGAATAGTGCTAAAATAAACATGGGAGGGCAGATATCTCTTGGACAAACTGACTTCCATTCCTTTGGATAGATACCCAGTAATTGAATTGCCAGATTATATGGTAATTGTATTTCTAACATTTTTAAAAACTCTCCATACTGTTTTCCAATATGGCTGGACTAATTTACATTCCCACCAACAGTAAGTATATAAGAGTTCCCTTTTCTCCACATCCTTGCCAGTATTTGTTTGTTTTTTGTCTCTTTTATAATAGCCATCCTAACTGGAGTGAAGTGATATCACATTGCAGTTTTGATTTGCATTTTCCTGATGATTGGTGACGTTGAATATTTTTTCATGTAACTGTTGGCTATTTGTATGCTTCTTTTGAGAACTGTCTATTCAGGTCTTTTGCCCATTGTAAAATCAGATTATTTGTTGTTTTGCTATTTAATTGTTTGAGTTAACAGTCTCTTAATGACAGTAATGCCTTTATCTGCTATTTTTAGGAATTAGATGTTCCATAAAAGTAAAATTTATAGGTAACAAAAGGTTTTACACAAATACTTAGTTTTAACAATTTTGAATGAACACTCGAAAAAGTAATCTATATTTTCCTAAATTTTTTATTCTTTTTATAAAATTTTTAGTTTTTATGGGTGCATGTCAGGTGTATATATTTCTAGGTTACATGAGATATTTTGATACAGACATACAATCTGTAATAATCACATCAGGGTAAATGGGGTATCCATCACTTCAAGCATTTTTATTTTCTTTGTGTTACAAACATTCCAGTTATGCTTTTAGTTATTTTAAAATGTACATTAAGTTATTGTTGACTACAGTCACCCTTTTGTGCTATAAAATGCTAGGTCTTACTCATTCTATCTAACTATATTTTTGTGCCCAGTAATAATCCCCAATTTCTTTCTACCCACCTCTACCCTTCCCAGCCTCTGGTAACCATCCTTCTGATATCTATCTCCAACTGTTTAAAATTTTAGCTCTCATAAATGAGTGGAAAACATGCAAAGTTTGTCTTTCTGTGCCTGGCTTATTTCACTTAACATAATAATTCTCCAGTTCCATATGTGTTGTTGCAAATGACAGGAACTCATTTTTCTTTATGGCTGAATAGTACTCCATTGTGTGTAAGTACCACATTTTCTTTATCCATTTGTCTCTTGATGGACACTTAGGTTGCTTCCAAATCATGGTTATTGTAGAATAGTGCTGCAATAAACACGGGGGTGTAGACATCTCTTTGATATCCTGATTTCCTTTCTTTTGGGTATATACCTAGCAGTGGGATTGCTGGATTATACGGTAATTCTATTTTTAGTTTTCTGAGGAACCTCCATATTGTTCTACATAGTGGCTGTAGTAATTTACATTCCAACCAACAGTGTACAAGGGTTCCCTTTCCTCTACATCCTCGCCAGCATTCATTATTGCCTGACTTTTGAATAAAAGCCATTTTAACTGGGATGAGATAATATCTCATTGTAGTTTTTATTTGCATTTCTGATGATCAATTATGTTGAGCATCTTTTCATATACCTGTTTGCCTTTTGTATGTCTTCTTTTGAGAAATGTCTATTCAGATCTTTTGTCCATTTTTAATCGGATTATTAGATATTTTCCTATTTAGTGATTTCAGCTCCTTAAGTATTCTGGTTATTAATCCCTTGTCAGATGAATAGTTTGCAAATATTTTCTCCCATTCTATGGGTAGTCTCTTCTACTTGCTGATTGTTTTCTTTGCTGGTAGAAGCTTTTTAGCTTGATGTGATCTCCTTTCTTCATGTTTGCTTTGGTTACCTGTACTTGTGGTGGGGTATTGCTCAGGTAATCTGTGCTCAGTCCAATGTCCTGGAGAGTTTCCCCAGTGTTTTCTTTTAGTAGTTTCATATTTTGAGGTCTTAGATTTAAGTCTTCATTCCATTTTGATTTGATTTTTGTATATGGCAGGAGATACGGGTCTAGTTTCATTCTTCTGCACATGGATATGCAGTTTTGCCAGCAGCATTAATCGGAGAGCCTATCTTTTCCCCAATGTATGTTCTTGGCACTTTGTTGAAAATAAGCTCACTGTGAATGTATAGATTTATTTCTGAATTCTCTATTATTTTTCTTTGGTCTATATGTCTGTATTTATGCCAGTACCATGCTTCTTTGGTTACTATAACTGTGTAGTATAATTTAAAGTCAGGTAATATGTTTCCTCTAGTTTTGTTCTTTTTGCTCAGGATGGCTTTGGCTATTCTGGGTCTTCTGTGGTTTCATATAAATTCTATAATTATTTTTTCTATTTATGTGAATGATGTCATTGGTATTATATCTTAATAGGGATTGCATTAAATCTGTAGATTGCATTGGGTAGTATGAACCTTTTAATAAAATTGAAACTTCCAATCCATGAACATGGAATATCTTTCCATCTTTTTGTGCCATCTTCAATTTCTTATATCATTGTTTTACAGTTTTCATTGTAGAGCTCTCTTCTTTGGTTAGGTTTCCTCCTAGTACTTTATTTTATTTGTTGTTATTGTAAATGGGAATACTTACTTGATTTCTTTTTCAGATTGTGTGCCATTGGCATCTAGAAATACTACTGATTTATATATGTTGATTTTGCATTCTGCAGCTTTACTGAATTTATCAGTTCTAATAGTTTGTTGTGGGGCCTTTAGGTTTTTCAAACTATAAGATCATATTATCTGCAAACAAGGATAATTTGACTTTTTCCTTTCCAATTTTGTTGCCCTTCTTTCTCTTGTCTGATGTCTCTAGCTAGGACCTCCAGTACTACGTTGCATAACAGTGGTAAAAGTGGATATATCTGTCCTGTTCCAGGTATTAAAGGAAAGGCTTTCAGTTTTTCCCTATTCAATATGATACTGAGCTGTGGATCTGTCACATATAGCTTTTATTGCAATGAGGTATGTTCCTTGCATACACAGATTTTTTAGGGTTTTTTTTAAATTTATTTTTTTATTATACTTTAAGTTTTAGGGTACATGTGCACATTGTGCAGGTTAGTTACATATGTATACATGTGCCGTGCTGGTGCGCTGCACCCACTAACTCGTCATCTAGCATTAGGTATATCTCCCAATGCTATCCCTCCCCCCTCCCCCCACCCCACCACAGTCCCTAGAGTGTGATATTCCCCTTCCTGTGTCCATGTGATCTCATTGTTCAATTCCCACCTATGAGTGAGAATATGCGGTGTTTGGTTTTTTGTTCTTGCGATAGTTTACTGAGAATGATGATTTCCAATTTCATCCATGTCCCTACAAAGGACGTGAACTCATCATTTTTTATGGCTGCATAGTATTCCATGGTGTATATGTGCCACATTTTCTTAATCCAGTCTATCATTGTTGGACATTTGGGGTGGTTCCAAGTCTTTGCTATTGTGAATAATGCCACAATAAACATACGTGTGCATGTGTCTTTATAGCAGCATGATTTATAGTCCTTTGGGTATATACCCAGTAATGGGATGGCTGGGTCAAATGGTATTTCTAGTTCTAGATCCCTGAGGAATCGCCACACTGACTTCCACAATGGTTGAACTAGTTTACAGTCCCACCAACAGTGTAAAAGTGTTCCTGTTTCTCCACATCCTCTCCAGCACCTGTTGTTTCCTGACTTTTTAATGATTGCCATTCTAACTGGTGTGAGATGGTATCTCATAGTGGTTTTGATTTGCATTTCTCTGATGGCCAGTGATGATGAGCATTTTTTCATGTGTTTTTTGGCTGCATAAATGTCTTCTTTTGAGAAGTGTCTGTTCATGTCCTTCGCCCACTTTTTGATGGGGTTGTTTTTTTCTTGTAAATTTGTTTGAGTTCATTGTAGATTCTGGATATTAGCCCTTTGTCAGATGAGTAGGTTGCGAAAATTTTCTCCCATTTTGTAGGTTGCCTGTTCACTCTGATGGTAGTTTCTTTTGCTGTGCAGAAGCTCTTTATTTTAATTAGATCCCATTTGTCAATTTTTTCTTTTGTTGCCATTGCTTTTGGTGTTTTGGACATGAAGTCCTTTCCCATGCCTATGTCCTGAATGGTAATGCCTAGGTTTTCTTCTAGGGTTTTTATGGTTTTAGGTCTAACGTTTAAATCTTTAATCCATCTTGAATTGATTTTTGTATAAGGTGTAAGGAAGGGATCCGGTTTCAGCTTTCTACATATGGCTAGCCAGTTTTCCCAGCACCATTTATTAAATAGGGAATCCTTTCCCCATTGCTTGTTTTTGTCAGGTTTGTCAAAGATCAGATAGTTGTAGGTATGCAGCATTATTTCTGAGGGCTCTGTTCTGTTCCATTGATCTATATCTCTGTTTTGGTACCAGTACCATGCTGTTTTGGTTACTGTAGCCTTGTAGTATAGTTTGAAGTCAGGTAGTGTGATGCCTCCCGCTTTGTTCTTTTGGTTTAGGATTGACTTGGTGATGCGGGCTCTTTTTTGATTCCATATGAACTTTAAAGTAGTTTTTTCCAATTCTGTGAAGAAAGGCATTGGTAGCTTGATGGGGATGGCATTGAATCTGTAAATTACCTTGGGCAGTATGGCCATTTTCAAGATATTGATTCTTCCTACCCATGAGTATGGAATGTTCTTCCATTTGTTTGTATCCTCTTTTATTTCTTTGAGCAGTGGTTTGTAGTTCTCCTTGAAGAGGTCCTTCACATCCCTTGTAAGTTGGATTCCTAGGTATTTTATTCTCTTTGAAGCAATTGTGAATGGGAGTTCACTCATGATTTGGCTCTCTGTTTGTCTGTTGTTGGTGTATTAAGAATGCTTGTGATTTTTGCACATTGATTTTGTATCCTGAGACTTTGCTGAAGTTGCTTATCAGCTTAAGGAGATTTTGGGCTGAGACAATGGGGTTTTCTAGATATACAATCATGTCATCTGCAAACAGGGACAATTTGACTTCCTCTTTTCCTAATTGAATACCCTTTATTTCCTTCTCCTGCCTAATTGCCCTTTTTTAGGGTTTTTAATCGTGAAAGGATGTTGAACTTTATCAAATGATTTTCAGCATCAATTGGAATTATATGCTTTCTGTCCTTCATTGTGTTGATAGGATGTAGGACATTGATTGATTTATGTATAACTATCCTTGCATCCCTAGGATAAATCCCACTTGATCATGATCAATTACCCTATTAATGTGTTGCTGAATTTGGTTTGTTAATATTTGGTTGAGGTTTTGCATTGATGTTCATCAGAGAGACTTGCCTGTAGTAGTTTCCTTTTTTTTTTCGATATGTCTTTGTCTGGTTTTGGTATCAGGGTAATACTGGCCTCATAGAATGAGTCTGGAAGTATTTCTTCCTGCTCCGTTTTTTCAGAATAGTTTCAGTAGGGTTGGCATTAGTTCTTCTTTAAACGTTTGGCAAAAATCAGCAGTGAAGTCATTGGGTTCCAGGTTTTTCTTTACTGGGGGACTATTTGTCATGGCTTTCTTCTCATTACTTGTTATTGGTCTATTCAGGTTTTGGTTTTCTTCCTGATCCAATCATGGAAGGTTCTGTGTGTCTAGGAATTTATCCATTTCTTCAACGTTTTCCAATTTATTGGCGTATAGCTGCTCCCAGTAGTCTCCAGGGATTCTTTGAATTTCTGTGGTATTGGTTGTATGTCCCATTTTTCATCTTTATCTATTTGGGTTTTCTCTTTTTCTTTATTCTGGCTAAAGGTTTGTTGATTTTATTTATTTTTTAAAGAAAACAACTTTTCATGTCATTGATGTTTTGTGTTTTTTTATTTCAATTTATTTCTGCTCTGATCTTTATTAATTCTTTTCTTCTACTAATTTTCCATTTGGTTTGCTCTTGCTTTTCTAGTTCTATTATTAGGTTGTTAATTTGAAGGTTTTCTACATTTTTGATGTAGGCACTCATTTTTATAAACTTTCCTATTAGTACTGTTTTTGCTATATCTCATAGGTTTTGTTACATTTTGTTTTCATTTCCACTTGTTTCAAGAAATTTTAAAATTTTCTTCTTAATTTCTACATTAACCCACTGGTCATTCAGGAGCATACTGTTTATCTCCATGTATTTGTATAGTTTCCAAAGTTTCTGTTATTATTGACTTAGTTTTATTCCATTGTGGTTAGAGAAGATGCTTGATATTTCAATTTAAAAAAAATTTTGGCTGGGCATGCTGGCTCACACCTGTAATCCCAGCACTTTGGGAGGCCAAGGTGGCAGATCATTTGAGCCAAGGAGTTTGAGAACAGCTTGGGCAATATGGTGAGACCCTGTCGCTACAAAAAAAAAAAAAAAAAAAAAAAAAAAAAAAGAGAAAGAAAACATTGCCAGGTGTGGTGGCATGTGCCTGTAGTCCCACTGTAGTCCCAGCTACTTGGAAGGCTGAGGTGGAAGGTTCCCTTCAAGTCTGGTAGGTTTAGGCTGCAGTGAGCCGAAATCATGCCACTACACTCCAGCCTGGGCAACAGAGTGAGAACTTGTCTGAAAAAAAAGAAAAAAGAAAAAAATTATTTGTTTTATGACTTAACATATGGTTTATCCTTGAGAATGATCCACGTGCCAAAGAGACAATTGTGTCTTCTGTAGCTGTTGGATGAAATGTTCTGTAAATATCTATTAGGTCCATTTGTTCTCTACTGCACATTAAGTGTGATATTTCTTTGTGGATTTTCTGTCCGGATGATCTGTCCAATGCTGAAAGTAGGGTGTTGAAGTCTCCAGCTATTATTATATCAGGGTCTATATCCCACCTTCTAGTTTGTATAATATTTGCTTTATACACCTGGGTGCTCCAGCTTTGGGTGCATATATACACTTGTTCTATCTTCTTGCTGAATTGATCCTCTTATCATTATATAATGACCTTCTTTATCTCTTTTTATAGTTTTTGTCTTGAAATCTATATTGTGTGATATAAGTATAGCTACTCCTCTTTGTTGTTTTCTATTTGCATGGAATATCTTTTTCCATCCTTTTATATTCAGTCTATGTGTGTCCTTATAGGTGAAGTGTGTTTCTTAAGGATGGCAGCTAGTTGGGGCTTTTTAATGCATTCAGCCATTCTATGTTTTTTGATTGAAAAGTTTATTCTATTTAAATTCAATGTTATTATTGATAAGTTCTTACTCCCTTCCCATTTTATTATTTGTTTTCTGGTTGTTTTGTGATCTCTTCCTTTGTTCCCTCTCTGTCTTCTTTTTGTGAAGGTGATTGTCTCTGGTGGTATGTTTTAATTTCTTGCTTTTTATTTTTTGGTGTATCTGTTCTAGGTTCATTGATTTGAGGCTACCATGAATGTTATAGATAACATCTTATATTGCATTATTTCAAACTGATGACAACAGTGATTGCTAAAACAAACAAACAAACAAAGAGAAAACTAATTGAAACTCTATACTTTAACTTTATCCCCTCCATGGCTTTTTACATTTTTATTGTTTCTATTCATATCTTATTATACTGTCTATGTCTTCAAAACTTGCAGTTATTATTTTTGATAGGTTCATCTCTTAGTCTTCCTACTCAAGGTATGAGTAGTTCACACACCACAACTACAGTGTTATAATATTATTCCTTTGAATATGCTTTCTATCTCGATCTCTCTACCACCTCTTTAAGGCAAATAACTCTTAGATCTGTACTTTTGAAGCTATTTTCTAGATGTTGTAGGTGTGCTTCATTCTATTTTATTCTTTTTTTGTCTCCTCTGACTGTGTATTTTCAAACAGCCCCTCTTCAAGCTCAATACTTTTTTCTTCTGCTTGATCAGTTCTGCTGTTGAAAGACTCTGATGCATTCTTCGGTATATCAATTGCATTTTTCAGCTCCAGAATTTATGCTTGATTTTTTTAAAGTATTTCAATCTCTTTGTTCAATTTATCTGATAGAATTCTGAATTCCTTCTCTGTGTTATCTGGAATTTCACTGAGCTTCCTCAGAACAGCTATTTTGAATTCTGTCTAAAAGGTCACATACCTCTGTTACTCTGGGATTGGTCACTGGTTCCTTCTTTATTTCATTTTCTGAGGTAATGTTATCCTGGATGATCTGGATGCTTGTGGATATTTCTTGGTGCTTGTGCACTGAAGAGATAGGTATTATAATATTCACAGTCTGGGCTTGTTTATACCTGTCCTTCTTGAGAATGCTTTTCAAGCATTCAAAGGGAATTGAGTGTTGTGATCTAAGTTTTTGGTCACTTTAGCCATATATGCATTAGGGGGCACCCCAAGCCCAGTAACGCTGTGGCTCTTGCAGACTAGTAGAGGTACTGTTTTGGTGGTCTTGGGTAATATCTAGGAGAATTCCCTGGATTACCAGGCAGAATGTGTTGTTCTCTTCCCTTACTTTCTCTCAAACAAAAGGAATCTCTCTCACCATGCTGTGCTGCCTGGAGTTGGAGGAGAGGTGATGCAAGCACCCCTGTGGCCACCACTGCTGGGACTGAGCTGCATTAGACCAGAAACCAGCATAGTTCTGGGTTTTGCCCAAGGCTTATGGTGAGTATTGCTGTTTGTTCAAGGCCCAAGGGTTCTTTAATCAGCAGGTGGTGAATCCAGCCAGGCTTGTGTCTTTCCCTTCAGGGTGGTGGTGTCCCTTCTGGCCCAGGGTGGGTCTAGAAATGCTGTCTGGGAGGTAGGGTCTGGAGTCAGGAACTTTAGGAATCTATTCGGTGCTTTATTTTACTGTGGCTGAACTGGTACCCAAATTGCAAGGTGAAGTCCTTTTTACTTTTCACTCTCCTTTCCTCAAGCAGAGAAAAGGAGTCTCTCCCCTTGGCCACTACAGCTGGGAATGTGCTGGGTCACACCTGAAGCCTTGCCCAAGGCTCATGGTGAGTACTGCTTAGCTACTAATAATGTTTATTCAAGGTCCAAGGGCTCTGTAGTCAGCAGGTGATGAATCCTTCCAGAACTGGGTCCTTTCCTTCAAATTGGTGGGTTCCCTTCTGGCCCAGGGTGTGTCTAGAAATGTCATCCAGGATCTAGGGCCTGGAGTGTGGGCTTCAGGACTCTGCTTGGTGCTTTATTTTACTGTGGCTGAGCTGGTATCCAAATGTTAAGACAAAGTCCACTTTAATCTTTCCTCTCCTCCCAGAGCTGTGAGCTGTACTGCCTGGAGTTGGGGGAGGGGTGATGCAAACGCTTTCTTGGCCATATGCACCGCAAGTCCTCTGGTTCTGAGCCCAGCACAGAACCACCAGGACTTGCCTCAAAATTGCAGTCCTTTTGGTCTAGACTGCCTTTCGTATTTATTTAGGACCCCAGGGCACTTTAGCTCACAGTGGTGAGGCTTGCCAGAGGGATGGACAATTCTCCTCCGGCTAGGGCTGGTCTAAATGCTCCCTCCATGGGTATGGGCACAATTATGCCCCATGTTGTTTTCCTCTGTGACAGGGTAGCACTGAGTTCTGATGCAAAGTCCCACAATCACTGTGCTCTCCTTCCCCTAAACACACAGATTTTCTCTCTGTGCCAAGCTGCACCACCAGGGGATGAGGGAGGGGTGGTGTAAGAAATTAATGACTATCTTTCCTATCCTATCCAGTGCCTCTTTCCTTAATATGATGTTAAAACAAGGCACTGTTACTGCTCACCTGATTTTTGATTCTTACAAAGATGCTTTCTTGTGTGGGGAGTTGTTCAATTTGGTGTTCCTATGGAGGGGATGATCACTGGTGGGTTTTATTTGGCCATCTTGCTCCCTGTCCTATTTTCTTAACTAATAGATACTGATTATGATTTATTATTGACAGTGGATTATCTTTGTATGCCATTATTTAACATAGTAGTAAGATTATTTGTTTCTAAACTGTTGCAATTTTTCACTCTTGTCATAAATTTTTGGAAATGGAACAGATCTTAGCAATCAAGCAGTCTGACTCATTTTTGAGTTCTCACATTGGATAATTTTCTTTGAGGGAGGAAGGTTCTCACTTCAGTTGTTGCTTCTAGCAGCATCTCTCCTCTCTCTCTTTTTTTTTGTGTGATGTCATGCTTCTAATATCCCTTTGGCTCAGAAAAGACAATCAAGCTTGGTTCTACAGAAAGAGTAAAATTAGCTTCTAGAGAAAGCTTGGGGGCTTCAGGGCAAGTACCCTCTGTCTGACATTTACATTGGTGGCTCAGTGATGTTTTTGTTTATTTCCTGAATCCTGGCTATGCACTGGATTTCTGAGGTTGCCAGATAAGATTTATCTATAAAACAGACCCTTAACATATTTAATCCTCACGTCAACCCTATAAGGTAGGCATTGCTACTATCCCCATTAATGATAAGTTTGACTAACTGCCTAGGGTAACACAAGCTAGTAAGTGAAGAAATGGTATTTGTACCCAGATAGTTTGGCTCTGGTATCTCTGCTCTTCACCATTCTACACTAGTTATCTTCAATGAAACCTAAAGCTGTTATTTAACTGTAAAAGTGAAAATTAAATAGGCACATTCATGGGTGCAGTAGTAAATGTTTAGAAATCTGCTCTCAGGGTTGGAGAAAGCCCTAATGTGTAGTGTGTGCCAGTTTCCATGGTGTAAATACTCCCACCATAGCCACGTGAATGTGGAATTGGGATGAAATGTGTACAACTGACTGAACAAGCTCACCACTGGACATTACAGATTCAAAACTTAAGTACAATTGATTATTCACTCAGTTACAGATTGAACTGCTTATTCTACTCTTTCCCCACTTCTCACTACTGAACTTACCTAGTCTTAAAAAAGCTTAACTACAACTAAATACAATTCAAAATCTGTAACTATTTTACTTTGCTATTCTTTTCACTTGTGCATACCTAATTTCCTTTTTTTTTTTTTTGAAACAAGGTCTCGCTCTGTTGCCCAGGCTGGAGTGCAGTGGCACGATCACGGCTCACTGCAGTCTCCACCTCCCAGGATCAAGTGATACTCCCACCTCAGCTTCCTGAGTAGTTGGGAATACAGGTGTACACCACCACACCCGGGTAATTTTTTTATTTTGTAGAAACAGGGGTCTCACTATGTTGCCCAGGCTGGCTTCAAACTTCTGGCTTCAAGCTATCCTCCCACCATGGCCTCCTAAAGAGCTGGGATTACAGGTGTGAACTACCATGGCTGGCCTCATACTTATGTTTAAAAACTAGTGAAAACCCATGCACATTCCCAAATTAAGTGTTTCTACTTGTTACTCTGTTGAAAACCACAAAATATGTACCCTGAAACTCCAAGGAAGAACAATCAAACTTCCTTTGTGGAACAAGAAAGAAACCCTTTTAGTGTGTGTGCTTTTTTGTGTGGTGTTGTGTGTTTCTGTTGCTACAGCAGGCCTTGTTGAGCCTCTTTTTCCCTTTAGCTTTTTTCTATCCTTAAAATATTGGAAAGGGTCTCTTATAATGCGCCAGCGAATTCCAAACCTTTCAAATTAAAATTAGTGACTTTGTAAGTTATCTTTCTAAAGGACCACAAAACATTCAGATGTAAAGTTAGCCATTTATTATAAGCAATATAGATGTGGTCATGTTCAGAATTTATCATAGATATTTAATCTCCCGATTTTCAGTGTGTTAGGGAATAGAAAGTGAAGGGAATATTTAAAACATACACAGGACCAGAAGCTTTTCTCATATTAAACAAGATTTTGGAAAATGTGAAGGATGGCATTTTTTTCAAAGATAGATTAAAATATCATCTTTTGCCTGAGAAAAAAATTCACTTCCTTTTTTAAAAATTGATGTATCATAGTTGTACATATTTTTGTGATAAATGTGATATTTTGATAACTGTATATAATATGTAATGATTAAATCAGGGTAATCAGGATATTTGTCATCTCAAATATTTATTTTTCTTTGTGTTGAGAAGATTACAATTCTTTTAGCTGTAAGTTATTCACTACTGTATTATTGTATACTAGAGCTTATTTCTTCTGTCTAACTGTATTTTTGTGCCCCTTATACAACTTCTCTTCATCCCTCCCCTTCCTGGCCTCCGATAACCACCAATCTACTCTCTATCTTCATGAGATTCACTTTTTTAGCTCCCACATGAGTGAGAACATGTGACATTTGTCTTTCTGTGCCTTGCTTATTTCATTTGACACAATATCCTCTAGTTTCATCCATGTTGCTACAAATGACAGGATTTCATTTTTTAAGGCTGTATAGTATTCCATTGTGTACACATACCACATTTTCTTTATCCATTCATCTTTTGATGACTGATTCCATATCTTGGCTATTGTAAATAGTGCTGCAATATCAAAGCATTTCTTTAAGTGCTCATAAAAATTGATCTTTGAAAACAAGAGTTCAGGCCCTCAAGAACACAAGTCCAATGAACAGAAACCATATCACTGAATCTATGTTGTTTATGTTGCTGAGTTTTGCTTATCAGCAAATTTTGTTATTCTCTCATAATAAAACAACACCATATTATACAAATGGAATCAGTTTTACCACAGTCTGTAAAATTATGTTTTTTTCTCAAAATGTTGAGAGCTGATCTTTAAAACCAATGTTGATATGCTAATACATAGATTCCTGTACAAGTTCTAGAGTTTTCCACTTTTCTGTCCAAAATTTCACTGTAACAACTATTTCCTTTGGAAAGTACCAGGCTTAAGAAGCCAAAAATGGGTTACATAGCTCAGTTGATTAAAACGTAGCACTAATAAGATCAAAGCTATGGTTCCATTAACTTTCTTGTGGACCGGTTATACAGAAGACAGACAGTACTCTTAATTTCATTCATTAAGTGTTTTACTGAATATCTACACACATGCCTGGCACTATGCTAGCCTGTGGGGCTATAGAGAGTAATAAAGTGCAGTCCCTGCCCTCTACACACTTGCAAATATCTTCCGTATGTTAGATATTCATCACTAGGAAGAATATGATCCAAGCCAGTGAAATGAATTGTATATATCTACTATTATGGCCAGTAGTAGAAAATAATAATTCCCAAATCACATTTCAAACTGATACAAGTAGAATAAAAAGGAAAATTTATTTTCCTTCAATGTCCAATGATTTGTAAAATAACAAATTGTTTTGTATTGGTTTTGATATTTCTCAACTTGATAGTGTTCTTTATTTAAAAACTGGTAACCTGAAACAGTCTACAGTTTGGGAGAGAGAAACAGTATAATGTAGCCAAAGTAACTCAAATGGGATCAGAAGATTGGGTTGCATCTTCTGCATGAAGGAGGTCAGGCTGTGCTAGGTTTCTAAGGTTCTATAATCAAGTCTGGCAAAGGAAGATCACTACATTTCTTCTATCCTTATAGAATCTCTCCAAATCATTTATTAATTTCATCCTATTTTTCTAAACAAACATAGCGCTCATCCCAAAGAAAAGAAAAAAGTCCTTAATTTGCTAAAAGTATCTGATGAGAAAAACTGATAATTGGACAACAGATAGTCTAAACCCCAATCACAGAACAGCTGTCTTTTCAAGATTTCAATCTTTCTAAATCTGTACTTTGTTTCAAAGGTAATTGTGAGATCATTCACACCCTTTTCTTTCATGGACTGTTAGGCAAAAATCATTAACACAAACTATAAAATTTATTTGTTAAATGCCTATCTGATTTGTAGAGATCAATCAAGGATTTACTCATAAATCTTATATCTAATAATTACATTTTCAGAGTTGAATAGCAGAAAAAGCTGTCATTTTTATAATTCCAGTGTATTTATACCACTTTGTATTTGACAATTTAGTCATCAAGAGTAGTTAATCTGGACCCTTATTACTTAAATATAGATTCCTGAGTCCATTATAACTTAAAGCACACTTATCTTGATACAACAAATGTATATAGTAGTTACAGATTCCAATTCTAGGAGAAATTCTCAAGCTTAATAGTCATTAATAATAACGAGACATGGCTAGAGTTTCATGCATTTTCATTCTGCTATCTAAAGTATCTTAGGAGAAGGGACAGATTAGAAATAGGTAGCAATTAAGTAGAAGAAGAAATAGAGATTCAATTTCAAATGTTTAACAGTGAAAAAAGGTTTTGGCATTTACCTATCTTGGGAACAAAGGTAATGAAATAAGCTGTAGCAACTCTTACCTATTGCTGTTGAATATCATTCAATTAAAATGTTAATACAAAGAATGTCTATCTTGGGCATTATTGGGGAAAAATTATTATTCACAACGTATAGAAATCCACTGTAGGATCCTGCTGGTGGCCAACTTCTTTCATTTCCTTCAAAAAGCTAATGATATTATGGTTTTTGTCTAATCTTATTTGTAAACACAAATTCACTGAACAAATATTTATTAAGCACCAACTATGTAATAAGTTCTGTGCCTCTGGACCTTTTTTTCCCCACATTTAATATTAACGTGTTAAAATGTAAAATAAATTCTAAAATATTTTTACAATATATTAAATATTCTAGCATAGTGATAACATACTTACAGCACCTTGGCATTGAAATACAAAATACAAGGTGAAGGAAGCTGTTCTAGTATCTCTTTCAACTAACATTTTCTAATATTAACATATTAGAAAATAGAGGTTATTCACAATGAGAATAATAAGGGCAACTGAAGGGCAAAGTAGTTCTTCTTATAAAACTACATTCAATACTGTCCAAACATCCTGATAATACAATAGGGTCAGCACTTCTGAATTTGCTGATATCCAGAATGAACAAGATCTAGGTGTAAAGAGTTCCAACGTAACAAACATTTCCTCCATTATAAAATCTGGAACCAATTCAAGTGGACTTCTAAATATTCATTTTGTCCACAGTAGCTTTTCAAAGGCTTGGCTTTTCCTCCTATATCCCAAACTCTTCAGACAACTGGGGAAGGACAATTATTTCAAAGGGTGATACCAAACTTCATCAGACCAAGAATCCTAAGTAGTGATTTTTCAAAACAGAAAAAAAAAATCTAAACTTTTAAGCCAAACTAGCCTCTCTTTCTTCAAAGTCCTGTTTAGTGGCAACTTTTTTTGTTTCCTTTTGATTGGTCTCAGTCACAGATGAACCAAATTTGCGTTTCTTGATTCCTTCATAGCAGTTCTTGCAATATATATATGTATTTACTATCAGTGTACCTCATCAAAGAAACAAATACACAAGTGATTTCTTAAAAGTATCTGGATTATATATCGGTGTTTCACTAGGAACCAGACAAAATCAGTAGTGCATACCCTTGTATAAAGTGATTATCCTCCTGCTATGGTTTGAATATGGTTTATTTGGCCCCCAAATTTCTTTTCTTTCTTTACCTGGCCTCACGTATTTCTTTATAGCCACACAAATGAACTTAGACACCTCCTATCTAGCCTTTTGTTAAAATCTAGTCTGTTGCAGAATAGGCATTAGTACAGATTAGCTGTTGATTAAAGCAATGGTTCTTAATATTCTGGATTATCACAGATCATCTTTTGGAGGGAGGGTGTATCGCAGGGAATGTGACCCAAATCACCTTTATTACCATTTTTTAAAATCAACAAAGGCACATAGCTAATGTAGAGTACAGCAAGTTGCCTTTCTGCCCTGCACCTCTAGATAATTTTGCTGTAGTTTTTGAAGGCAATAATACATTAGGAAATGGGTCACATACTTGATATAGCACAAAAATTCTCTGGTAGATGGAGTCCTCAGGAAACAGTATATTAAAGACATTAGGGAATTAGAAATGACACTGTTCAAAAGGTCACAGATGAATAATTTGTGGATGACATGTCACACTCATAGGTAAACAATTCTTAGAAATATTATATAAAACACCTGATCCTGCTTGAACTATTCTGACTTCCACTAGTGGTTATGTTTAACGTATCACATAGAACCTAAGGGCTAGATCAGCAATTCTCCAATTTTTTGGTCTCAGGACCCCTTTACACTCTTTAAAGTTATTGAGAACTCCAAATAACTTTTGTTTAGTAGATTATTTCTATTGATATTTACCACATTAGAAATTAACACGGAGGAATTTAAAAAATATTTATTTATTTATTCGGCTGGGCTTGGTGGCTCACGCCTGTAATCCTAGCACTTTGGGAGGCCGAGGTGGGTGGATCACGAGGTCAGGAGATAGAGACCATCCTGGTTAACACGGTGAAACCCCGTCTCTACTAAAAATACAAGAAATTAGCTGGGCATGGTGGCACGTGCCTGTTGTCCTAGCTACTTGGGAGGCTGAGACAGGAGAATCACTTGAACCTGGGAGGCAGAGGTTGCAGTGGCTGCACTCCAGCCTGGGTGACAGAGTGAGACTCCATCTCAATATATATATATATTCATTTAAAATAATCATAAGTTCATGTTAAAGTAATTAACCTAATTGTATTAAAAATAACTATATTTCCCAACAAAATGTAACAAGGAAGAGTGGCATTGTTTTTCATTTGTGCCAACCTGTAATATCAGATGTAATAAAAGATGGCTGAATCTTCATAGCTGTTTCTGCATGAGATCTATAGTGATATGTTGTTTTGGTTAAAGCACAAGAAGGAAATCTTTTTTTTATTATACTTTAAGTTCTAGGGTACATGTGCACAACGTGCAGGTTTGTTACATATGTATACATGTGCCATGTTGGTGTGCTGCACCCACTAACTCGTCATTTACATTAGGTATATCTCCTAATGCTATCCCTCCCCCCTTCCCCCACCCAACAGGCCCCAGTGTGTGATGTCCCCCTTCCTGTGTCCAAGTGTTCTCATTGTTCAATTCCCACCTATGAGTGAGAACATGCGATGTTTGGTTTTTTGTCCTTGTGATAGTTTGCTGAGAATGATGGTTTCCAGCTTCATCCATGTCCCTACAAAGGACATGAACTCATCATGTTTTATGGCTGCATAGTATTCCATGGTGTATATGTGCCACATTTTCTTAATCCAGTCTATCATTGTTGGACATTTGGGTTGGTTCCAAGTCTTTGCTATTGTGAATAGTGCTGCAATAAACATACATGTGCATGTGTCTTTATAGCAGCATGATTTATAATCCTTTGGGTATATACCCAGTAATGGGATGGCTGGGTCAAATAAGCACAAGAAGGGAAACTATATTCAGATATGCAATTGGAAAACTGATGGATGTCTCAATAGCATTTTCAGATAACTGTAGATATTATCCTTTGATACTACACCAAAACTCAACAAATGGTAGTTTCTTAAATACTATGTGCAAGGTAGAATTTGAAACAATATCAATGAATTCTTTCTACTTGGTTAAATGAAAATCCATTGGTCTATCTCACACATTGAATGGATCTTTTATTTATATGGGGTTTTGCAATATCATGCATTGGTCATTTGGAAAATATTGGCTCACTGTGTTACATAGATCCCAGTTAGGCAGACTCAGTTATGCAGATTCACTGAGTTATGCAGTTATATGGTGACTCATTTCAAGATAAAACAATAACAAAAAAGTCAGTTGTTAATATCACCATTGATCCCATTAGAAAAGTCTAAGTATTGGGAAGTTATGCTTACATAGTAGATAAAAGTTTTTCAAAATTCTGATTTTTGCTTAAAAACTTAAATCTTATCATTGGCAACAAATATTGTCATTTGTTTTCCTGAAATGACAGGCTCACCCAGTTAACTTTAGAGAAAATATCTTCCAAATAGGACTGAAGTCTGAATAACTGTTGTTTGTCAGTGGATCTTCAAGTTAAAGAGTTGTTTGAAGTGGCTATTTCATCTCATGACTCAGTCATACAAGTGCTTTTCCTTCAGATAACCATCATACTTTGGTATGCTGTTGAAGTGCTTTATGCCCACTTCCCATTTCATGACACAGAAATACATATATATGTGTATATATACACATGTATATATATGTGCATATACATATATGTATATCAATATGTACACACACTATATACATAGTTGTGCAGGGTAGAGATTTAATAAAATTAATTATTCTTTTTGATTCATCAAGGGCATTCTTAAGTGAAACTAGCACTTTCTGTTTCCTGAAGTGCATGGAGGTAGAGAATACAATTAATACAGTTTGGTGCCACAGTCTTAATTTGTGTTAAGGTGACAGCAGTTTTACCCACCATTGCTTTTATATCATCTGTGTAAATATTAACACAGTGAATAAGGCAAACAATGTGTAAGTATTATTATAAAAATAGTTTTGATCTCATGGACCCCTGAAAGAATCTCAGAGACTAGTAGTCCCCAGATCATAATTTCAGAACCATTGTGCTGGATCGATGATCCTCAAACGTTAATAGGCAGAAGAATCACCTGGAAAACTTGTTAAAACACTGAGCTCTCTGGGCCCCATTCCTTCATTCAGTATGTCTGGGGTGGGGCTTGGGAATCTGCAGGTTTAACAAGTTCTGTGGGTTATTTTGCTGCATGTGGTCTGTGGAAAATACATTGAGAAATACTGGATTGGAGTTTGTTTATAGCTTTTCAAACATTAAGGTCAAAGAGTTTCAAGATAGCAGTCTATTCCCTCTGTCCAGATCAATGCCAATCCTTTACCATGCAGAGAAAAACTCTGCCAATAGAATTATTTTGTTTTCCTCAGTATGTAATGTACTTCACATAGAATTTTAAAAATTTGCTATATCAGAAATAGTCCCATTCCTTTCCTGTTATATTATATCTCCATTGTCACCATTATCTTTCACTTAAATCACCATTAACAACCCCTTAGCTGGTCTCCAAGCCACCAGTCTTAGACTTCTAATTCATTCTCCTCATGGCTACTAATGAAACATTTCTAAAAGGAAAAAGTACATTATTCTTTTTCAAAAGACCCTTAAAGAGCTCCATTTCACCTACGGAATAAAATTGAACCTCCTTTTATAAGATTCTGACCTGACTGCGTTAGATGTCCTGCTTTTACACTATCTACTACAGACTTCCCTTAAAGTTATCTGGTTTATTTGTCCTTCATAAACTATGAACTTCATGTTAGGGACTAGGTCTTTCATCACTGTATCTATAGCAACTAGCAGAGTGCCTACCACATAACACATGTCAAATAAATTTCTGATGAATGCAATTTTAAGTATAATATATTTAGTGATAATTTGAATTTTGATTTAATCTGAAAACAAATTCATCTTTTAAAGATAACTGTGGTTAACAGTCTAAGGTGTGCGTCCTCTCTCTATATAAAGATGGCATATCTAGACAAGACATGTCTGCCTACAGCAAAGACCTATCACAAAAACAGATAAAAAATTAAATACTAATTCTATCCTATAGACCTTGGGTTTAGTGGAATGCTTATTGCCACAGTGCTGATTCTGTTGAAATTACCATACTTCCAGAGCTGCATTAATGGTGACAAATAATCCCCTTCCAACATGGGGCTTTGGTATACCTCAGTTTCAAACTTCCATTCAGATGCTGGTACACATGCCATTTTAGCCCAAAGCTCAAGTTAAAACACAGTCATCCTGGTTCACTAGTAGGCTGATGGCTTGGATGGTTATGAGGAATTTCAGAGGGCATAAAAGAGAAGCATTGAAGCATCCAGAACAGGTTGAGTCTCTATAAAACCTTAAATTTCTGCTGATACTGAGGAAAAAAATAAGATATGCTATTGCAAGGCCAGGCAGAAATTATAGTGTATATGTTATTATATTGATAAATAGGGTATTCTGTAATTATATTAAAATTTTTATGCCAATGTTTTCTATTGTCATTGTTTCTGTTTTGGGGTGGTAAGGTTTCTAGAAGCCAGATTTAACATTTGCAGTTGCTATTTATTTATGTTTTCTAGAGGAATGCTAGTCAGTAAACTCTATACCATCAACATTTTCAATCCCATAAACTATGAAATACAAAAAGCTGTTCAGAATCTGATAGGACTATTTGATAAGAAAAGGTGAAACAACTATGACTAACAAGATATACACAAGTGGTTAAAAATAATTAGATTATTTGTCGGGCAGTTTAAAAAAAGGAGCAAACAGGAGACTTTGAGGTTTTAGAGAGAGAAAATTTATACAAATGATCATTAGAAATTACGGTGTTCCTTTTGTCCTTTATTTTTTGGTTCTAGCCAGGTGTGGTTGCTCATGTCTGTAATCCCAGCACTTTGAGAAGCTGAGACGGGAGGAATGCTTGAGCCCAGGAGTTCAAGGCTGCAGTGAACTATGATTGCACCACTGCACTCCAGCCTGGATGACAGGGCAAGACCCTGTCTCTAAAAATAAAAAGTAAAAATTATTTGTTGGTTGTATTTTCCTATAATGTGAGCCCTTGTAAAGGAGAATTCCACTGTTTATTCAATTGTTTATTTAGGAGCAAACATATGGGTACAGGCATAGGTCATAGCCTAGACTTACAATGAAACTGGGACATGACCTTCACCACTTTATCCTGAACCTTTCAGACCAGGTGGAACTAGTAAAACAATGCATGAAAGGTACCTGTACTCTGTACCTTAAATGTTGCCAAACTCTAGTCAATGCAATTTTTTTGTGTAGATCTGAAAGCCCTACCTAAATTGACATTTAAGTGCCAGACTAAAATATTATTAGGCAAAACAAACAAACAAAACAACAACAACAACAACAACAGAGGCTAAAAATGTGAGGTCCCTGGAAGGAAAAAACACTATCATTGTTTTGAGCATGCTGCTTACACACTCCCCTTCTCCTACTACAACATTCAGCATAATGCTGGTCATAAAGGGGCATTCAAACTTTTATTGAAATTGGTGCTTCTTCTTATGTGCATTCTCTTCAGGTATAGTTTTTAATATGGGGATTGGGTTGGAAATTGCATTTGTCATTAAAGTTAGGAAGAATATTATGTTGAGAGATTAGGTATTCATTTTGACCTGGCCACAAAATCCAAGGGTGCAAGAGTTCCAGTAGTCCAATTAGTTATTATTCCATTATGTACTCAAATTAGAGAAAAGGAGAATTTGGGATGCCTCTGCATGACTTTTGGTATCATATAGGTACCAAAAAATCTATAAAAAAGAACATTCTAGTACCTGAGTATATTAAATTTCCTCCTGTATGACATATTACAAAAGCTAGCTTCTACATTAAGGTCCACACATGAATTATAAAACCAAACATGAATCTGTCTCACTTATGTCCTTATCTTTTCACTATAAATTGTTTCTGAAAGTCAGTAAAGAGAATAAACCTAGCATGTAGAACCACTTTAAAGCCACATAAACCTGATATAAAAGCTACCATATTAGTACAAAAAAAGAATATTTGTCATCACATTGAATATATTCTGTTCCTATCATACTGAGGTTAACTTTATTGGTTAGTCTCTGACATTGACAAAGCTTTGACACAGTTAAAATATGAGGGCCGGGCATGGTTGCTCATGCCTGTAATCCCACCACTTTGGGAGGCCATGGTGGGCGGATTACTTGAGGTCAGGAGTTTGAGACCAGCCTGGCCAACATGGTGAAACCCCGCCTCTACTAAAATCCAAAAATTAGCTGGACATGGTAGCACACTCCTATAATCCCAGCTACTCAGGAGGCTGAGGCAGGAGAATCGCTTGAACCCGGGATGTAGAGGTTGAAGTGAGCCCATATTGCACCACTGCACTCCAGCCTGGGTGACAGAGCAAGACTGCGTCTCAAAAAAAAAGTCAGAAAGAAAGAAGGAAGGAAGGAAGGAAGGAAAAAAGGAAGGAAGGAAGAGAAGAGAAGAGAATAGAAGAGAGAAATTGTTAAGTGTCTGATAATCAGTGCTACCCAAATCGTATTTCGGATGTTAAGTATTTGGAAAGACAAAAAGGACTCTGCAGATAAATTCAGAAAATAATGCATTGAACAAAGTCAAACAGGGTTTCTTTTGCATATTAGAGGCTCTAAGAAGCCCTGCAGTGATATACACTGCCAATCTCCAAAGCTGGGCTATAGATGAGGGTAAGGAGATGGTCAAGCTATCCTTTAATAAACCAGGATGTGCACTGAGCACTGTACATATATTATTTAATTTACACCTCACAATAACCCTATGACATAGAGACAATTATATTACCCATTCTATGGGAGAAGAAACTGAGTCTTAGATTAATTTGGTTAAGGTCACAAAGTTTTACATGATAGAGTTGGGACTCATACCAAATCCATTTGATTCCTAAGTCCCCTCTTCTTAACCACTGTGCCAGCAAAAGGGTCATAGCCATTTCCATTGTTAGAGCTTAATATCTTGATTTTAAGGTTTTGCTTTTGCTTAAAATGGAAATACACCAGGGAGAAGGAAGATAATATAGTCGTTTCAGTTTCTTGATTATGTGATTTCTTCCTGCATTTTTCAGGAACTGCCCAGAAAAATTGCAATATGGATGTTCCGTTTTTTCTGCTTCTACATATGAAACAATTACATATTTCAAAGTGTGGTAGTAAATATCTATAATAACCAATGGAGAAGTATTATGTTTAGTAGTAATGAAATTATTAGCAAAGGTTCAAGAGAACTAGCATTTACTAAATGCTCACTACCTGCCAAACACTTGATTTATAATATCATGGAAAATGTAGGTATTATTATCCCCCTTTTGATGAACAAGATAAATAAGGTCTAGGTTAACAACTTGCCCAAGATCACATATTTATTAATTGGTAGAGCTGGAATTCAAATCAAGCTGTCTGACTCAAGGACACCTGCTTCCATTGCAATATGCTGTCCCCCAATTTCAAATGGAACACATTCACCTTGGTACAATAGGTTGAAATAAAAACAGAGCAATCAAATAGCTTTCCTTACCATCAAATGATGATCTGTTGGCCTTTAATTACATTACTCAAAGTAAGTCAATTCTTTTGTCTTACTAGCCAGTTCAACCAAAAAGCATCAGCCATAGAGGAGCAGCAAAAATAATGGCAGTTATGGTTTGTGCCAAGGGAGGTAATTGGTGATTTCACACCATCCAGTTTCAGTCTTTCTTACATATCCTGCCCTTTTGCCAAAATGAACTGGTGATGAAAGAATTTGATTGAAACACACCTATGAAAGTATTTTGGAATTGTGTTCAATATAGATTGCCCATGGTTCTATGAATGAAACCCTCACTCAGTATAATCACATTTTTTCTAGCTTTCATCCAAGTGACTGTTGAAATCTTCGAAGATAAGAGATGTATAGTCAGCCCTCCATATCCATGAGTTCTGCATCCATGGAGTCAACTAACCAAGGATCAAAAATGTTTGGGAAAAAAAGTGCCTGTACTGAACATGTACAGACTTTCTTCTCTTGTCATTATTCCCTAAACAATGCTATTAACAACTATTTACATAGCATTTACATTGTATTAGGTATTATAAGTATTTTAGAGATGATTTAAAGCACATAGGAGGAGATGCATATATTATATACAAATACTATGCCATTTTATATCAGGGACTTGAGCATCTGTGGATTTTAGTATATGCGGGAGGTCATGGAACCAATCCTCCACAGACACCAATGGACAACTGTACTTGAAAATCTAGCAGCACACCAGCATGGCACATGTATACATATGTAACTAACCTGCATATTGTGCACATGTACCCTAAAACTTAAAGTATTATAATAATAATAATAAAAAAAGAAAATCTACTGATGACTAACTAAGCCACAAATCAAGTTAAGATACATTCTTAAGACTTTTAGGGACATTACAAATGCTCTTAAGATAAGCCAACATCTGAGATCCTCAAAGATTAAGAAAACAAAATGTAGTCTTTAAGGTGAAGTACATGGAAAAGGTGAGACAGAACTTTGGTCAACATGACACAGAAACTGAATTAAAACTCCCTAAACCAGCATGGTTGGGAATAATATAATAATCCATACTCGATGGGGCTATCATAATGAACAGCCACAATAGAAACACTAGTAGGTTATGTTTTAAAAGTTCATTTGTAAACCAGTTCTTTGGAAGTAGAGACAACATATTTTCCCACAGTAATGTTGCTAAACACTGGGTTCTCAAATGAGCTCAAAGATTATTACATATGAAAGTGCTTTGAGGACAAAAAACTGCAAAGCAAATATAAATTATTATTTAACCCATATTTGTAATAAAACTTTTCAGAAAGCAGTATCACTGCAATATCTAAAGTAAAACAAAGGCACATCAAATTTATCATGAATACTGGTACATGAAGGAAATGTGTATTTAATCAGGAGGATTACATGGTTAATGGGTGGTTTTTATAGAATTTATGGGAGTAAGTTATGGACACCTTCAAGGTCATTAGATTTTGAGAGTACTGGTTTGCTATAATGTTTACTACTACATCAAAAGAAGTGGAATCACATAGAAGGAAGCACAAAATTTTTGAAAAGGAAAAAGAAGCTCTAAGAGGGGTGTGTATGTATGTGTAAGATTACCTAAGGTAAAATTAATCATGTTATGAAAGACAGAGGAGGGTAGAAAAGTATGACACAAAATACATTCTAAGAGGAAAATAAGTGGTACCAAAGCAACCTTGGAACTTGACAGTTTCTTGTATAAACCACCAACTAGTGGAATTTTATATAGCTGAATAAAATCCCAAGGGAAATGCTCATTTTAAAAACAAGTAACTCAATTTAAATGAGCTTGTGTGTTCTATCATTAATAAAGTGTAAAATAAGAATATCACGATTCCCTTCTGCCCTTAATCTAATACAATTTCCTCCTATTTTCTAGAATGACAAAATCTATCACCATTAGATGAAGTCAGTGTCTCATGGATGAAAATTACCAATATATTGAATTCTTCATATTGAGCTATTAGCACTAATCTTAACAGTATTGAGTAGAATGGATACTGAAGGGGGCTAATGAGGGTAAGCAGGCCTCTTACGGGAAAAAAAAACAAAAATACAAAGAAAGGCATGGAATGTGCATTTTTTTATGTGTGTGTGTGTTGGGGGGAGGGTAAAAAAAGCTAGTGATACAATGGGTAAAGAGAAGAGAAAGATTCCATATTAAAATAGGAAAAGTCAGTCCTGAAAATTCTTTTAGTCGTCAAGGCACATGAAGAAACCAGTGTTAACAATAAAAGGTAACACCAACTATCATATGGATTAGATAGCTATATTCAAAAGGCCAAAGCAATTCTTAAATTCTCATAATAGTTTGTAAATCATTTCTATGAGCAGATATGCTTTGTTCCTGTTGTCACTATAGTCACATTAGTAATGCTTTCTTTAGGATCTATCAATAATTTTGGAGTATTTTGGGTTCTTTAAAACTACGAATTTTTCTGATTATAAAAGTAAAACATTCATTATAAGAAAGTCAGAAAATATAGAAAAATAATAATGAAGAGAACAAATACTTTCTCCTATAATTTCACCAACAATATTAACATTATGGTGCATTTTCTTTTTAAAAGCTAAGACGCTTTTAGTTGCAGGCAGTATTTAACTAAGCTATTTCAACATTTTGTCTGAAATGACAAGTTAACATTTAAAGAGAAACATATATCAACTATTGAGCTCAAGGACTATCTTCTTTCAAAAAAGGTCAAAATGAATAGGGTTAACTCAGAATTACTGATTTGTACCAACTTGGTCATTCAAGTATTAAAAGCAAGTAATTCATGAGCAGATTCTGGAGCTAACAACCTTCATCAAGTCCAGTTTCCCAGAGGTCAGCATGAATCACCAAACTTTCCTTAATAAATAAATCAATATTGCACTAAGACTATCGGTAAATTCAAGCAGTAACTACGTGCTATGGTGCATGGAAGGACATACACACAGCTGAAAAAGAAAAGGACAGAACAGGAAATAACACAACAAAGAGCCCTTGTGTTCCACTTTGCCCATAGGGCTCCAAGGTGGTGGTGTACAGCAAAGTGTGGCAATTCTGAACTGGCTTGGAAAGGTGCATATACTCTGTGCTTGGTAATAACTCCCTACGGTATGTAGCTGAGGATCACCACCATAAAATAACCCCAGTGCAGTGAAGAGGAGAATATTTCTGTGGGTGACTGGGCTCCTACCACATGCTGCAAGAGGGCATTCCCTCAGGAAACAAAATTGATAATTGTGCTACATCAAAAATTCTTCATATTGGAGCGTGAGGTGCTCTTCTGGAGTTTGGTACTATTTTATTCCTTGAGCAGGGCGCTGGTCACACAGGTGTGCTCAATTGTGAAATTTCGCTGAGCTAAATCAATGATTTATGTACCTTTTTGGGATGTATATTATACTTCGATAGAACTTACATATACAAAAATTATTTATTCCCAGGAAATACCTATGGTGCCTTATCAAATAAACTTTGGGGTAAACACCAACAATAGTTTATAGTTCAGTAGCCATCATTATAATAGAAAAGCTACTTAAAAGCAACAGGGAAACCAGGTGCAAACCTCAATTGTGAAGAAGACATAAAAAAAGAAAAATAAAAAGGCATTACCTATGGGAATATTGGGGGAGAAAATGAACTGAAGCACAAGTGGTGATCAAACCCTAAGAAATACCAAGGCCACAATAGGCAATGCATATGGGTTAGATCAGACCATGTTTAAGGCTAGTAAGTATATTTCAATGTAAACCTCGGTGAAGCATATTTTTTATTTAAATGCCCCAATTCACAACCCTCCCCATCTCCATTTTTTCACTTCCTTTCTGGTAGCTAAAGAAAGAGAGGCTCAATCCCCAACTCTCAGTCAATGACCACAACCTTCAACTACAAGAGGACCATCTTCTATTTCTAGATACATGGAGAAATTCTTACAATAGAAAGCAGTATACAAAACTAGTATATATAGTATATAATTCTTTAAATAATATATCTATATACAGAGCAAAAGAATAAAATGATAAGCTGGGCACTGTGGCTCACGCCTGTAATTCCAGCACTTTGGGAGGCTAAAGCAGGCAGATAACTTGAGGTCAGGCGTTAGAGACCAGCCTGGCCAACATGGTGAAACCCTGTCTCTGCTAAAACTATAACAATTAGCCGGGTGTGTTAGCACAGGCCTGTAATCCCAGCTACTCGAGAGGCTGAGGCATGAGAATCACTTGAACCCGGGAAGAGGAGGTTTCAGTGAGCTGAGACCACGCCATGGTACTCCAGCCTGGGTGACAAAGCGAGACTCTGTCTCAAAAAAAATAAATAAATAAAAAAGAATAAAATGACTAATCCCCCCAATGCTAAAACAGATTTGTATATCTTTTTTCATTTTTTTCTGTATTTTATTACTACATTAATATTTATAAAAAATTAACTATTACAAAAGTAGAATACAAAGTTATGCCTATGTACAGAAATCAAGGTAAGAAGGAATATTAATGGTGTCATCTGTGTTGTAGAATTATGGGTATTTTAGTTTTACACTTTTCTGTATTTTTCAAGTTTTCTATAACAGTTAATTTTATAATCAGAAAATTACTTAGAAAATGTCTTTAGTACTCTCCTCTTTTCTGTCCATTTGAGTGTGAACAGAGTTAAAATGTGGCATTCTGTATTGAAAACACATATCTTCCAGGGACTGAGGGGGGAAAAGTTATTTATGTGCTTAGAAAACAATTCACTGATCAAGCTATATAGTCATCCCTCAGTATCCATGGGGGATTGGTTTCAGGACCTCCCAATGATACCAAAATCCACAGATGCTCAATTTCCTTATATAAAATGGTTCAATGTGTGCATATAACCAGTGCACATCTTCCTGTATATTTTAAATAATCTCTAGATTATTTATAATACCTAATATGATGTAAATGCTATGTAAATAGTTGTTATACTGTATCATTTAGGGGATAATGACAAGAAAATGAGGTCTGTACATATTCAGTGCAGATGCTTCTTTTCCCCCAAATATTGTTCCTCCTCAGTTGGTTGAATCCATAGATGTGGACATAGATATAGGGGGCTGACTCTATTTTCCTTTTTTTAAAAAAGATTTTTACTTTATGAAATTTCACATTCACCAACATGTTCAATGGAAGCATTTTAATTGGAGACATAAATATAATGCTGGTGTAGTTTTTAAAAGATCAAAAAAATAAAACACCCCAGCACAGGGAAAACTCAATATGAAAAGTCATTTGTCATTATTTTCTTGTTACCTAGGGCATTTTGCCATTAAAAATCCATAAAACCAGGCTAATCACCATAGAAGTTAGCCAGCAATCTTGAAGTATGTGTACACTCTATTCCTGTATGCTCTTCTTCCTTCTACCAGGCTCTACATTGCTTAAGAGGGCAGGGACTTTACCTTAATTATTTTGTATACTCAGGCAAGAAGCACAGTATCTATCAGACAGCAGACCTTTGATAAATGCTCGATGAATTGAATTCCGATCCACTAGATACTTTTCTAGTGAATCTTGTGACCCTTCTGGCATTAGAGTTCTTGAGTGTTTAAGGCAATTCAGCAAGCATTTCTAGAGCATGTATAGTACAAAGGTTTCTATAGAGATTACAAAGATTAACAAAACATTAAAATGATTATAATCCAGTAGAAGGTAAAATATGTAAACAAATAATTACCAGCAAAATGCAGAACGTACTATAAGAGAGGAAGTGCTATTGGAACAAAAAGAGATTACTATACTTTGTTTTGGGTGTGGGCTGTGCTGGGAAGAGGAAAAGAAAGAATTAAGAAAGGCTTCAAAGATGAGGAGGCATTTGTGTTGCATTTTGAAGGATGTGTAAATTTTTGACTAGCAGAGCTAAGAAAAACAGGTCTGTTGGCAATAGCAGAAGCAAAGGAATGTTAGTGGAAAAGAATAGAGAATGTTTAGGGACCAACATGAAAGAAGAGACATATAAAGCTTTGAATGTAGTTTGGGATCAGATTACTAGGAGTTTTATATGCCATGCTGATAAATGTAGTCCAAAATTTATAAGTAATAGCATATATGTGATCAGAGCTGTGTTCTGATGGCATGGAGGAAGAACTGCATACTAGGAAAAAAACTACTGGAGGCAAGGAGACCAATCAAGAGGCTAAGTATTTTTTCCCATGAGAAGACACAGGAACTGAAAGCAGGGTATTGAAAGCAAGGAAGAAGGAGACATATGTGAGAATGTTTAAAGTGCCAGAATCAACAGGATGTGGCATCTATTTACTGGAGGAGGAGTGCTAGGAGTCTGGGATGCAAGTGAGAAGTGTCAGATGCATGAATTAATAAAATAGTAATGAAACAAAAGAGAGGCAAGGAAGGAAGACACTACTTGGGATAGTTTTAAAGAGGCAGTCAACAGTGTCAAATACAGTCCTGCAGAGGTACCAAGAAGGCTACATCTGAAAATGGCTTTGGGAATAGTATTTTACATTGGTTAATCATCACTGGCCAATCCCTTTTGAACTTCTCTATTAAAAAAAGATTTATTTTCAAAGTCAACATTCTAGAAAAAGTAGAATAAAACTTAAATATAAAATGGTTGAGAAGGGATTGGGTGGTGATTAAGTAGTACAAACATACTATTCCAAGGTCCTCTGTGAACGGAAAAAGATTGGTAGCAGGAGGGAGAAGCAGTTATTTGAGAAAAGTACAACAAACATAGGAGGACCAAAAGATCTTTTTCCTGTTAAAATTCAGTCTACCCTCCGTACCTAAAGGGATCAAATTAGAATTTCAGGTAATGTGGACTTTGAAGTACTCTAGACTGTTCATTTCCAATTATGTTCTACAAACACAGGATTCAACTTTCATTTTCTAAAATATATTTAACTGTGATTAAAACATAATAGTAGCTTCCTATATGTCAGACACTGTGCTAAACGCTTTATCTGCATTATCTCATTGAATCCCAGCAACCTTAGGAGGCAAGTTTATTATTATGCCTACCTTACATAGGAGAAAACTGAGACTTAGAGAAGTAAAATAACTGGCCTAAGATTTAAAAAATACTAATTGGCAGAGCACAACCTCTTAACTAATCTGTTCCACTATCTTTCAACAATGTACACAAGCAACTGTGTTATATATCAAACTGTATCCCATTGGAGACCCCCAAATCATTAATTAAACTGCTTGGTTCATTCACTTTTTTTTTTTACAGCCCTCAGGAATAATGCTTCTCCTGACATCCCTTTGCATATGTTTTATGCATAACGTTGTAAATGTTTCATGAATTATGAAGGTTGTAGTTCTGCACCAGTCTTTCAATAAATTCATGCCTACAATGTTGACTCAAGGAAAATTGTACAAGCAAGTATACATATCTCTTCAACCTGTGGGTTGTGCTCAATTAGACACCAGGCAAAGCTCAGGCCCATCTGCCTGGCGTAAGCAGAACAGTTTGTTGTGCAATAGTGAGAACATGCTTAACGTGTCTCGTGACAATCTTACATTTTAGATGGTTTTAATGCTTACTTTAAGATTTGGCCACTTATCTGACTTTCATTTTTAAGATAAGAAATTTGAATAGTAATTACACTTTGGAATAAAAATTTTCTCCTAATTTCCTTTCAGGTTTCTGCACTGATTTGATTGAAATATATCCAGAGATTGCAAGCCAAACTGCCAATAAGCATCTGTCATTTGCAATTATTTATCTGTGTGAATCAGAATTTTCTGAATACTCTGCAAACAAAATACAGAAATAAACTGCATGAGTTGATGTTAGGCTACAATTAACTTTTGAAAAATTTTGGTATACATAAAAGTCTCATTTTCCTAATTGATTGCTCTTATATAGTGGAGTTTCTTTCTCCTAAACAAAAATTTTAAAGCAACTGTTCTAAATTAGTTAGGTGGGAATATAGACACTCAGCACAAACTCTAACCAAGGGCAAACAATTCAAGTGCAGGCCCCTATGAGAGTGAGTGAAGAGAGATTTTGTAAACAAAGAAGATACAGAAGGCTTTTCCACATTTGGTGGCCCCTTCGTAATTCACAGCAATATATAATGAACTAATCCATACTTAAATCTCAGTCCTATCTCTCTGCCACTATGATCCAAGATAAGTTTTTGACCAGAGGTTAAAAGGAAACCCTAGGCTTACTCTGAGGAATGAGTAAAGCAAACAATATAACACTTTGCAAACAAATATTCAATAACACATGTGGATAATATGCAGTGATTTTCCCCCTATATTGAAAAATAGTTTTTCCAGGAGTTCAAGGAGAAATGTGATTCCTTACCTCAAGTAATTTGCTGGTTTTATCTAGTTAGCTTGATGGCAAACTTTGGTATAGCCTTTATCTCAGATAATATTGTTTTTAAAGTATCAAAATGCTTTTCTGAATGTAGTGTAATTTAGTGATCAATATTTAGGGCTTTATTCCTATATGGTATCCTGAAACACAACACCCATAGTTAGATTCTCAGTGTATTCATGTCTTCAAATCGACAGTTGCACAATCATACATTTGTACATTATTTTTTTGCATCCTGTTAGCATTAACCTATTATAACATTCAGTGACTATTATCAGCTGGGTAGTATATATATATATAATCCTTAATAATCACAGCAACATAAATATTATCTCCATCTTACAGATGGGGTATCCAAGGCTCAGTAAAGTTAAATAATCCTACCAAGGACACAAAGCTATTGTGTGGTAAATCCAGAATTTTATTCCCAATCTTGACTAAAATGCCTGTGTTTTTCTTAGTACACCATATTGCCTCTCAATAAAGTATAAGTAATATGTATGTAGAGTGCCTGGCATATAGTGGGAGCCAAGCAAAAGTTAATTTTATTGTCTCCTAAAACTATCAGATAAATACCCTTAACAGAAGTAAAAGGAAAATGGTCTAAGTAGGACTCTGTAATTAAATACTCTTCAATTACAAATCATTCATGCAAATGAATCTCATTAGAAGACAAAGTCAAACCCTTGCTATTAGACAGTCAACTGAAATATAAAGACTATAAACTTTATTAGGTCTTTATTCTTGATTTTCAGTAACTTCTAAAAGCTACTGATTCATTCTAATCAATGAATTATCGGCCAAGAGAGATACAGTTTCTCCTTTAATCAATATAAAAACTAAAAATCATAGCATTTTAGATCTGAAAGGGATCTTAGAGTTCATCTACTTTTGTTTTGTTTCAGTACACGCTTCTAACTTGGCCTCCACTGCCTATACAATCATTTGACATGTGAGTAACTTGTACAAGGTTACAAAGTCGGTAGAGGCAAAGAAGGGGCTAAAAGAACTCAAATCTCCTGAGTTCCAATTCAGTGTTCTTTCCATTACGCCATCCAGCCACTCAATACAAGTGCTCTCTAGGCAGGTTCAGTCATAAGGTTTTAAGAAAAACAGAAAACCTCCAGTAGTCAAATAAGCAGCTTCTTCCTTCCAGTGACTCCCAGAAGGCTAATCCTATCAGCTAACCCTTACTGAGAGTGGATGATGTGCTTTACTGCACTAAACTCTTTAAGGCATTATTTCATTTTATCCTGAAGGCAAACTTGTGGATAAGTTTTCTTATTATTCATTCTCATTTGACTGATGAGAGAACCCAGACTCTAAGACTTGAAATAAGTTGCCCAAGGTCACAGGACTAGTAAGCAACAGAGTAGGAATTTAAACCAAGCTCTGACTTGAGGCCCAGCTCTTAAAAACTATGATACACTGCTATTACACGTGTCTCTTTCTTTTTCTCCATTTTTTTCCCCTTTGTCCTTTAGGGTCTAGGATAACTATATACATAAGGTATGGATACCTAATCACAAATAGGGAAGTTTGTGGAAGGATAACCGACGGGGAAAAATAGTAACCTCATACCATCTCCAAGAATTTAAGAACTACCTGGACTATTTTTTTTTCCAAAGTCTAGGCCTTTGCTATCCTCATGCAGAAACCTCTTCTTTTTCAAGAACGTTAGTCACCTGTTTTGCAACTCAATAACCTAAATCAGATTTTTCAGAAGCAAACAAAAGCACTGATACCAAGTCACTTGGGACTTGAGACCACTGGGCAGAGAAGAACCCAAGAACTAAGCAAAGTTTCCACCAAAATTGCAATGAGGTTAACAGGGCACAGTAGCACAATCTAGTATTTGATACCCAGGAAACATGGAGAGAAAAACAGGGAGAGGAGGGGAAAATCTGCTGCCAGTCTGAGGTTGTTAAAAAGCAGAGTGAGGAAGAGATTTCCAGGTGATCTCCTCGGTCATTTAAGACCCGATGCCCACCACCACTTAATCCAAGGCTAGACACCCTTGTGAAAAACCAGGAAAAGGGAACGCAAAGAGCTCAAACAGTCCTTGATTTGCCAGCCTCTGCACCCGGTTTGTTTTACCCTTTTCCACCAGAGAGGCAAATGAAGGATTTTTTTTTGCCCAACACCCAGGCCTGGTGAATCTCGGGGAGGACCCTGCCCCACTCCGTGGGGACAGAAAGAGCACCCACTTTCCTTCGGAGCAAGGGGATAGGACGAGGAGGGCAATGAGGAAAATAAGAGAAACTGGCCATGGCAGAGGTCTGGAGGGGTGCAATCTAGTAGCTGCACTCACCCGGGTGAGACATGGGGATGACCTCATTGCGGGTCCCGGGGAAGTTAAAGATGACGGCTCCAGACGCCCCTCTCTCATAAGCCAGATGGATCTTGTCTGCGAAGGTGCAGCCCCCGCCGCGTTGGATGAGGGCCAACCAAGAGACTTGCACGGTGCTTCCCCAAACCGTGGGCACCGTGAAATTCGTGTGCGGGTTACAGGCGTTAAGCGCCCCGGGCCCGTCGGGCGGTACCAGGACCCCAGCCACAGGCTCCAGCGGCGAGTCCTGGCCGTACACGCCCTCCTCGCTCAGCTCCCACACCGTACGGTTCACTCCCGTGTGCGGAACCCGCCAGGACACGTTGAGGTACGCGGTCCACACTGCTTCAGCCCCCCGGGAACCGGGTGCCTGCGGACTCAGGGCCAGCAGGAAGCACCATGCCAGCAATCTGGAAAAGCCGCAGCCACCGCGGCAGGAGACCCCGGCCCCAGGCGGCGGCCCCATGGCGCGCGCGCTCCGCAGTTCCCTAGCGCCCCTGGCACGCGCCCTCCTAGCGCTTGGCAGGACCCTGGTCTTGAGCAGGTGCGCGCCAGGTGGGGAAGGAATGGAGTGAGACTGGGGAGCTGCGAGCTACGTCGGAGCCAGGAGGCACGTAGCGTCAGCACACAGGTTGCCGCAGATGCAGCTCCTCGGAGCTCCAGTCTTCTCCGCTACCGCGGCTGCCGCGTCGGGCTCTGGGGCTTTAGCGTGAAGCTCCGCCCAGCCGACTGGGGGTAGAGGTGGCTGGGAGGGAGGAAAGGACACTGCGGGATCCGCCTCTTAAAAGGGTAACAGGATGGATCGATGTTAGAATAGGATCTGAGGCTGTGTGGCTAGGTGTGTCGCGTCGTTTTATAAAAAACGGACAGGCGAGGAACGATAAAGTCCGCAAACATAAAGCTTTCTGGCAGGATTCGAGTCGGTTTTGAATTGCAAGAATACATTTTTCCCTCCTAACATTTGCCTAAAGGACATTTCGGGCTTACGGTGCCAGAATGTGAAGTACAGTACTTCTAAAAAGCGCAGATCCAAAGGGTCTGAGTTGTAGTCAAGGGAATTTGGGTAGGGAAGGAATTTGAGTAGAATCAGGCTATTTACTGATTCTCTAGAGGGGGGAAGGGCAGGAAAAGCGCGCTGTTACCCTTTCTTACTGACTTCAAATGGCACCTTTCTCTTTCCCTGCTCCTAAGAAGCCTCATACATGTGTATTTCCTCACCGTTACCCTAGGTTTCATGTACCGCATCAGATGCCTCTTCTAAAACTAATTTTAGTCCTCACAAAAGAATGACTGTTTTCACACACCTCAGAACCAAGCCTTTCTTCTGCATTTTTCACAAACCTGACTTACCCTAGCGGATGTTCCTGCGCTATTCATGACCTTAACTACATAATCTTTCTCCATTTCCCACTAACTGAAAGGAGCCTGACTCGCCTAGGCGATTCACTCATGGCATTATTACATTACGATTTATCCTTGCTTAAGTATTCAATTTTTGTCTACCCTGTCAACTATTATATTTACTAGATGGTTAACAAATGAGCCTTGAATTAAGCTGAATTAATATACCTGCTGTCTGATAGTTATGAATAACTTTTGACCTTGGGGAACTTCCCTGTGGCTCAGTTTCCTCATCATCTGTAAAAGGGGGATAATAATTGCACCTACCTCACAGAGTTTTCAGATGATTAAATGAGTTAATACATGTAATAAAGCACTTAGAACAATGCTTAGCAATATAAAAAACATGTTAAAATTATTAAACAGGTTCAGAGACACAATTCTAAAATAATATTAAAGTTTTAATTTGAGGTAATATCAGAGAAAATGATGTTCAAGATGTTCAGTCTTAGCCACTTTTTCAGTTCAAATAAATACAGTCTACTTTATGCAGCTCAACATTTGTTAAATTTCTGATCAATTACTCCCCTCAATCCCTGGCCCAGCATTTACTTAATCAATGTTATTTACAAAGATTAAGCATGGACCAATTCTGTACTTGATACTCTTATGGCTTGAGAGAAACCTAGAGGAAAATTAACATCATATACCAAACAACACCTAGAACATAAATAAATGTGCAATTTTGTGAAACATATACTCTTAGGTATTGAAAAGGACTTTAGAGGTCAAAGTGGGTATATGAGACCAATAGCATGGTACCCCCAAATACTGATGGTAATCTCTGAGATAAAAATTACCTAGGGGAAAAATGGGTAGGACCAACCACCTCTGAGAAATGGTACAATTCCAGAAATTGTCTGATTTTGCTGGTGAAGAGCATTCAAAATTCAATTGATATTACCTGAATGACAGCCAACTATATTGTACTTTGAAGAAACAATGTGTTCAGAAGAAAGAAGGTATTTTATAGCTACAAAAATGAAGTTCAGAGAGACATTTATTAATGTTTTTCCATTCATTATTTTCTTAAATATTTGTTGTACATCTGCCATAAGCCATGGGCTGAGCATTGTGGTGCAAAATCAAATAAGACATCAACTCTCCTATCAAGAAGCTCATAAATTAGTTTTGATGAGAAGGACAAGTAAAATGGAAAGTGCAGTATAGAGTGATATATGTATATAGTGTAAGCACTATGATGGAGATATGACAGGGTAGTAGTGGATAACAGAGAAGCACCTAACCCAGACTGAGAAGTAAGGAAAAGCTTCCCAGAGGAGGTTAGACCTGGGCTGAGTTTGAGACAGTAAACTTTTCTAGGCAGAAAACAACACAAGGAAAGGCATTGAAATATGAAAAAGAAATGTTAGGAAGCTACAATTACTACAGGCCCAGTAAATGCAAAATGGTTGGAACCTAAAGTAACAGAGGGAGGGTGGTAACAGATCATGTTGGAGAGGTACATGGGGGCCAGTTCTTGAGAGTCCTTTGGGTAAAGCTAGGGAGTTTAGACTTTATCCAAAAACGAGGAGTAATATAATCAGGGTTTAATCAGGGAGTAATAGAATCAGATCTGAAGTTTAGAGATCCTTCTCTGTGGATAATAGATTGGAGGGAATGAGAATAGCAGCAGGGAGCCCATACAGAAGATGGTTGGCAGTGCTACAGGTGAGAGATGAAGATGGCTTGGATAGACAGGTAGTGGACATGAAGAGAAGTGGGCAGAATGGGAATGTTCTTTGGTGGTAGAATCAACAGGACTTGGTTTGGGGGATGAAAGAGAAGGAGGAGTTAGAAATTACTCTGAGGTTTTTGACTTGGAAGACTAGATGACATTCAATCAGGGAATACAGGAGGAGGGTTTTAAATGTATAGAATGGGTAGAAGGAGAGATGAGTTCACTTTAGATATGTCGATTTTGAGGTGCCTATGATGTAACCAGGTAGAACTGTGTGATAGGCAGTTGAGTTTCCGATCACTGAACACCTACTAAGTGCAAAGCATGGGAGAGACAGGGGTGTAGAGAGACAAAAGAAACAGCCCTTGCCTTCAATGAGCTCATGGTCTAGTGAGACAATCAGAGAGATAAACTATCAATAACAGTACAGTGTAATACATGTTATGACTGAGAAAAGTATAAGGCGCTAGGGCAAGACAAGTGTGACTGAGTCTTTAAGTACAAATGGAGTGACCCAAGCAAAGAGAGTAAGGATTTTCAGGCACAGGCAAGAGTATATTATATGAGAACTCCAAAGAACATTCAGGGAACTAGCATTCAGTAGTTCGGTATGGTTGGGATATAAAGTTGCAAAGGTGGAGCCAAGGGAAGTGAAGCTAGTCAAATAACTTGTGCCAGAACATGAAAAGTTTAGAAAATTATACATACATACATATATATATATATATTTTAGACAGAGTTTTGCTCTTGTTGCCCAGGCTGTAGTGCAATGGCATGATCTTGGCTCACTGCAACCTCTGCCTCCCAGGTTTAAGCGATTCTCCTGCCTCAGCCTCCCAAGTAGCTGGAATTACAGGCGCGTGCCACCATGCCCGGCTAATTTTTGTATTTTTAGTAGAGACGGGGTTTCACCATGTTGGCCAGGCTGGTCTCGAACTCCTGACCTCATGATCTGCCCACCTCGGCCTCCCAAAGTGCTGGGATTACAGGCGTGAGCCACCGCGCCAGGCCAGAAAATTATATTAAAGCGTACGGACTCAATATGCATGCACATGTGTATACACATACATAAAGCAAATATGGCAAAATGACAACAAGTGATAAATCTAGATGGTGGGTGTATGGGTGCTCATTGTACTTTTTTTCCTACTTTTCTTATACAGTATTTTAAACATTTTGTAATAATGAGTTTAAAATTGTGAATTTATATTGAAGTCAATGGAGCGAATGAATGGTATGACCAGATTTGAACTTAAAGAGATCATATGGATTGTATGAGGACAAGACTGATGAAAAAGAGACTAGTGAGGAGGCCAATATCTCCAGAACTATTCTGGAGGTCTAGACACTTGTGGAATGGAGGTATCAGACTACCATAGCTTGATAACGTGAGTCATTAAAATCATCCTATGAACCCCCCTTGCTCTGAGTTCATCCTCACCGAGCAACCCTACTTATTATCAGTTAGCTCCTCATGTAAATATGCCTACAGGGAGATAATGTACTGATTAGCAAACACTAGTATCTGGTCCACTTGGAAGTTGTACTTCTCATTATAAATTAATCAACTGGCATTCTGGCTTATATATTGGTCTCTCGTGAATTTGGTTAAGTGTGAGTCAGTCCCCAGAAACCCAGTCTCTGGTTATACTACCAATCAAATTTCGAGGCTTACAAAGCTAAGAACCAGATTGTAGATCATGACTGCAACAAAGTACTTCCACTCTATGGAGACTTGCCTGGGTAACCCACTGGTTTTACCCAACCGTATTCCTCTATTTCACTGTGAGTTATTTTCTAACTACAACAGAGCCTTGCTACCAAGAGTGAGGTCTGTTGATCAGGAGCATCAGCATCATCAGGGAGCTGGTTAGAAATGCAGAATCACAGGTTCCACCCAGACCAACTGACTTGGAACCTGTCTTTTAACATGATCCCCAGGGGATCTGCATGTATATATGTTTGAGGAGCCCTAGGGTAGACTAGAGTATTCCTGACAGGTAGCTAGCATCCAGCATCTGCTTGAACACTCCCAGTGTCAGAGCTCACTACCTCACCAAGCATCCCATCCTGAGTAAGACTACACTTTTCTTGTTGGGAAGTTAATTTAAGTATAGTTTCACCCTGTTTCAGTCCTTCTTCTTCCTTCCACCCTCCTCTTCCAAACCCAGGCCCCCAGAGTTTCCATGCTACTCCCTGGCCATATCACTACTCCACCAGGACCTTTGCTCTGAGCAGTCCCCCTGTACCAGACTTCACCTTATATCTGACAAATCAAATTTACTAGTCCCAAATATATTCCCTCGGAGTCCTACTCTCCCTAAGACTAATAACAGCTACTGTTCATTGAGCATTTACTATATGTTTTACATGCATTATCTCATTTAATCCTCACAAGTATCTATTATTAACCACAGTTTTACAGAAGGGAAAACTGGCCCAGAGAGAATTACAGCAACCTGCCAAAATCCATATAGCTAGGAACAGAAGAAGGATTCCAATGCCGTTCTGACTCTTAAGTATTAATAGCTGATAATGACTTAACTATTTTCCCTCTGGAGAGTGCCATTCGCATTTGGATGTTGCTTTATACCAAAAAGAGAAAGTTCAAGTGAAATATCTCTTGTATGCATTTCAGGCACTGTGACCATTGAGGGAGATATATATGGGCCAGGATATATATGGGCCAGGAGCCTTTTTGAATTCTTCAAATCCTACCACAAAGGCCTACCCTGCTAAATATTTGTATCAGCAATACTAAACTGAAAGCTGCCCTGAGCACTTCACTATTTAATGATGAACTGATAAACAGAGCAGCATTCTGCAGGAGCAACAGCAGGGAACCATTGTGGCAGATTTAGTTTCCCATCACACCGACTCTATAGAGATGTTGAGATGGATGATAGTGTTCAGCTTTTAATATGTTTGCAAGGAATGAGACACTGTATCTGGCTTCTCACCATTAAATGAATGGCAAAGCACAACTTGGGACAAACGGTATCCTGGCATCTAAGTGATGCTGGATACACAGCTCGACAACATAGGTATAGAGAATGTGTAGACAAGGGATGACAATAAATCTCCACTCCAGGCAGCTGCTCTATGTAGATAGCAAGAAGAAAATGGTGGGTGTGTGGAGAGAAGAAGCAGTCAACAAAACAAAATGAAAAGCCAAAGCATGATGCCAACAGCATACTTCCAAATAACATAATGTCACTTGCAAATGAAGATTAAACCTCGGTCAGCTCAAGTTAGTATACAACCATTAGGAAACAGGGATTCTTTTTTTAAAGCAAAACTTTCATGCACCCAAAGAAAGGACAGAATTACAGAGAGTGGCTTTACAAACAGTAGATACGCTGTATCTAAAACTAAGAACAATCTTTTCATATCCATAACTTTAATAACTACCATTGAGAGCCTACTATGGGCCAGGTACTTTACATATATTAATGTTATCATTTGATTTTCACAACAGGTAATGATATCCTATTATAATTTACATTTTTTCAGATGAGGAAAATGAGACTCAGAAAAATGAAGTATCTTGCTGAAGGTCACACAGCTGGTAGGTGGTGGGGTTGGAATTCACACAGGGGTATGTATGACTCCAAATTCCATGCTGTTTTCATTCTGCTATACTACCTCTACACATACATAGGGAGAACATTATTACAAGGTGGAAAAAATGGGTGTTCTTCAGCCACACATTTTACCATGCTAAGAACCCCCTCACCAGAATCCTGCTGAGCAGCCCAGAAATCCTAGATAACAGAGATTATGAGGCCGGGTGTGGTGGCTCATGCCTGTAATCCCAGCATTTTGAGAGGCTGAGGCAGGAGAGTTGCTTGAGCCCAGGAGTTTGAGACCAGCCTGGGCAACATAGCGAGATCCTGTCTCTACAAAACATAAAAAATATATATTTTTAAATAAGAAAGAAAGAAATTGTGTTGGTGGAGGTCATTGCAGAAAACTTGAGCTAAATTGTATGCACTTGATTGCTACTGGGAGATCAAATTAGCTATCTTGAGTTTAGGGAGGTGATTGAGAGGATCACAGATTGCTGAGAAGGAGAGGGATAAAGAGTGGGGAAAGGCCCAAGGCATGGGGGTAAGTTGAGCAAGGGAGGTGCTGGAAGGAACTATGGAGATGAGTGGTCTTTACTCCCCACTCTGGTATTGGGCAAACCTACCTCGGAAACATCTTGTCTCATGCAGTCTCCTATCTTTCCTTTTCAGGTTTCCAGTAAGGTGAAGATTCCAAAAGAATTAAACCTGTGACCACAAGAGAATTTCTGTATATCTTATTAAAGAAAGAAAAACAACTATTTGGGGAAAGTGGGATAGGAAAATGTTTTTAATGAACTATGCCCTGCAAATATGACCACGTATTTGAGGTTCATTTCCAATCCATTCATCAGATCCAGTATGACACTCAGTATACTAGATCCACAGAATCCCCCCTATTTTAGTCTCTGTTCTTATTTTTAACTCTGCTGTTGACTGGTTATGTGACATTGAGGGAGTCTCTGTTTCTTCTTTCTCAACTAAAATAGTAATACTACTGGTAAAAAATTGAACAGATATATTTTGAATCACTTAATATTCCATTAGATGAAAGCCTAACAAATCAGATAGTATATCTAAAATAAATATCTATGATCTTGCCATTGCCTAGGACAAATGAGAGAAGAGCTGTAGAAGGAAGTGGACCTGTCAGGCATGGATAAAATCAGTTTAGTAAATTAGGGAGAAATTAAGTTATTAAAAGTGCCCATGGTCAGGTGCAGTGGCTCACCCCTGTAATCCCAGCACTTTGGGAGGCTAAGGCAGGTGGATCACCTGAGATCAGGAGTTTGAGACCAGCCTGGCCAACATGGCGAAACCCCATTTCTACTAAAAGTACAAAAATTAGCTGAGTGTGGTGGAGCACACCTGTAATCCCAGGTACTCGAGAGGCTGAGACAGGAGAATCACTTGAACCCAGGGTGGGGGAGGTTGAAGTGAGTTGAGATCATGCCACTGCACTCCAGCCAGGGCAACAGAGACTCTGTTTCAAAAAAAAAAAAATGCCCATGGGCAGTAATTTTTTTTTTTAATCTACAGGCAATGGGATTCTTTTCTGATAGAAACCTAACTGGATAATTTCTAATAAGGCTGGGGCTCCTGAAAAAATAATTTATGAATAAACGTCCTTCTACTGTAGTATGTAATCACAATCACCTATTAAGCTAAGACTTACCCTTTAGAAGTTAAAGCCTTCATGAGTGTGGGCAAAGGCTGCCTTTGTATTCCAAGGGGGCAAAGTCACAAATTCACAGCTGCCAACTATATGCATTAGGATTAGTGGCAGCTGCACAGGACTCAAACTTGATCAATAACTCGGAGTAAACAAGTATCTGGCAATAAGTGACCAGGTGCTAGCACGTAGTTGGGACAACTGAAATTGGCTGCCTTGCCACTCATGATTCACAGAATAATTAAGTTCTGTCACACCAGAATTAGACAAGTGTTACGGTTATGTTGGTAGCAGGAAACAGGCAAGGAACAAGCAGGCCTTCAACAATAAGGTATTTTATAGCTACAAAAATGACTTCGGTTTTGACTTCACCACAAATCATGCAGTATAAAGTACAAGAACTTTAATGGGGAAAATACTAACGGGAACATCAAAAGGAAAAAAAAGCCCAGATGCATTGAATCAGAGCACACCCTGGCATCTATAAAATCACATCTCCCTTAGCTGACAATCTTCCAATTAGCTGGGGGGTGGGGGGAGGTACATTTTTTCTAAGCTGTCTCTGTGTAGCTTTGGGTGCAGTTAACATCAAAATATTTTATCTTCTTCATAGTAAACTAGTTCAGACACAGAAATCTGTGACTGTTGAACATTCTGGATGCTGCCAACTCTAGAGCCACAGAAAGTCTTTTATCAGAGGCAAGGAAGTGGCTCAGCAATGTTTGATTTTCGAGAGGGGGAAAAAGAGGGCAGAAATTGAAACCCTGAAGCTCTTGTTTGTTTGAAGAAGAGGCTCATTAAGTTTATCTTCAATGATCCCACTAGTTCATTAAATGTCTTAGTTTTCTTAGGTGATGATGGAGGTATTTAGAGACCTGATGAGAGCATATGTTTGGCCTCTATACGGTGTTTAGGGCATAGCTCCCTCCTGGTTTTAGGGCCTTCTATTGGTTAGATTTAAAACAGAATAAAAACTCTTCAGTACACACATTCCAGTAAGCAGGCTAACATGTGTCAGTGCTTTCAATATGCCCCATGTATGGCATTTTAGGCAGAGGTTTCCAAGTTCTAAGACAGAGGCAATAATCAATTGCTTAAGAGTAGTCTACTAAAGAGTAGATTTATACTGCCTGCTATTGTCCAGTTTGCAACAGAATCTTACCCTTGTCACTCATTGCAAGTTGTAATAGGTAGCAGTGAATAAGTAAAGAATAGAAGACTTTCAATGAAACAGTATTGCTAGGGAAAAATGTGCTAGACGAATCCCACTTAATCTTTACATTAAGTATACAAATTAAGGAACAAAACATTTTTATCAACCTTAACCCTCTGGGATTTCTAACATAAAATTGTAAGCAGTAACTATCATTGGGCATAGAGGTATTATAATTTTCTATTTTGGAGTTTCAGTGATTTAAAATAAAATTCATCTGCTCTATTCATTAGAATAAACATTCTTAGAGCTTCTGCTGTCTACAAAGTCCTACAAATTTGCTGGGGAAGATAAAAACATGAATGCGACAAGTTAAATTAAGAGTTAACCCTATTAACGGTATCAAGAAAAGATCTGTGGGTCCTCTCTTTGTTTTTACTTTCACATATCTAGATTATCAGCAATATAAGCTTTAATTGAAAGCACAGTCTGATCTCAATTGTCTACTACTAGAAAAGAGAAGTGATATTAATTTTTTTTAGATTATTGTAAATAGCCTTCTAATTGATTTTAGTCTCTTCCCTATTCCAAATCATCCTTCATATTACAGCCAGATTATACTTTCTAAAACCTAGCTATGATTATGTCACTTTTCATTGCATATTGAATACAATATAAATTTCTTTCTTTCTTTTTTTTTTTTTGAGACGGAGTCTCGCTCTGTCGCCCAGGCTTGAGTGCAGTGAGGCGATCTCGGCTCACTGCGAGCTCCGCCTCCCGGGTCCACGCCATTCTCCTGCCTCAGCCTCCTGAGTAGCTGGGACTACAGGCGCCCGCCACCACGCCAGGCTAATTTTTATATATTTTTAGTAGAGACGGGGTTTCACCGTGCTAGCCAGGATGGTCTCGATCTCCCGACCTCGTGATCTGCCCGCCTCGGCCTCCCAAAGTGCTGGGATTACAAGCATGAGCCACCGTGACCGGCAATATATAAATTTCTTAACCTGGAATTCTAGGCCTTCAACAATCTAAGTCAATCTGACCACTTCCTCCTTTACCTCTTCACTGTATTTTACACATAATATATATGGCATCTTTCATACTATATTGCATTTATTTACTTACATGCCTATCTCCTTCATTAGAGACAGTTTCTTGAGAGAAGGGACCATGTATCTTTTTTGTAGCCACAGATCTTGCTCTGGCACATCACTTGAAGTGCAAGTAAATGATTGGCAAGAATTTGAGGGCAGGCTATCTAGTTTGCTGCCTAGCTGGTATGATTTTTTCCTAACGTTTTTGTTGAGGTATAATTTACATAGAGTAAAATTCACCCTTTTTAGTATATGGTTATATAAGTTTTTACAAATATATACAGTCATTTAACCACTACCATCACAGTCAAGATATAGAATGGTTTCATTACCACAAAAACTCCCTCATGCTATGCCTTTATAGTCAAAACCCCTTCCCACTTTTAATCCCTGGTAACTACTCAGTTGTTTTCTTTCCCTATGGTTTTTGCCTTTTCTGGATTGTCATATACATGTAGCTTTTTGTGTCTGACTTCTTTCACTTAGCAAAATGCAGTTGAGATTCATCCATGTTATTGCGTTGGTGTGGTATTTAAACAAAAGAGTGGTCAGAGAGATAAGTGCTGTGAGGGAGTACAAAGTCCTGTGCTAGAATAGAGGCAGGAATGTTTGCCTCTGACTCAAGGAAGTAGGGGCTGTTTCATGGATAACTGCAGGACCTTGAGGGATAGGTGGGATTTTTGATGGACACAAATGGTGAGGGAAGGTATTTCAGTAGAGGATATAGCAGTAACAAAAGCTCAGAGTCAGGACAGAGCAGAGCAGATTTGGGAAACAGTATTTTCATTTGGCTAGAGTACAGAGGAGGAGTAGTGGGAGATTGGGCAGAAAAGGTAGGTTAGGGCTTTGTTGACCTTGAATAACATATTTTGGAGTTGGTCTTGATTCACTGGGCAGTGGACTGTCATTGTAGGCTTTTTATTCAATCTCTTTTATGAGGAGAAGAGTAGTTTAGCCTGCAGGTAATTCTGTTGCCCTGCCTGAACTGTAGTAGACAGCTCTCTGTCCAGGTAGGTATACAACTTGGACTCCTAAAACAAGGCAACAAACTACATCTAAATATATCCAAAGCATACCAAGGACATAAAATATCTGCACTACAGATACTTGCTAGAAAATGCATTCATGAAATTATTGAATCTGATACCTGCTAAAAGCTCTCTTTTATCTCCAGTTGTATTCTCTCAATTCTGTCTACAGTCAAGGTATCAGAAAGGCAAGTTTTGTTCCTGGGTCCTATTTTCCTAGTCCTCCACAAAAACATCTTCACTGGGGTAAGAGTTAATGTTAGGGCATCTGTCTTAGCAGATAGCCAATTAAAAAAAATCCCCATTGAACAGCATTTCTTTCTTTTGTAAAACCATATTATCCACTGATTATTTGAATTCCTATGTAAAAAGAACTTTTTCCTATTTTGGATGCTTGTGTCTGATTATAAAAGACATGAATAAACATTTCACCAAAGAGGAAATACAGATGGAAAATAAGCACGCGAAAAGATGTTAAATGTCATTAGCCATTAGGGAAATGCAAATTAAAATCACAGTGTGATATCACTGCATACCTACCAGAATGGCTAAAATTAAAAAAAATAATGTGTCTACACCAAATGTTGTTAAGGATGTGGAGAAGCTGGATCATACGTACATTTTTTTTTGGTGGGAATGTGAAATGGCACAGCCAATCTGGAAAACAGTCTGGCAGTTTCTTATAAAACTAACATCCAACTCACCAATTTCAGTCATGGACCTTTATCTCAGAAAAATGAAAAATTACATTCACAGAAAGCCATTCACAAATTTTCATAGCAACTTCACTCATAATTGCCAAATCTTGGAAACAACCTAAATATCCTTCAGTGAGTGAATGGTAAAACAAACTGTGGTACATCTATACCATGGAATATCACTTAGCAATAGAAAGAAAGGAGCTATTAATATGTGCAACAATCTGGATGAATCTCCCGAGAATTATACTGAATGAAAAAAGCCAATCCCAAAAAGTTTACATACAATGAGATTCAATTTATACAACATTTTTTGAGGTGATAAAATTATACTAATAGCAGATTAGTGGTTGCCCAGAGTTAATAAGGGGTTACGGGGCGGAGGTCCTTTTGGCTATAAAGGGACAATACGAAGGAGCTCTGTTGCAATGGAATCGTTCTGAATCTTAACTGTGGTGATAGTCACATGAACCTACACATGTGATAAAATTGTGCAGAACATGCATATAATTGCATGTAAAACTAGTGAAATTCGAGTAAGGTGGGTGGATTGTATCAACTCCAATTTCCTGGTTGTGATATTGTACTATCGTTATACGAGGTGATACTACTGGGGGAAACTGGGTAAAGGGATGAAGGGTACACAGATCTATTTCTTACAACTGCATGTAAATCTACATTTTTAAAAAATAAAAAGTTTTTCTTTTTTAAAAAAGAGGAATACATGTTGATTGTAGAATTGTATAATGCATTATTTGAATTCAACTTTAGGAAATTATTTTTGTTGAAGAATTTGCATATTTTCTTAAAACATAAAAAAAAATCACCGTGTTTCTAGTTTTAACTTTGTGTCAGGAAACATAAAGCCCATAGTACTCCTGCTATGGTAGTTCTTTTTTTTTTTTTTTTGAGACGGAGTCTCACTCTGTCGCCCAGGCTGGAGTGCAGTGATGCCATCTCGGCTCACTGCAAGCTCCGCCTCCTGGGTTCACGCCATTCTCCCGCCTCAGCCTCCCCAGTAGCTGGGACTACTGGGGAGTGCCTGCCACCACCCGACTAATTTTTTTGTATTTTTAGTAGAGACGGGGTTTCACCATGTTAGCCAGGATGGTCTCGATCTCCTGACCTCTTGATCTGCCTGCCTCAGCCTCCCAAAGTGCTGGGATTACAGGCGTGAGCCACCGCGCCCGGCCTTGCTATAGTAGTTCTTAACCTTTCTGAGGTCAGAGTTACCTCTGAAAATTTGATGAAACCTAGGTACAAAATAAATCAACACACACAATTTTGTGCACAATTTCAAGGAGTTGTATGGACCTTATGAAAGTTATCCAACGACCCCATGTTCATGTTCATATACTGTTCAATATGGTAGCCAATAGGCTCATGTGGTTATTTACATTTTTTATATGAAAAATTCAGTTTTTCAGTTGCATTAACTATATTTCAAGCACTCAGTAGCCACAGATGGCTCGTGGCTACATATTCAACACAGAAATAGAATTTTGTATAGTTGTAAAATGTTCTGTTGGACAGCATTTCTCTAGAACATTCAGAATAAGATTTGCTTTTAATTAATTTTTTGAGACTGAGTCTCACTCTGTTGCCCAGGCTGGAGTGCAGTGGTTGATCTCGGCTCACTACAACCTCCACCTCATGGGCTCAAGCGATCCTCCCACCTCAGTCTCCCGAGTAGCTGGGACTACAGGCTGCGCCACCAGCCCTACTAATTTTTGTATTTTTAGTAGAGACGGGGTTTCGCCCTGTTGGCCGGGTTGGTCTCCAACTCCTAAGCTCAAGCAATCCACCCGCCTTGGCTTCCCAAAGTGCTGGGATTACAGGTGTGAGCCACCGCACCCGGCTGAGATTTGCTTGTATTTTTTTTTTTTAATTAACTTCATCGGGCTGGGGACAGCGGCTCACACCTGTAATCCCAGCACTTTGGGTGCCCAAGGCGGGGGGTGGGGGACGACTTGAGCTCTGGAGTTCGAGACCAGCCTGGCCAACATGGTGAAATCCCATCTCTAATAAAAATACAAAAATTAGATGGGCGAAGCGGCGGATACCTGCAGTCCCAGCTACTGGGGTGGCTGAGGCGGGAGAATCGTTTGAACCCAGGAGGCAGAGGTTGCAGTGAGCCCAGATAGCGCCACTGCACTTCCAGCCCGGGCCGCAGAGTGAGACTCCATCTCAAAAAAAAAAAAAAAGTAACTTTATCTACTCATAACTTCAAGAATATTAGGAGGTAGTCAAGAGTCAGGCTTATTTACATAACACCAAAACAACTGGCTAAAAGTGGAATGTTCAGTGACTTTGTTCAAATAGTATATCTTTTATTTTAGTAAACATATATGATACTAACTGTGGCAAAGGGTTATTAAAATAACCCTTTTACTTAACTTTTAACTCAGTTAAGAGGGAAGAGCAAAATTTTAAATACTATGATGGGAAAAATAGCTGAGTTGAGTAACATTTTAGATGTGTAGGCAGAAAAAAACGTGGAGAATGCATAAGGGAACTTCTGTCTTGCAAAAAGTAGCATTCTGGTTCATTGTAGTTTGTCAGATATTTAGGATTAGAAGGTGCTCATGCTCAAAGTGTTAGTGATTTATCAAAGCTCTAATGATCTTTCTCTTAGAAGAATTATACGCTTAAAGCATTAACAATAACCTTGCTTTACTGGCTTTCTTCTTGAGATCTTAAAATTAACTTTTTTCTTTTTTGAATTGAATTTCATTTTCTACCTAAAGCAATGTATAGTTTTCTCAGAGTTGCTGCTTATTAGTCCTTAGAAGGGAATTGAGTCAGTTACAGACACCAGTAGATGGGAAGCAGTGATGCAGATGATACAAAGGAGCAGATAATAAAAAGACACTCGAAGTTGGCTTTGAAATGCATTTTTCAGCACATTTTCATATTCTGTTTTATGCAGGCATTCTCTTCAGACATATAAAGACGTGACTCTGAAGTATGTTGAGTGATCAAAGAAAGTTAGCCTGAGATTTAACCACCACCGGTGGGCTAGCCACATGCAGGTAATTAAATTAATGGCAAAACTTAGCATATTTGTATTCTGTATGTCACCTTACTCCCATGAGCATGTAGCCACTAAAGAGATTCTATGAACTTACTGATCTTATTCATTCTGGGAATTTATTCCCATCTTCAAGATGCTTAGTTTTAAAATAATCAATTAGATTGATTTTTGTTTTATTCAAATCAATTTGGCTGACCTTGGCTGAGTGTCTTGGTGTTCTCATAATTGAAGCAGTTGCCATATGGTGTCAGAAGACATTGGAAATTTGATTTCAGATGTCAGTATAACAAGTTACCCAAACGTGCATGTCCTGCACATGTATCCCGGAACTTAAAATAAAATAAAATTTAAAAAATATGGAAAAATAAACCAAAATAAAATGTGCTTGAGACAAGTACTGAAGTGTTTGAATTAGCCATAAAAATGTTCAACATGCTGTCTGTTGGGCCTTTCTTTTATAAGGTTGGAACAAAAAAATGCTGTGTCATCTGTTGTATAGTGGGTTGAAAAAAGGAATTGCACTCTAACTATGATATGCAATAAATAAATCCTAAATACATATTCACAGGTTTTTCTGGTATGGATAAGTCTGGCTCACTTAGCTAGTTTCAAAAGGAAGATTTAAAAAACCGTCGAGATCCAAATAAATGAAAACTTTGTTATGTGCTTAGGAACTTTCCTGTGTTTTATGAAACAAAATGATCTTACTGTCTGGTGATTGCTCCATAAATATGTAAACCAACTAAATAATTCTACCATCCACAAGAGGATATCTGTGAAGGGGTGGATACTAATTTCAGATTTTTGCAGGGTTTGCAAAAGTGCATTTCCACTCCAACCCTCCACTCCCATGGGGCTAGGCGGTGAGTAGGTGGGGAGAGAGGCTGGCTCCTATAAATAAGCACATCTTCCTATAAATTAAGTGGGTGTTTTGAAAATGAGGAATTAGATTCAGTGATTTTTTTTAGCAAAAATTATTTTTATATTTGCTGTGGATCAAAATATTTTTCAACATCCTGTGTGGTAAAGTAGCAAATATTCAACAAGTATTTTCCCACCAACTTCCTTCACAGTCAAATGGGGTTGTGCACAGTTCAGCTGCATATGTTGTCCACATATAAATCACATTTTAGTTGACCACATATTTCTGCTTATAGCTTCAGAAGAGGCAAATCATGAAGCTAGACTAAACCTAGAGAGACTATTATTTCTAAATTAAATTGGCCAGAATATAGTTGGCTATTTTCTTTGTGAATTTCTCCCTAAGGCACCCAGATCAGCTTTTTTTTTTTTTTTTTTTTTTTTTGACAGACTTTCGTCCAGGCTGGAGTGCAGTGGCACCACCTTGGCTCACTGCAACCTCTGCCTCCTGGGTTCAAGCAATTCTCCTGCCTCAGCCTCCCCAGTAGACGGGATTACAGGCGCCTGCCACCATGCCCTGCTAATTTTTGTATTTTAGTAGAGACAGGGTTTCACCTTGTTGGCTAGGCTGGTCTCAAACCCCTGACCTCAAGTGATCTGCCCGCCTCAGCCTCCCAAAGTGCTGGGATTACAGGCGTGATTCACAGTGCCCAGCCAGATCAGCTTTTCGTATCCCTGAAACTCCAAAAGGTTTTAATTTTGTCAAATTGAAAATTCTTCTGACTCATTTAAGTCAATATCCTCAATAAACTGTAGTTCTCTGAGTTTCCTAATGTATTATCCATAATTGCTTATACCATTTTAACAGAATATATAACAGGTGCAAAAGTAGTGCTTGGAGGACTAGAAATTTGCCTTTTGTTGTGTATATCTTCACTGCTTTCCTTCTGTTCAAAACAAATTCTAGTGGTATATCAAAGACAAGGGTGAAACTGACTCAGGGTCAGGAAAACAACCATATTAAAGGAATTGAGATTATCTATTTTTTTCATAGTTCAGTAGAACATGGTACTTTACTGTTTAGCTTCTCAGGAATCAGAACACAATTTATGCAGTATTTAAAATTTATATGAAAGTAAATTTAGAACATTGGAGTGTTTGTTCATTTTTGCCATTTTGTTTGGCTGAAGGTAAAAGTCTTAAATTACCCTTCTCTTCTGAGTAATATTTTCTTTCCCTAAAGTACAAATAGGATATGTGATTGAGGAAGCCTTTCAAAAAAATATAGACTATCTCCAAGATCTTACCGTAGGGAAATAAAAATATTCCCATAAGAAGTTAAAACAGGCTGGGCACAGTGGCTCACACCTGTAATCCCAGCACTTTGGGAGGCCGAGGTGGTGGGATCACCTGAGGTCGAGAGTTCGAGATCAGCCTGACCAACATGGAGAAACCCCGTCTCTATTAAAAATACGAAATTAGTTGGGCATGGTGGCATCTGCCTGTAATCCCAGCTACTCGGGAGGCTGAGGCAGGAGAATTTCTTGAACCCGGGAGGCAGAGGTTGCGGTGAGCCCAGATTGGGCTGTTGCACTCCAGCCTGGGCAACAAGAGCGAAACTCCATCTAAAAAAAAAAAAGAAGTTATAACAGTTAAAAATGTTCCAAGTAAATATAAAACAACACAAAACCACCACAGCTTCATATTATGAAAGTATAATTACATTTAAATGGCACAGTTCAGTGAAATGAAAGCCTAAAGTAGAAGATTCATAACGTATTATTGCTTGAATGAGACAAGTTTTATCAATATTTATCAGTTTGCTAACATTTTATGTATTTATAGAGTAAGGATTAATGGGCTGTGGACATCTATTTCTTCAGAGAAGTATTAATAGGATATCCAATAATTTGAACAATATCCACAAATGAGCAATGGGGATATTCTTTTAGATATAACTTTTTTCATTGTCAGAAGTACAGCCTGAGCATACAAAATAAAGGAAATAGAAGCCTACTTTCATTATGAAATTATTTTGCAAATAGAGTGAAACTATACTAATAAAACTTGCTTGAAGTAGGCAAGTTCTATAATTGGAGTTATAGAATATAGTAATATTTTATTATTTTGGAGAATGGTTAGCACTCATTCCATGATAAAGAAAATTCATACTGTATATAAGTTCTGCACTAGGAACCTTGTACAAAAAAAGACCCCACAATTTTTCTAGTGCTTTAGGAAGTATTCATTTGCATAAAAGCAACTGAAGTATTAATTCAAATCACATTATTCTTTGAAGCAGATTTCTATATTTCATTAGCTTTGATTACATTACTATATAGCCTTAAAACAGGCATTTTATGTATTTTTAAATATATCCTTCCATTGTTAAGAAAACTTCTGTCAGGTAGGCCTTCCTCTTAAAGTTTTTTAAAAATATAAAATGCAGCCCTATTATTTTCAAGTAATATAATAACACAAATGAATTGCTACTAAAATGATGCCAAAAAGAAGCACTGCTGGATCTGCTTTATTGAATAGGCAAAGATTGTTTGCAGAAAACAGTTGCTTCTATATACTACTTAAAAGAGTTTCTTTCTCTGAAAGCACTTAATAATCTCCTCACTCCTCTAAGTGCTAACCCCACATTTTAAACTTAGATTAAACACTGGTGAGAATTAATGAGGTTTTTAATACTCTACTCAAATTCACATGGTATGATGGAGATCACTACATCTACAATAGCTTATGTAGATAAGTGGAGAGTAATGTTAACTAATTCCACAATATCGTGCAGTGAAACAAGATCTGAACTGGAATCTGTTTCCTTCACTCCATAACCCTGTGTGGGTGTAAGCACTTTATGTAGCTGTGTGAATCACTGTTGGTAACCTAGGCAGTTCCTACTGCCAGAGCTTTATATAGAAACAGCCTACAAAGAAGTCATGTCTCCAACTGCCAGCTAAAGATGAGACATCAAATAGCTGTGGGGAGAGCAGACAGAGATTAAAAGAACACTCTGTTAAGAGTCAGCATGGTGTCATCAAGCCGAGGAACCCCAATCTTTCTGGTGTTATCACACTTAAATGGTTCTAGATAAGATTATGAAGTAGGAAATATTTGACTGGGGGGATAGATGCTCACTTTTCCAGCCTCATTCATTCATTTTCATACACTCATTTATTCATTCATCAATGAGGGCCTGATATGAATCAGTCACTGTGCTATACTGAGATGAATGAAACAAAGTCCCTGGATCTCCGTCAGTGTTGTACTGCTTCCAGATCATACCTCAATCAATCTGCTGTTTTACACTCAGGTTGCCATCAATGAATTAATCCCTGCTAAGTTATCAGTAGTACTTTTCAGTTGGTGTTTTTTTTTTCCTGGGACCATTTGCCTTTTTAACAAGGACTCAAAGACCCTACAGCTTTTAAAACCTGAAAGAATGCTGTTTTAATGAAGGATGAAATTTTAGACAGCATGCTAATAGGGAGGAGAATATTGTTGGGGAGGGGGACTCCTGAGACACAAAAAACCGCACATCACACAGGTGACTGGCCCCCAAATCCTTCTCCAAGACACAAAAGTAAAGTCATCCTCAAAAAGTAGATGGAGTATATCCCATCCCACCAAAAGAAAATTTAAAAAATAATTTATTTATAATTATTTTAGTGGTAAAAACATTGAAATTCTAACATTAGTTAAGAAAAAAAGCCAACATGTCAATACCACTGATTGGTAATTGACTGGATGATATAAAGTAAATAGAAGACAACTTAAAATATGTCCTATATTGCTCAGGAAAGCACAACAAGGAAAAATGTGTGAAAGTTAGAGGAAGGCACATTTTGGCATAGTTTGAACAATAACTTTCTAAAAACTTGAGCTGTTCAGCAATGAACTGAAATGCCTTGTGAGATGATGAACTCTCTGTCCCTGACAGTGCTCAAGTAGTAAGTGAATGACCACTGGACAGGGTTTTAGTTTAAGGGATTTCTGAAGTACATGGAAATTATGTATTTTTTAATGTTTAAGCTATGAATCTATTAGTCTATAATAGTTAGGAATTCAGGAATTATACAAATGAATACATAAGAATACATAAAAATAGGCAAAAAGGCAAAATTAGCATGACCCGAACTATGTATGTAAATTTTGAATAGGTGCCAAGTAAAGGAAATATCAGGATAAACTGTTAGCCAAAAAAGACTTCTTGTAGGACAAACATTTTTGCCCAAGAGTTTAAAGTGGGAAAGAGACACAGACAGGTGAAGAAGAGGGAGAGTGAACTGAAAACAAGGATGACTTCATGAGCATCATCTTGCTACTACCGTAGTTTTTACTGTCTACTATAGAATAGACATTGTGCAAAGTGCCTTCTTTATATGCATTATGTAATTTAATCCTTACAACCACCCTATATAAAGTAGTACCACATACTCTTATTTCTTTTCAGATCCTATACATCTTTCGCCGTTTAAAGTAGTATTGCTAGTATTCCCATTTTACAGATGAGATGACTGAGATAAGAAGACTGAAATTCAGAGTGTTTAAGTAACTAGACCAAGATCACACAGCTAGAAAACAAACAGTAGATCTGGGATTCAAACCCAGGTCTATCCCCCTACAAAGCCCATGCTTTGAATCACTACTACATCTCACTGCTTCTGGTAGAAGCCATGCATGCTTGAAGTTTCAGAGATAGAACTATGAAATGTAAAACTTGGGAGGACAAATATTTGGCTCTCAGTAAACATTTGTTGAGTGAATAAGTAAACCCTTGTTTTTTTTTGTTTTTTTTTCACATAAGGAAGCATTTATTTGAGGTTTAACATGAAATGATACAAATAAAATGTGTATAAACAAATCCACATTGTTTTTTAGATTTACAAAAATCACAGTTTTGCCTTCTTTTATTCCCAATTTGGAAAATCCAATTGTCAGCCAGAACTTGCTCTCCCTAAGAGATTTCCTCCTAGCCACACTGCAAAGCTACCCTTGGCCAAGGCTATGGACAAGTAAACAAGAATTAATAGCAACCCAGGGGTTCATACCCTAGGGTTTCTCTTCATCCCTTGGTCTCCCATGTCGTGGAGGTATCATGTGGTAATGCATCAGGTTAGAGGCCTAGTATTTCTCTGTAGGCCTTCTTTAAGCCTTTAAGCTGCCCTTATTGAGGTAATGAACAGCAGCTTTCAGGTGAGAAAGATGTATTCCTTGTGAAACAATCAAATCACACTCCTTCTTCTAACCAACATGTGATTTACCCACCTCTCTCTGAGTTCTGCTCCAAGGAGTCCTCACAAAGCCCTTTGGTAAATATGGTCATTTTGCATATCCTGGCTTTTTGAGAAAACTAATTTTCTAAGAGCATTTGCCTGTGTGTATGGTTGAAATGGTACTACATTTCTCAGATGTAACTACTGTGGCCTCCAACTGCAGCTAATCTTGCTATACATAAGTTAACTGAGCATTTAGATGCTGGCTGCATCCTATATGAGGCTAAAAAAATCAGTTGAAAAATTATTTCTGAAAAATGGTTATTCGGTCCATGCTGACATTTTTAGAGCTAAAACAATATCAAACATCCTATTTGACTGATTGTACACTTCTCTTCCTCTGCTGAATTGACTGCTTTGAGGAAAAGAACTCAATTTACAATTCCATTTAAAAGCTAAAAATATACATAAGTAAATGTTGATTGGATTTAATTCAATTCTGGAATGCAGGGTATCCGGGCATTTAATGATTGCAATTTTGACATCCTAAGGCCTTGACTAAGTTTCTACCAGTTTTTACTAAAATCCTAATCTCCTCAATGCAGATAGGTAATTAGCATTAGTCATAACAAACAGATCATTTTCCAGCCATTTGATTTATTAAAAGAGCCCCAAATAATTTTTCATGTGCTTGTTTCTTATAATGATTTCCTATTTTTATGCAACATCCTCCAGATACCCAGGTGACACTCAAGTCAAGGACCAACTTGTACCTGGATTAAGACTATAAAGCAGTTCCATTTGGAAACCTAGGGCGGGTTAGTTTTATATTCAGGTCATTTAGCACTTGTTACCCTCCACCGTACCCTACCTCCCTGCCCAAACATTGACATGCTTCTCCATCCCTGTGATCTACAATCATAGCTCTAGGAACAAACCCTTGTGATTTAAATTTATTCACATTTTCACCTCTAATCTGTTCAGCTCTGCCCTTGCCAGCTCCTTCAAGAGTGGCTGCTCCCTTGTGAATAATGCTCTTACATTTCATATACAATGCCAGCCCTTTACATTGATAAACCAAGTACCATACTTGCCTGAGACAAATTTACTCCAGAATTTTGTTTCTAATCTTTACATTATTGCCACCTGGTATCACATTCATTCCATCCTTAGCTAGTTTCCCAAATGGAAGCTAATTTGTTTACTATTCACTTCTGTGCTCCTCTCTCTGTACTACTCATTACTTTCTTCTACTTCTCCTCTCCTAAAAGTTTCCATGTGTCTTCTAGATCTCTGGTTACATGACAGATGTTTAACTTGTATACTTTCCTCATCTTCTCTTCACTGTGGGTTCCCTGTGCTTCCTGACTCAACCAAAACCCGTCTTATCATGAGGACACGACTTCTCCTTCAGATATTTTCAGTAAGGCAGCTCATCTGTTCGTGCCCCACATATTTCAAGGAATAGGAGTCTCTTCACTCCCACATTGTTGTTTCCAGACTACTCCCCAGCTCTTTTTTTTTTTTTTTTTTTTTCTGAGACAGAGTCTCGCTCTGTCGCCCAGGCTGGAGTGCGTGGCGCGATCTCAGCTCACTGCAAGCTCCGCCTCCCGGGTTCACGCCATTCTCCTACCTCAGCCTCCCGAGTAGCTGGGACTACAGGCGCCAGCCACCACGCCTGGCTTTTTTGTATTTTTTAGTAGAGACGGGGTTTCACCGTATTAGCTAGGATGGTTTTGATCTCCTGACCTCGTGATCTGCCCTTCTTGGCCCCCCAAAGTGCTGGGATTACAGGCGTGAGCCACCGCGCCCGGCCTACTCCCCCACTCTTATGAATCAAAATCTGCTTCTTGGAGACTCAACAGCATTTGGTTTTAATAACCTCTATTACCTTCCTCTCTGCTTGGCCATGGACCAACCTCCCAGTAATTTTCACACATTTATCGAAGACATTATCATTTGGATCACAGCCATCCTTTTCACCCTCAAATCTTTCCATCACCCAACATTCTGTCCTCAGTGTGGTTTAACTTCAGGAATTTTTGTTGCCATTCCACTTTATTGACCCCACTGCCATGGCCATACTCTGTATATTATCAGCATCCTAATCTGCTAAACCTCCAAAATCCTAACAGAAATATCCCACTTTCTGACTGGTTATCCTATAACTCTCTCACTTTCATATTCCCGGTACTGGTCTTTGACTTCTCTGCTATCACCTTCTATGTTGATGACCCTTCCAACACTCTGACCTTTACAATTTCTTAATTGCTTCAGTTCTAATAACCTTAACATTTCTAGTCTGCCTTTTATGACTTGCGTAAATATTAGTCCCCTGACTACATTTCCCTCCTTGAGGGCAATGATGATATTTTTGTACCATTTTTTACAGTGCCTTCCATAGTATATGCTCACTGGAGAGGTAGTATTGTGTACTGATTAAGAGCACAGACTCTTAATTATTAGGATATTAGGTTTCAAATCTCAGCTTTGAAACGTACTAGCTGTATGACCATGGCGAATTTAACCAATCTCTCTGTGTCTCAGTTTTCTTATATATAAAATGGAGATACTGACACTATGTACCTCATAGCAGTTGTTGGGATGATTACACTGAGAAGAATGCTCGGCACATAGTTAACAGAGTACTTACAATTAACAACTGCCTTCATAAAGGGGAAGGAAAAACAGATACTTTAACAGGTACATTACTGAAAGAAATAAAGAGTTCCAATTTATCATGAGAAATGATGCTGAGACAGTCATTTAAAATATAAATGGAAAGCAAGTGAATTATTAAGGAAATTTTCATTTCTCTTTGTTCTTTCCACGGGGGAGATGTCAATGTATTGATTATTGCTAGAGACGAATTCACTTAACTACATTGTGTTACTATCATTGCATATTGAGGTCATTAGCTAGGTCATGCTGAGAATATATGTCATTAAAAATTTAGGCAAAAATATGATATACATCTAAAACTCTAAAAAGTTACAGTTAACATTACTATATTGTTAAATATTTACATGACTATTAACATTACTATACTGTTGAATATTTGTGTGCTCAAAGCATGTCCTGAGCATAGGTGGAACAGGTTGTTGCTTGCATGATGTGATGAGGGACACTCTGAAACATCATCTCCTGGAATTCACTCTTCCACTGTTCTGTCAAAGGTCCTGATATCACCAGTAAGAAATCTGTTTTGTTTTTCTTTTAAGGCATGTTGTTTCTAGGTGCAACAAGTAAATCTTTCCCCCAACTTTATCAAAATAGCACCTGAATATCGAACAATTTTCTAAATAAGTAGCACATAAAACTTGCAAGTTTAGACAGAAACAGATATAATTTGTTTATATGATGTCCTTGCTGCCTAGGGAATGTACTCTTCGAATGAAGGAAGAGAGGTAGCTGGGGTAAGAGCACTTATGAACTGAGGACTGCTGAAATGAGAGCGACAGAGAGTACTTAAGAGGAAGTAGCCTACTTTATATAGGCTCAGGCATTGTTCTGTGTGTATTTACACACACACTCTTTTCTAATAATTGCAAGTAATTCTGGGGGAAATCTATGTCTGAGCAGCAAATCATAACATAATAAATGAAACATTAAAAATTTAGGAGGAAGAGGCCAAGAGTTAAGCAAAGGATATGTTAATGAACAAATGGCACATGTTTAGATGCTTTCAAAATGTTCTTTGATTTTAAAATGGAGAAAAGGGAGATGAAATGTACTTGAAAGGGCTCACAGTAAATTTACTCATTTTGTTTTTATCCGGAAACTGGTGCCCAGAGGTACTATATCTTGATTTCCTTATAAACATACATTTTTATGCAATTATGTTTGTATGTGCCTGTACCCAGGGGAGGGGGGCACCTGGGCATTTGTGTGAAAGCATAAAAGAGGTACTAAAATAATTTGTTATTGTAAGTCAGGTAAAAAAAAAAGCTTATGATGTTTCAGAGATTCATGAATTCCAAGCATAGCTGAGTTATTTTCCAGGCGTAACATGTTATATACTTACTAATACATCCCATAATCATGTCAATTTTTTAAATAACTGTGTCATTCTTTAGTTGACTTGTGGTACAATGTAGTTGTCAAATATTTTGCTTAGAAACCTGTCTTTTTTGCCCATATATTTCTATTTTATATCTGTCTCTACATTTATTATTCTTTACTATTCACCATGGTACTTCATCTTGTTTTTAATAAATAATTTTCCTAACTTGTCAAGATGCTTTTACTGTTTGTTTGTGTCTTACAACTTGACACTCAACTCGGAGTCACAATGAAATTTCTTTTTCAATTGTTTTATCCAGGGCACTAATAAAATTGTATTTGGAAAATAACCCAAAATTGTCCCTTTTACCTATTGTTTCTTCTTTCCATACCTAATTTATGGAGATCATCTATTGTTTCTGTATACCACCTTATTATTTCTCCCAAGCTAACAGTAAACTATTGGATTTCCCTTTTGGGCATATCCTACATGGTGACTCTATCTGTATCTATCGACACACAAACATATATGCATATATACATATATATTCATATTCTAGTTAAGCCATAAGAATAACAAAATTAAAAAATCTTACTGAAGTCCTGAACCTTGATAAAGACTATCTCCCAGAAGCTTCTATCAAATAACATACTCAATGATAGAACGGTGGGAGCACTTTTTAGTAAAGTCAAGAACAAGTCAAGGATGTATACTGTTATCACTATTGTAGCCCTAGACAATGGAATAAGACCATTGGAAAAATTAAGAGGTAGAATTAAAATAAAAGAAGAAGCAAAACTTTCTAGAGAAAATGATCACTTATCTTGAAAATTCAAGAGAATCAATGGATGAATTAATAAAATTAATAGGAGTTCAACAAGGTGGTCAGATGCAAGGTCAACAATAGTGATACAAGATCAATATCAATAGCTTTCTTATGTATCAGCAATAATTATGTTAACTGAAGTATTGTTTGTAAAAGAGCAGCACTGAAAACAACCCAAATGTCCATTGCTAGGGGACTGGTTAAATAAATTATGTGTGTGTGTGCAATATTAATATAATGCAATAGTTAAAAGAATGAATTTGATTTAAATACAAATTTACTGACATGAACATAACTCCAGTTCCTATTGTTGAGTAGCTAAAGCAAGCTACAGAATAACTTTGTTAATATTAAAAATAAAACACAAATTGACTACGTGTTTTCTGTACGTATATATGCAAAAATGAATAGAAAAAGTCTGAAAGGTTACATACTGAATGAATAGCAATAGTTATCTCTTGAAAAGGTGCTGGAATTGGGGGTGGTAGTCAAGGGGAGACTTTAGTTATATTGTTAGTGTTTTTTATAGGAGAAACTACTCATTTATTACTTGTATCAGTAAAAATAAAAACAATTTAAAAAATACAATAGTTTGCCAAATTTACCAAACTTCATTTCAACTTGTCCATCTTTTCACATATAAAAGAGAATTGTTTTGTAGCTTCTTAAACTTTTATTCATTGAGCAAATAGTGAAGACCATGCACTATGCTCTGTACAATGGATACAATGGCAAACATGACAGACGTGGTCTCTGTCTTCCTGGAACTTACAATCTAGTGGGAGAAACAAATAATAAACAAGTAAGAAAATAATTAGGCCAAGTGCGACGGCTCACGACTATAATCCCAGCACTTTGGGATGTCGAGGCAGAAGGATTACTTGAGACTAGGAGTTCAAGATCAGCCTGGGCAACACAGTGAGACCCCTGTCTCTAAAAAAATAAAATAAAATTGCCTGGTGTGATAACACAGGCCTGTGGTCCCAGCTACTTGGGAGGCTGAGACAGGAGGATTGCTTGAGCCCAGGGAGTTCGAGACTTCAGTGAACTTTGTTTGTGTCACTGCACTCCAGCCTGGGTGACACAGCAAGACCCGTATCAAAAAAAAAAAATTAAATAAATAAATTTAAAAAATAAATTAAAAAAGAAAATATACATTAAAATAAATTTTAACAAGAACGACCTGAAGGTTTTGATAGAAAATAATATGTATAAGGTCAAGGGAGACCCGTTAGAAGAAACATTTAAACTGGTATATGGAGTACCTGTTATGTGTGATAACGATGGTGGTGAGAGAGAGCAAAGCAAGTAAAAAGTGTCCCACGCAGGAAAAGCTTCACGTGTTGGAGAAAATGTCCGAAGATCAGAGTGGTTGAAGCATTGTGAGGGAGAGGGAAAGAGTAGACTGTTAGGTTGGAGAGATAGGCAGAGGCCAGATCATGCAACTCCTTTTAGGCCTGATAAAATTTAGACTTTATTTGAAGAACAATGGAAAGTCACTGGGGAGTTCTGAGAAGAGGAGTGATGTGATCGACCTATATGTTTTGATCACTCTGGCTTCTGTGTAGAGAATATATGGGGTAGGTTGAGTAGAAGCAGGGAGCCCAGTTTGGAGGCTATTTGCAGTAGTCAGTGCGAGAGCTGGCGGTAGCCTGTACTAGACTAGTGGTAGTAGATAGACATGGTTATATTTTGGAGGCAGTGTTATGTGAAAAAAAAATGAAGGAGAAGTGACTCAGGCAGAGGAGGCAGCAAGTACAAAAGCTTGCGCTTATTTCTCTTTGTTAAAAAACAGAGAGAAAACCAGAGTCGCTGAGGCATGGTAATGCAGGGCAGAAGGGCATAGGATAAGGTCTGATTGTACATGATTAGCATCAAACCTTGTAGGCCTAGGCTCAAGGCCTGGATTTTATTCTAACTGGGGTGGAATTACATTTTCCACAGGATCACTCTGGCTGCTATGTGCTACAGAGGGGCGAGAATAGCAAGAGAGAACACTTAAGAAGCTATTGCAGTGGTCCAGGTGAGAGATGATTTTGGCCTGGGCTTGGATGGAGGCAGCAGAGGTGAAAAAGTGAATGGACTTAAGAAATGCTTGGAGGTAGGATCAAGAGAACTTTATGTTTAATGAGATGTGGGAGCGAGGATGAGGAAGGCATCAGGGGTTACTTTCAGGCTGTCTGGCAAGGAAATGTTTAGTGGAATTGAGGCACTGAAAGGAGTCCCGTGTGGCAAGAGTTCAGTGAGTAGAAGAGGAGGGAGTGAGAGGAAATGAGGTCACAGCAGTAGGCCAGATGATTCAGAGCTGGATAAAGTCTTGGAAAGAAGTTTGAATTTACCCTGAGTGTCATGGGAAGCCACGGAAGGATTTTAAACAGAATGAGATTTATTTTCTCTAAAAAGCCACTTTGGCTTACAGTCTGGAGATTGGGCTTGGAAGGGGAAAAGAGTGGCAGGGAAATCAACTGGAAAGCTGTTGTAGAGGTCTAAGATAGAGTGAGTGGTGTCTTGGAGATGCACAGAATTAGACAGATTTGAGGCTCATTTGAAATGCAACTGATTAGTTTTCTTGAATTAAGCTCTTCTTTATGTACATATCTGAGTTAGTTTTACCGAAGTTTTTTGTCATCTTCTCACTTCATTTATATACCATGCTTTTATTTCCCCTTTTACTTCTAGAAAAACATTTTTATAAAGCATGTGAGTTTGCTGCTATAATTAAACCCTTCCTTTTCATGCACTTCACTACTCTGGAATTGGTTGAGTTTTGGAGATTCTGAATGCCGCACACTTGACTCTAATCCACTTCGTTGGACACAGCTGAAATGATAAAACGTAAAAACCATTTTATCCCTCCCAAATTACTGACCTTGCTGATATAAACTACATCCAAATCTAAGCATTTCTTAAGACATTTTACCTAAAAATAACATATTTAACTTCCAAAGCTGTCTGCTCAGCAAGCAAGTACTTAACATGTTACGCGTCTTCTGCTTGAATAACTCAGGAGTCCTGAATTTTCTTGCATCTCTAGAATAGAACTGAAAGGCCATGTCTGCAGTGCTCGGAAAAGATTGTTAGGAAGTTACATACTTACTTAAGAACATGGTAAACATATCCTTTTATTTCCCACCTCATCAAAATGCCGAGTCAAAATCCCATTATTCCTTCTGGTAAGCTAGAATATGAAAATATATGTATATATACATATATGTTTGTGTGTAGATAGATAGAGATATACTCACCAATGCAGAATATAACCCAAAGGAGAACTCCAAGAGCAAATTAGGAAACTGATACTGGACACAGCACAATGGGAAACTGAGTTAGAAGTTTACCTCCAATTATTAGGCTATACACTATTCTTCCTCAGTGGAAGCTATTCTCAAACTGAAATTATCCCCTTCAGAAAAATAACACTCTTAGTAGGGAGGCTGTAAATAGACTGGACTCAAGAGTAAGGACATTCTGTATTTAAATCATGAAACCATGTGAGGCAAGGAGTGTGGAAGCATCCCTTAGACTTATCAGGTCCCTTGAAGGCAACCTATAAGGGATGCGGAGGCACAGAAATGTGAAAGGACATGGGGGAAGAGAATATATTTGCACAACAGTACGAGGGTGGGTGAAGTAGATTTTCAGTGAGAAAGAGACAAGTTGCCCCTGATATTTAGGACCTAGCCTGGCACTCTCAATTAAGCCTTGACATTTTCTTGTTGAATATAAACCATCTCACAGAACATCAACATTAGAGAAGGTCAATCTGTGACTATGATGGATCAAAACAAACAAACAAAAAAGACCACTCCATAATCAGGTCTGAACACAGACAAAATATGGACAGTGTCCTCGCCACAAAAACTACCAAATATTTCTCTATTCTGGCTAATAAGGGTAACTACCAAATATCTCTCTATTCTGGCTAATAAGGGTAACTATTGCTTCTTTACCAATTACAGCTTTAGCCATGGGCTAGTCTTCCCCACTTACAAAAAAGGTTTATTTAGAAACCTAAACACAGAATTACAACTTACTGGCAGCCTCCAAGTTCAGAACAAAGCCAGCTAGGGTGGCCAACTTGTCACAATTTTCCCAGGAATTTCCTGGTTTAACATTAAGAGTCCCATATCCCAAGAAACCTTCAATCTCAAGCAAACTAGAATGGTTGGTTAACAGTCATCTTCCTTCAACTCTCCCCCAAAACACATAAGCAAGCCCAAATCCTGCAAGTCCTTTTTAACACCCTCTTAGTAGGATGCCCTGTGGTTTTCCATGGTGTGTGCTCTTCCAATTGCTGCAACAAGTAATAAATCTACCTTTTTAAACTACAGGTCTGTTGCTAGCGGTCTTTGGCTGGAGAGCACTGACATTAGAAAGAAGCAGAGAGACACAACATTGTGGAAGTGCTTAGTAAGACCTAGTACAGGATAATGGGACTGAAGGAATGAAGAGGTAGGGGGAGCCAGAGAAGAGTAGAAGAGTACAAGGGCCTGAGGGGGCTACAGTGTGATTTTCTGAAAAGGTGGTTTTTAGGGGGTAATACAAGATGAGATGACAGAAGGTGAAATCGTGAGCTTTATTGTAGGAGGATTTCCCCCATCCTCTGTGTCAAAACAAAACAAAACACGAGTGAAAAGACAGCAACAACAAACAAAATGTTGGCATAAAATAATGACAGTCTTTAATGATCTAGTGTCTGGTCATCTAGTTTTCATATCCACACTTGATTCCTTATGTTTGTCAGCTGCATCACTGAATAGTTTTTATATAAAGGAAATTTCTAGGAAGGAAAAAATCCAATGGCACACTATTTGGCAGGTCTTAAAAGGGCAAAATTCCAAATTTAGTTTTAATTCTTTGGGGTTGATATCATCATATGTTAAAAAACAATGTTCATTAAATAAACACACTATAACAGTGCCTGAAATATAGTAAATGCCAGTAAATGTTAACTATCACAGTTATGATCATTATGCTATCTTTTTCAATGTGTTTATTTTAAAATAGGTGCAATACTGTAGCTTTAAAATATTTTTGATCATGTGTCTTTGGTTATATTGGAGGTATATATTGAATGATAAGTCTAACTGCCTCCTTTTTAAAACTCTGTTCAGAGTCACATATTCAAATGATTATGCACATGTTTCTTTTGGAGAGATTTACTGTGAGTGATCTTTGGTAAATATTTCAAATTTACTGGCAGGGTACCTACATTCTACTAGATATTGGTCCCTAATACAGGTTGCAAAGAAAGTTTTGAAAACAGGACTACTATTTAGTTTGATACTGTTTGTATTTCAAAAATAGCAGGAGAGTGAATAAGTAGAATGTGTTCATGCAAAAGGAAACCCAGAGTATTCAGGATCTCTAAGTTTAAATGTATAGCAAGTTGGTTCCTTAGAACAGATTTAATTCCTAAGTTTTATCAGAAAATGGCATTAGTTTCTTTCTACAAAAATGAAAGTCACTCGTAAAAACACAGGAACAGGCAGGGAATGCTTATGAAATGCTCTTAGCTAGAAAATAATATAAAATGTGAATGTCTGAGCTCTTGCAGTGTCCAGGATGTGTCACAAAAGGTAGCACATGGAGTTTTGTTACATCTACAATAATTTTGTACTGCTGAAGTTCATCTTACTTGTTTTTTTGATGCTTAGCGAAATAAGCAGTTTGGTTTTCAAATATTAGTACCAAACAGTGATATTGTATGTGTACAACTTGGAACATTCCAAGCACCATACTATTCTTAACATAAGTTTGATTTTCTCCTTTTCATAATTCTAAAATCTGTTTAATTTAATTTGCATTAATTTTCTTAGAGGCCAAATTTGGCAATAACACCAATTATCAAAATTTTGTATTCATTTACTGTCAGCGCTTGCCTTGATTGAAATTATTCCTTTTTTTTTTTAGACCAAGTCTGATAAAAACACACATACCTATCCACAGTGAACAAAATGGGGTTCAGAAGTTTACTTCTTCATTGGTTTAAAAATCTATTTACTTGGAAACTGTTTTTTTAAATAAATAAAAACCAGTGATTTTCAGAAGTAACTCCTTTAAAAAGTTAATAAATTAGAAGTTTCTATTTACTTAAGAAGCCATTAGTAAATATTTCTAAGGGAAATCTTTATTTTCTTTGTTAATTACAGTGTTATCCTATTTCTGCCATACACTTTTCAATGGGTAATATCACGTTTTTGCAGATTCGTTTGTATCAGTCCCGCAAAAAGATTCAAATCTTACAAGCATACAGTAGAGTCAAGTTCTCATTTCTATAACATTTTACACACTTATAATATGCTATTATTTAAGCATAATGAAACTGTTTTGCAGTTTCACAAACTTGAAAACATACAATCCCTTTTGCAGGAGAAAATAAATCAAACTGAGAAGTGCAAATTAATAATGAAATTAAATTTTTTAATGTTTAGAGGTAAAGGCACAGTTTATTAAAAAGCAACTCACGATATAATGCCCACTGAGGAAACTTATATTGCTAAGAAAACATGAAAGAAAATAGGAATCACTTCATGAATTGCTACTGTCTTTGGAACAAATTAATTAAAAATATTAAATAATAATAAAGTAATTACAAGTTGTGCCAGGCAAGAAAATTTAAAGTAAAATTATTTTACAACCTTGTTGCCAGATCCTAGACCAGTTCTAGATGGAAATACCATTCTAAGATAAACGGACATTAACTCTCTTTGTGAATCAATTATTACTTACCAAAATTTGCCATCTGTATCGTCTGATTGCCAGTCTCTGGAGCATTGTAAATCACAACAGCATCAGCATTTCTTCTGCCCGCTGTTTGAATTTTTTCTGAAAATGTACAATTACCTCTTTCTATCAGCGCAATCCAGGGCTTCTTAGTATTACTAAACTCAGTGTTGTGGTCACAAGCTTGGTAGTTATTGTTCTTAGGGATGCCTACCACTCCCATAGCATTAGCCACTGGTGAAGCTAATCCATAAACGCCACATTCACATGTCTCTATTGCAGTGTAGTTGCTGGTTTCATTGTAATAAGTCACAGTCACATAGGCACTCATTGAAAAAGATGCTGTAATTTTAAGTAAAAAGGTAAAAATTACAAGGAGCCAAAAAAAACTGGACCTATTCTCCTGGTTCATTGCTCATTCATTTGAGTATAAAATTTAAGATGTTTGCTGATATTTCCAACTATCAGTCACCATTGTCCACTCACGTCCCTGCTGAACAGAAGTTTGAAATTTCAGTTGCACGTAGGTAACTGATCTCACCTCTAGCAACATAACCTCTGGATACATCAGCTCTATTTCACTTTAGTTATCTACATTCCCCTTTGCTTGCCCCTCCTCCAGCTGTACACACAGGTAACCCTTAACCAGGACTACCTTAGTAATAAATAACACCATCAACTTTATTCTACATGTCAACTTATTAGGATTGGATGACTTCCTGCAGTACATTTTTTTTTCTTCTTACTGTTCCAACTAATGCACTTTCATAAACATGGAGTGGATTGGAAAGAGGAACTGGACTCTGGGGAATCCCACGTGACAAGGCTGAAAGTTACCTCTCTCAGAATATCTAAAACACTAAACTGGTTTGCCAAGCCCTGCTGAAATATGCTATCAACCAGTTCAGCCTGGAGTAAGTTAAGATCCATGAGTTTAATTGCTATGGCATTAGTAGAATGAATTTTATTGCTTTTTTCTCTTCTAATTTCTCTCTCTCTCTCTCTCTCTCTCTCTGTGTGTGTGTGTGTGTGTGTGTGTGTGTGTGTGTGTGTTTTCTTAGCAGGCTCCCCAAGGGATATCCTCTGTTACCTTGTTTATTCGTTGGAAAACAAACATATTTCAGTAGCTAGAATTCCTTTCCTTTCAAGTATAGTGCCTTGCCCATGGCAGGCACTCAAATATTTGTTGATTGATTGATACCTGCAAGTTGCTGCATTCCATTAATTTTTGTGCCCCATGTGTTATACTCTAAAAAAGGTTGTTGAAGGTTTAATTTTTAACATTTACATTTTTAAATTTTTAGTTCTCCCAGATGTATAGACAACTTTATTTGTTTCATTGCTTCCTTTAGTTCAAGCTCTGTTTTTATTCAGGAGCACACTGGACACTAAGAGCATTAGGACACATACGCTACGGGGTCAACTGGTCTGTGAAAATTGCTGGGATGGGGAGATTGCAATGTGTGCCAAGGGCTGATGAAGGAATAGATGAACGAACAAGACAAACAGAGATATCAGGAGTCTGACTGGGCCAAGAGTCAGCAAACTAGACAAACAGGCATCAGGCTTCCAGGGAAGCAAAAAGCTACCAGGTCAAAAGGAAGGTAGGGACAATGGTAGTCCAAGGTCCAAGTCAGGTAATCTGGAATCAGGAAGGTTTACTAGAGTCAAGGGGACAGGACAACCGAAAATAAAAAAATAGGAGACGTTGTTGATGGAGGTGGTCAATGAAGCTGTTTCTTCTCCCTACTTCTTGTCCGCTTTTAAACATCTGAAATATCAGTGTTGGAGTGGACCCTGCAGGTGAGAATTAACAGTTCACACCACTCAGCAGAGGGAAGGAGTTCAGGGAATCAGCAGCAGAACCTGCTGAATAAATCCCAGCAGATGTATAATACAAATATGAACCTTGCTATCATATCATAGCTGCCAATTACTCATTAGCGTACCCTCCCATAGTACCTGGTACTACTAGCATCATACACCTAGTAACAGCCTAATAATTCATATAATTGAACTGAAAAGATTAAAGGTCTTGTGTATTAGCTTATGGTCAATTTAAGAGTAAACACAAATAGTTCATTATTTTGCTACTAGCCCTATCATTTTGATGTGTTTTTAGGATCACAATAAAGCCTGTATTCACCAGAGAAAATTATCAGACTAAAAACAGAAATGTTATTATTGTTATTATAAATGTTGTCAAAACCATTAGCTTAGAGATTGCTGATGGACAGTCTTTTGTGATAAATTCAACATCAACATTCAACATTTAAATAATTAGTAAAATCCCAGAAATTTGATCTATCCTTTTCTGCCAATTAAATTACTCCTTAAAAAATCTTCTCATGAAAAACTTTAAAAGCAGATTAATGAGAAGTTACCTAAATCCATTAGAAGTCAAATTTTAAAAAATAATATTTCTTTGTTTATCTTAAGATTTCTTTTCATTATTTTGTGTAGGGATTTTTTCTTAGTTACATGATCATATTTATATATTTTTAAATTAGTTTTTCATTTAATATCTCAGTCATTATATATTTTATCTTATAATCTTTGTAGACAATGCTTTGTTGGATAAATGATATTCCATTAATGGAAATACCTCGGTTTACTTAGTCATTCCATTTTTGTTTGGTCAAAATTTTAAATAATATTTTTGCTATTATCATTTTGTTATAATAACTTTTTCTGTGTTTAAGATTATATCCTAACAGTTTTTTTCAGTGGATTTAATAGGTTGAAGTTTTGAACATTTAAAAAATCTTAACACATTTTACGTATTCAGGAAACAATTCAGGATAAAAATACACTAAGGAAAAGCTCTCCTGCCTCATTTCTCCTCCCATGTCTCCAGGGTAGTTACCAGAGGCTGGGAAGGGAAGGAGGAGGGAGGGATGAAGAGAAGTTGGTTAATGGGTACAAGAATACAGTTAGCTAGAAGGAAGAAGTTCTAGTATTCGATAGTACAGAAGGGTGAATATAGTTAGCAACAGTGTATGGTATATTTCAAAAACAGTTAGAAGAGAAGAATTGTAATGATCCCAACACAAAGAAAAGATAAATGTTTGAGGTGATGGATATCCCAATTACCCTGATTTTATCGATATACATTGCATGTGTCAAAATGTCACATGTACCCCATAAATATGCACAACTATAATCTATCAATAAAAAATACAAAAAGGCCAGGCACAGTGGCTCATGCCTGTAATCTCAGCATTTTGGGAGGTAGAGGCGTGCAGATTGCTTGAGCCCTAGAGTTTGAGACCACACTGGGCAACATGATGAAACCCCATCTCTATCAAAAAAAAAATAGCTGGTGTGGCGGTGTGCATCTGTGGTCCCAGCTACTCGGGAGGCTGAGGCAGGAGGATTGCTTGAGCCTGGGAGGTCGAGGATGCAGTGAGCTGAGATTGCACCACTGCACTTCAGCCTGGGTGACAGAGTGACTCTGTCTCAAAAAACAAAACAAGACAAAACAAAACAACCCAAGAAGGCACCATTCAATAAATGGTGATGGGACAATTGGCTAGTCAGTTAAAGAAGGAAAATAATCAGTTTGCTCCTCATTTCCTCCTCACAAAACACCCAAATAAATTACAGTTGGATTAAGTAATAATGTTTTTTGAAAAATTAAGAATTTTTTAAAACCAGCAGACACAGACCTGGGTATTTATTAAACCTTGTGAAAGGGAAAAGACTGTCATATCAGTGGAAAAAATTAAAGTGGAACATTTGCTCACTCAACAATATTGAACTATTTTAAATAGGCAGTGATACATTGGGGAAATATTTGTAGCAAATGCCCCAAAGGTATTTTATTACATGTTATTAAAGATCTTATACCCATGGAAAGCAAAGCAAATTAAAGAATAATATGCATACTATGACTTTCTTTTGGTAATAAAACCAAGCCTTCTTTGCATCTTTACAAAGAAGTGTAATTGTATGCACAAACAAGGAGAAAGGTAGGAAGACACACCCAGGCCTTTACCACTGGCTCCCTGTTAAATAATCTGAACATACTAGTTTCAAATCTTGACATATTTTTGCACAAGTTAAATCATTAAGTTCTGAAAAAAGGACAACTTGGATGGGTGCAGTGGCTCATGCCTGTAATCCCAGCACTTTGGGAGGCTGAGGCTGGCGGATTGCTTGAGCTCAGGAGTTCGAGACCAGCCTGGGCAACAAGACAAAACCCCGTCTCTCTATATATATATTTTAAAAAAATACAAATAAAATAAATTTTAAACAATGACAACTTTCCCATAACATCTTGTGCCAGTGTTGGTGTAATAAGAGAACATTCCTAAGCTATTATGTTACATTGCACTGGAGGTTGAAGTACATAACTTAAACTTGAAAATAAAATTTTTGTGTGTGGGTAGGTGTATTCATGGGGAACATGAGATATTTGAATACAGGCATGCAATGTGTAAAAATCACATCAGGGCAAATGGGATATCCATCACCTCAAGCATTTATCTTCACTTTGTGTTATAAACAATCCAATTATACTCTTCTGGTTATTTGTAAATGTACAACAAATTGTTCCTCTGTTGTGCTATCAAATACTAGATCTTATTCATTCTATCTAACTATATTTTTGTACCCAACAACCATCCCTGCTTCTTCCCTCTGCACTACTCTTGCAGGCCTTGTAACCAACCTTTATCTTTCTATATCCATGAATTCAATTGTTTTAATTTTTATCTTCCACAAATAAGTGAGAACATGCAAAGTTTGTCTTTCTGTGCCTGGCTTATTTCACTTAACATGATGATCTCCAGTTCTACCTATGTTGTTGCAAATGACAGAATCTTATTCTTTTTTATGGCCAAATAGTGCTCTATTATGTACATATACCACATTTTCTTTATTCATTCGTCTGTTGATGGACGCTTAAGTTGATTCCAAATCATGGTTATTGTGAATAGTGCTGCAATAAACATAGGGGTATAGATATATCTTCGATATGTTGAGTTCCTTTCTTTTGTATGTAGACCTAACAGTGGGATTGCTGGATCTTATGGCAGTTCTAGTTTAGTTTTTTGAGTAACCTCCAAACTGTTCTCTATAGTAGTTGTATCAGTTTACATTTCTACCAACATTATATGAAAGTTCTCTTTTCTCCACATCCTCATCAGTATTAATTATTGCCTGTCTTTTGGATAAAAGCCATTTTAACTGGGGTAAGATGATATCTCATTGTAGCTTTGTTTTGTATTTCTCTGATGATCAGTGATGTTGAGCACATTTTCGTGAATCTGCTTGCCATTTGTATGTCTTCTTTTGAGAAATCTTTTATCAGATCTTTTGCCCATTTTGATTGGATTATTAGATTTTGTCCTGTAAGTTGCTTGTGTTCCTTATATATTTTGGTTATTAATCCCTAGTTTATAGATGAATAGTTTGCAAATATTTTCTCCCATTTTGTGAATTGTCTCTTCACTTTGTTGATTGCTTCCTTTGCTGTGCAGAAGCTTTTTAACTTGATGTGAACTCATTTGTCCATTTTTTATTTGATTGCCTGTGCTTGTAGAGTATTACTGAAGAAATCTTTGCCCTGTCCAATGACCTGGAGAGTTTCCCCAATGTTTTCTTGCAGTAGTTTCAGAGTTTGAAGTCTTAGATTTAAGTCTTTAATTGATTTTGATTTGATTTTTGTATATGGTGAGAGATAGGGTCTAGTTTTATTCCTCTGCGTATGGATATCCAGTTTTCCCATCACCATTTATTGAAGAGACTGTCCATTCCCCAATGTAGGTTCTTGGCATATTTGTTGAAAATGAGTTCACTTTAGATGTATGGATTTATTTCTGGTTTGTCTATTCTGTTCCTTTGGTCTCTGTGTCTGTTTTCATACCAGTGCCATGCTGTTCTGGATACTATAGCTGTGTAGTACAATTTGAAGTCAGGTAATGTGATTCCGCCAGTTTTGTTCTTTTTGTTCATGATCACTTTGGCTATTCTGAATCTTGTGGGGTTTTATATAAATATTAGGAATTTTCATTTTCTCTTTGTGAAGAATGTCATTGGTATTTTAGTAGGGATTGTGTTGAATCCCATAGATCGCTTTGGGTATTGTGGACATTTTAACAATATTGGTTCTTCCAATCCATAAACATGGACTATCTTTTCTTTTTTTTTGGCCTCTTCAATTTCTTGAGTCAATGTTTTATAGTTTTCATTTTAGAGGTATTTTATTTCTTTGATTAAGTTTACTCCTCTGTATTTTATTTTGTTTTTAGCTTTGCTAAGTGGAATAAATTTTTTGGTCTCCTTTTCAGATTGTTTGCTATCAGCATATAGAAATGCTACTAACTTTTTTATGTTGATTTTGTATCCTGCAACGTTACTGAATTTATTTATCTGTTCTAGTAGTTTTCGGTGGAATCTTTAGATTTTCCTACTACAAGATCATATCATCAGCAAAGAAGGATAATTTGACTTTTTCCTTGCCAATTTAAATGCCCTTTATTTCTTTCTCTTGTCTGATTGTTTTAGGTAGGATTCTCAGTACAATGTTGAATAATGGTGAAAGTGGGCATCCTTGTCATGTTCCAGATCTTAGAGGAAATACTTTCAGTTTTTCCCCATTCAACATGATACTTGCAATGGGTCTGTTATATATAGCTTTTATTGTGTTGAGGTATGTTCTTTCTATATGCAGTTCTCTGAGGGTTTTTATCATGAAGCGATGTGAACTTTATCATAATGTTTTTCAGCATCAATTGAAATGATCATGTGGTTTTTGTCCTTTATTCTGTTGATATGATGTATCACATTGATTGACTTTTGTGTGTTGAGCCATCCTTGCATCCTTGGGATAAATCCCTCTTAGTCATGATGAGTGAACTTTTTAATGTGTTGTTAAATTTGGTTTGCTAGTATTTTGTTGAGGATTTTTGCATCAATATATATCAGGGATATTGACCTGTAGTTTTCTTTTTGTTGATTTATCTTTCCCTGGTTTTGGTATCAAGTTAATACTGACCTCATAGGAGTTTGGAAGTATTCCCTCTTTCTCTGTTTTATGGAATAGTTTGAGTAGAATTGGTATTAGTTCTTCTTAAATATTTGGTAGAACTCAGCAGTGAAACCATTTGGTCTCCTGTTTTCCTTTACTGGGAAAATTTTTATTATGGCTTAGGTCTCGTTACTTGTTATTGGCCTGTTAAGGTTTTGGATTTCTTCATTGTTCAATGTTGGAAGGTCGTATAAGTCTAGGAATTTAGCCATTTCTTCTAAGTTTTCCAATTTATTGGCATATAATTGCTCATAGCAGCCTTAAATGATCCTTCAAATTTCTGTAGTATCAGTTGAAATGTTTCCTATTTTCACCTCTGATTTTATTTATTTGTATCTTCCCTCTTTTTTTCTTAGCTAGTTTAGCTAAAGATTTGTCAATTTTATTTATCTTTTGAAAAAAACGAGTTTTTGTTTCATTGATGTTTCGTATTTCTGTAAATTTCATTTTCATTTATTTCTGCTCTGATCTTTATTACTTTTCTGTACCAATTTCAGATTTTGTTTGCTCTTGCTTTTCTAGTTCTTTAAGATGTATTGTTAGGTTGTTTATTTGAAGTTTTCCTACTTTTAAAATGTAGGTGCTTACTGCTATAAACTTTCCTCTTAGCACTGCTTTTGCTGTATATGATACATTTTGATATGTTGTATTTCTATTATCATTTGTTTCAATACATTTTTCGTTTTGTTCTCAGTTTCTTCATTGACCCATGGGTCATTCAGGAGCATATTATTTAATTTCTATATGATTGTATAGTTTCAAAAATTCCTCTTGTTACTGATATCTAGTTTTATTCTATTGTGGGCAGAAAATATATTTGATATAATTTCATTATTTTTTGAATTTTAAAAACTTGTTTTGTGGACTAATATATGGTCTATCATTGAGAACGATCCACGTGGTGAGGAGAAGAATGTGTATTCTGCAGCCATTGGATGAAATGTCCTGTAAGTATCTATTAGGTCCATTTGGTCTATAGTGCAGATTAAGTTCAATGTTTCTTTGTTGATTTTCTGCCTGGAAGATCTGTCTAATGCTGAATGTAGGGTGTTGAAGCCTCTAGCTATTATTTTTTGAGGTCTTTCTGTCTTTAGCTCTAATAATATTTATTTTATATATCTAGATACTCTAGTGTTGGGTGCATATACATTTACAATTGTTATATCCTCTTTCTGAATTGACCCCTTTATCATTATGTAATGATCTCTGTCTCTTCTTACAATTTTTGTCTTGAAATATATTTTGTCTAATGTAAGGATAGCTACTCCTGCTCTTTTTTGGGTTTCCTTTGGCAGGGAATATATTTTTCTATCCCTTTATTTTCAGTCTACATGTGTCTTTAGAGGTAAAGTGTGTTTTTCATAGATAGCAGATAATCGGGTCTTGTTTTTTGTTTCATCCATTCAGCCATTGTCTATCTCTTGATTGGAAAGTTCAGTTCATTTATATTCAATCTTATTATTGATAATTAAGGGCTTACTCTTGACACTTAGTTATTTGTTTTCTGGTTGTTTTGTGGTCTTCTCTTCCTTCTTTCCTTCATTGCTGTGTTCCCTTTAGTAAAGGTGATTTTCTCTGGTGTTATGACTTCTTGATTTTTATTTTTTGTGTACTTGTTGTAGGTTTTTTAATTTGAGGTTGCCACGAGGCTTGCAAATGATATTTTATAACTAATTATTTTAAACTGATAACTACTTAACACTGATTGCATAAATAAACAAACAAACAAGCAAAGAGAAAACTGATAAAACTCTATACTTTAACTTCATCCTCCCATGTTTTAACTTTTTGTTTTTTCTATTTATATTTTATTATACTATCTATTTCTTGAAAAGTTGTTGTAGTTTTTATTTTTGGTAGGTTCATCTCTTAGTCTTTCTACTCAAGATATATGTAGTTTAGATACCACAAATACAGTGTTATAATATTTTGTGTTTTTCTGTGTACTTACTATTACCAGTGAGTTTTGTCTCTTCAGATGATTTCTTATGACTCATTAACATCCTTTTCTTTTGGATTGAAGAACTCCCTGTAGCATTTTTCACAGGACAGGTCTGGTGTCAATGAAGTCCCTCAGCTTCCGTTTGTTTGGGAAAGTCTTTATTTCTCCTTCATGTTTTAAGAATATTTTATCTGGATAGTCTATTCTAGGATGAAAGTTTCTTTCCTTCAGTACTTTAAATATGTCATGCTACTCTCTCCTGGCTTGTAAGGTTTCCACTGAAAAGTTTGCTGCCAGGCATATTGGAGCTCCTTGGTATGTTAGTTGTTTATTTTCTCTTACTGCTTGTAGGATCCTTTCTTTATCCTTGACCTTTGGAAATTTATTACTTAATGCGTTGAGGTAGTCTTCTTTGGGTTAAATCTGGTTGGTGTTCTATAATTTTCTTGTACTTGAATATTCCTATCTTTCTCTAGGTTTGGGAAGTTCTCTATTATTATTCCTTTGAATAAACTTTCCACCCTGATCTCTCTACTTCCTTTTTAAGACCTATAACTCTTAGATTTGCCCTTCTGATGCTATTTTCTAGATCTTGTAGGTGTGTTTCACTCTTTTTTATTCTTTTTTTCTTTTATCTTCTCTTTGTATTTTCATATAGGCTGTCTTCAAGCTCACTAATTCTTTCTTCTGCTTGATCTTTTTGTTGTTGTTGAGAGACTCTGATGCATCCTTCAGTATGTCATTTGCATTTCTTAGCTCCAGAATTTCAGCTTCTTTTAAAATTATTTCAATCTCTTTGTTAAATTTATCTGATAGGATTCTGAAATCCTTCTCCATGTTACTTTGAATTTCTTTGAGCTTCCTCAAAACAGCTCATTTGACTTCTTTGCCTGAAATATCACATATATCTGTCTCTTCAGGATTGGTCACTGGTGCCTTGTTTAGTTCATTTGGTGAGGTAATGTTTGCTTGGATGGCGTTGATGCTTGTGGACTTTGGAAATTGAAGGGATAGGTACTTATTGCAGTCTTTACTGTCTGGGCTTGTTTGTACGCATCCTGCTTAAGGAAGCTTGCCAAGTCTTTAAAGGGACTTAGGTATTGTGGTGTAAGTCTTTGGTCCCTGCAGCCATATCTTCATTACGGGGCACTCCAAACCCAGTAATTCTGTGTCTCTTGTAGACACACAGAGTTACCGCCTTGGTGGTCTTGGGTAAGATCTAAAAGAATTCCCTGGATTACCAGGCAGAGACTCTTGTTGTCTTCCCTTACTTTCTCCCAAACAAACAGAATCTCTCTCTCTGTGCTGAACCTCCTAGAGCTGAGTGAGGGTTGATACAAGTACCCCTGTTCCCACCACCATTGGAAATGTGCTGGGTCAGATCTGAAGCAAACAGCACTGGGTTTTGCCCAAGACCCATGGTGACCATTCCTGGCGGCCACCTATGTTTACTCAAGGCCCTACGGCTTTACAATTAACAAGTGGCAAATGCAACCAGGCTTATGTCCTTCCCTTCAGGGTGGCAAGTTCCTCACCCAATCCTGGGAGGGTCCAGAGATGCTATCCAGGAGCCAAGGGCTGGGATTGGGACCTTAGGAATCTACCCAGTACTCTATTCTACTGAAGCTGATGTGGTACCCAAGTTGCAAGACCAAATCTTTTCTACCCTTTCCTCCACTTCTCTCAAGTGGAGGAATTTTTTCCTGTGGCCATCACCACCCCAGGCTGTGGCAAGTACTGCCTGGCTACCGCTGATGTTTAACTGCCAAGGGTTCTTCTGTCAGCCTGTGGTGAATGCTTCCAGGTCTGGGTCTCTCCCTTAAGGGCACTGGCTCCCCTCTGACCCAGGGAAGGTCCAGAAATACCATCCAGGAGCAAAGGCCTGGTATCAGGAACTCTAGAAGCCTGCTTGGTGCTCTACCCCAATGTGGCTGAGCTGGTGCCCAAGCTGCAAGACAAAGTCCCTTTACTCTTCCCTCTCCTTTCCTCAAGCAGAAAGAGTCTCTCCCTGTAGCCACCACAGCTGGGAATGTGCTGGGTCACACCTGAAGCCAGCATGTCTCTGAGTCTCACCCATGGCCCACAGTGAGTACTGCCTGGCTACCACTGCTGATTATTCAGGACCCAAGACCTCTTTAGTCAGCAGGTGATAAATCCTGCTAGCACAGTGTCTTTCCCTTCTAGGCAGCAGGTTATCGTCTGGCCCAGGGTGTGTCTAGAAATGTCATCTGGTAGCTGAGACCTGGAATGGAAGCCTCAGCACTCTGCCCAGTGCCTTATCCTACTTTGACTGAACTAGTATCCAAGTTGCAAGACAAAGTCCTCTTTAGTCTCCCCTCTCCTCTCCTTAAGCAGAAGGAAGGAGTCTCTCCTGGAGCTGTAAGCTGCACTGCCTAAGGTTGGGGGAGGGGTGATGCAAGCACTCCCTTGGCTGCCTTAGCCAGTGTCTCACTGCCTGTGAGCCCTGCACAGCACTGTTGCTTGCCCAGGAATTGCAGTCCTTGTGGTGTAGACTGCCTTTCATTTATTTAGGACCCCAGAGAACTTCAGCCTGTGGTGGTGGGGCTTGCTGGAACTCAGGTTCCTACCACTGGGATGGAGGATTCCCCCTGGCTAGGGCTGTTCTAAATGCTCCCTCTGTGAGCACTGGCTGAATTCTGCCCTGTGTTGCTTTCTTCTGTGACAGGGCAGCACTGAGTTCCGATGCAAAGTCCCACAATCACTGCACTCTCCCTCCCCCATGCACACAGATTCTCTGTCCACACTACGTGGTTGCTGCTGGTGGATGGGTGGTGTAGGCAATTCAAGACTGTCTTTTCTACCCTCTTCAGTGCCTCCTTCCTTAATATGTTAAAACCAGGTACTGTGATCACTCGCCTGATTTTTTGTTCCTATAAAGGTGTTTTTGTGTGGATAGTTGTTCAATTTTGTGTTACTGTTGTGCGTACAATTGGTGGAATCTTCTTTTTGACCATCTTGCTCTGCTTCCGCCTGAAGTACATGACGTTATGGTAACCATCGTCATATATAATGCACATAAGTGCTTTTACATTTTCCTTTTATGGTTTTCAGAGAGTCATAACTTGCAAATACAATTTTAAATTGTTTTTAAAAATTTGCAGTTGAGTAGAATTAGTCCTAAAATAATAAATACCCATCAATACAATTTTCTTTCTTTTTTTTTAACTCAAGATAATTTGCTGGAAGGTGAATGGTCTAAGTGCTTATTCAGTGTTTTTAGTTTGTCTGTGGAACACCTACATTAGGATCCCTTGGAAGCTTACTAAAATGAAGGTTCTTGGGTCCCACCCTCCATCATCTTGAATCAAAATCTGAGGGGAAACCTAGGAACTTGCTTTTTAAATAAGCTCTCCAGGTAATTTCTATGCACTTTCAAGTTTAAGAACTTTAGATCATACAACTTCTACATGATGTATAGTAACTGGATCTAGTTCTGGTTTTGACAAATAAGTTGCTGCCATTTCATTTTAAACTCATTGTGCCTCAACTTCCAATCTATAAATGTTTGATGTTTACTTTTACTTTAAGTGGTACTCTGAACATTTATGGAGCATCTCACAACCCAAAACTTTCCACAAGTGCCAACTCTGCAATAACTAGTATCACATCCTTGGGAAAATAAAAATCTCTCTGGGCCCTTTACTTCATTTGCACAATAAACAAGGTTAGACTAGGATTTATCTATAAGGCCTTTTCCAAATGAAACGCACTAGAGCTCTGTGAAAAAGTTGTTTACAAATTACCAATTTCTAATGTTTTCCTTCCCAGCAGCACAATTCATAATAAAGCTGCATTAATAGTACATGAAATTACAGAGCCTAAATAGGAGGTGAGTTTAAAGCATTGTGTGACACTTGAGCTCTAATAAAACTAACAAATGCTTGAAACAGTACTATATACCAATGATTTGCAAAGTTATTTGCACATTAAAATCACCTGGGGACCTTTTAGCTACTCCAGTGCCCAGGCCACACCCCAATTAGAGGTGCATCTCAGGCACAGTAATTATGAAGCTTTCTAGGTGATACCAATATGAAGCTAAGTTTTAGAACCACTACTATATATTGCTGTCAAAATTTAACATTACTAGACCTTTTCAACTACTTGTACTTAATATTAAGTACCTGAATGAAAGTACTTATTACATTTAAAAATCTATATTTTAACTGTAACAAAATCTGCATTTTAATGTTACCTTTAAAATTTATATTGAATATATCTACCTCTCTCAATATTATTTGTTACCTAGCTGGTCTCCTTGCTTTCACCTTTGCCTCCTACATTTGTAGAATACAGGTTTAACTTCTGTTCAGATACTCAAAATAATAGTGACTTAAAGAAAACAGAATTTTATTTTTTGTCTCATGTAACAGCCAAAACTGTGGTAAGCAGTGTGCAAAGCTGGTATGGCAGCTCCACAATGACAGGACCTTGGCTCCTAATAGCTGGTTGCTCTGCCATCCCTAGGGTGTTGCTCTTCTCTGCGTGATCCACAATGTCTCATGACTATGCTCACTTTATAGCTAGCAGGAAGTGGAGGGTGGACGGAAATAAAACATTCCCTCTTAACCTTTGAGGGAATGGTTCCAAAATTGTACATATCACATATGCTCACTCCCATTGGTCAGGACTTGGTCATAGGGCCTACTTAGCTACAAAGGAAGCAGAGCAAGGTATTCTTTATTCTAGGTAGCTTTGTTCCCAGATAAATATTGGGAGATCTATTACTATAGAAGAAGAGAACAGGTATTAGGGTACATCTATTATAGCAGTCTCTGCCAATCTCCTTATAATCCGTTCTCCTTCCAGCAGACAGTGACCATTCTAAAACAGGAATTGAATCATGGCATATACTAGCCACAAATCTTTCAGTGGCTTCCCAGTGCTTTAAAGATACAAACTTCTAAAGTCTTTGCCATAGCCTATAAGACGGCATAGTCTGTAAGAGCTCTTGTCTATTTGCCTGTCTCATCTTGTATCTCACTTTCTGCACTCCAGCCATATCAGTCCTTATTCAATTCTCAAACACACCTTTTGCTGCATGTCCTTTATACCTCAAGTTTACTTCCTCAGGAAAAACTTTCCTAGTGCCCCCCACTTTGTTAAAAAGCTCTAATATAAATCACATGTTTCCATTGACACATTTGTCTCACTTATTTGTGCAATTATTTGGATGTGTTTCTCCTCCATGAGACTTTTAAGTTCCATGAGAATAGGGGCCTTGTTTATTTTTGTTTGTATTGTATTGTGTTCCTAGTGCTAGCCCAGTGCTAGGCATGGAGTGGACACTCGAAGATTTGAATATAAGCTGCAATGATTTAGCTCATTATTTCATGAGCCCCAAGACATAGAATTTATTGTGTAGTGATCTAATATACTAATAGAAATTGTATTATTATTTAAACATTTTACTTTTTCTATTTTTTTAGATGCAGGGGTCTTACCATGTTGCCCAGGCTGGTCTCGAGCTCTTAAGCTCAAGCAATCCACTCATCTTGGCCTCCCAAAGTGCTGGGATTACAGGCGTGAACCACCACACCCAGCCTCAAACATTTTACTTTTTGCTCTAATTAGAGTTTAAAGAAATAGACTTTGGAATATAAGCTTGACCTTACCATTAAATTGTCTTTACTAATTTACATTAAGTCATTTAGTCTTTTTCAGTTCCCCATCTACAAAATAGATATTAAAACCTTGTTAGGGGCAACTTCTAGGTCTCAAGCTACTAGAAGTCAGGTACAATAACCTTAGAATAACATCAGAGTTACTTGAGTTCTTTTAGGGATATTGCTTGATTTTCACTGAAAATGTGCATATAATTTTTCAAAAAGCTAATATAGTTCAGATTTGTTTTGACAACAGTCTTTAAACCCATATGGAAGAATCATCTTGGCTCATTTAGTAAGTATATATTTAGGCCAAAAATATGAAGGAAACACATCAAATTCATTCAAAATGAGACAGGAGACCAAAAAGTTATTGCATTTTAACTTCTTTAATAATTCACTCAAAACTGTAACACGAGAGGAATCCACTGTTTAGTTAACATTTACACACAATTATAAAGAATAAAAGACTGAATACATTTATGAACAAACTGCAGTATGTCTTTAGGTTCATAGGCTGCTCAACACATTTAAAGCGTATAGCAAATGAAGTCACAGAACTATAGGGCTACAAGAAAATCCCACAAGTTTATAGCTTAACTGGAATCAGATTTATCTTGATACAGAATAATCTATAAACTCATTTAATGGTCATTTTGTCTCATCTAACAAACCACACAGATGTCAACCACCGGGCCTTGCAAATGCAGAGTGGCCATTTACATTTAAAATGAAGTATTATAGACAACCAGAATAAAATCAATTCCCGTGTTTACTATTTTCCATTTTCAATATGAGCATTTGAAATGTTAATATGAGATACAATTTCACTATTTAAACTCACATTACATATACTGAAACTACCAATGAGTACAGCAAGAATATAGACATACTGCAGCCTTTGACTTTAACATCAACACACTGGTTAAAATACTGAGAAATTCGAACCACACAAAGTCACAAAATGAAGTGGAAAAACCTTAAGACAATTTAATTTAGCACGCTTATTTTGCAGCTGAGCAAGCTAAGGACCAGGGGCAACTAGACCCTAATAATGTGTACTTTTGAAAATGATACAAACTACCTTGGTTGTAAGAAGTGCAGGTTGAACACTTTAGGAGAACAGTCTTCAAACTGGCAATTCAAAATTTCCCATTATATGTGAATAAAATTGGAAGGATGTTAAATGTCCATGGAAAGTTACTCTTGTAAGTTAGGATGCCTTATACTGAGGCTTTAGAATGAAAGTACACTTCACAAATGGAATAGTGAACATAAATTACCAGAAGTCAAGATAATAGTCATACTAGTAAGGTAAGCAAGGTAAATTCCCTTATACACAAAAATTATTTTGATGACCTTTTTCAATAATGAATCTGAAATGAAGTGTTTTAAAAAGCTCCCTAAACACAAAACGAACATAAAACTGCTTAATAACTTTAGAGCTCATGTAATATTCTTGCTGAAAACAGTTACTGAAATTACCAGCAAAATGATGGAATATCTTTAAAGCAGTACACTCGTATAATCTGTAATAATTTCATTTGCTAACTTTTAAGAAGTATTCTCTGGACTATAAATCTTGTGCAAATAGACTTCCACTTTATTATTACCCAAATTACAGATATCCAAGATACCGACGATATGCACTCTATCCAGTTCAGTTGCTGCTTTTATAATATCACCTAAAAGTAAAAAGCAGATGGTAAGTACTGTAAAATAGTTAAATATTTACTTGACTTTAGTATCACATAAGCTGTTAATTTTTTTCTTATAATATTAACACTGTGCCCCATCCTCTCCCTCTTCCCTCCAATTTATTACATGCATTTACCAAAATTATATGGCAACTTCTGCAGATAAAGGTGAACATATCAAACAGATACACCAAAACTGCCATGGCATGAACTGGTATTCAAAAGCCACATTTAGTTTTCGGGTTTTTGTTTTGTTCTTGGTGGAGCAAAATAAATCCAGATATCTTCAAGGTCATTTGTAAGGTTCCAAATAAATAGCTTATTGGTATACTTCAAAGGAATGCAAAGATAAAGTTTTCTATTTTGAAATTCAATTATCAATATTTTTGTAAAACTATAAGCCATAAAGCAAAACTGTATTTGCCTTATATATTTTACCGCATAAATATATGTATACATATGTGTATATGTGTAACTGATGCATCTTTTAAAGTGTATTTCCTTTAAAGTGGCTTTATTAATTAAAACTTATCTTTGGATACTCTTGAGAAACTCTGTGAAAAATGTATCAGGTCTCCAGTAAGACAATTCGCTTCTCAGAAAAAAAAAAAAAAAATGGATCAGGTGAGTGACATGGCAGAGTAACGAGTTCCAGGGCCCTGTCCTTCTATAAAGCATCTTATAAGCTGACAAAAACTCTTAGAATCAACTTTTGCAGAACTCTAGAATCTAGACAAAAACTTAGAGCAACTAGGGAAAAATTAATAAAGAAATAAACTGCTACACGGTGGGTAGAGTGTGCTGTGGTATTTTAAATTGCCTGCCTATCACTCCTCACTCCGCAGATAAGGGGCAGTCATGAAGATGGCTGCTTGCACTTCTGGTGCAGGTTGCTAGTACCAAAGGGAGCAATGCAGACCTTATTCTCAAAGATGTGGTTGTGTGTTCTCATCTTTACAGTAGCTCCCTCAAGGAAGATGCAAGGGTTTACTTTTGTTTTACCCAGTTTGGAGCATTCCCACAGCTGGGATGGCTTTTCTGGTGGTGGCATTGCTGAACGCATTTAAAGACAAAAATAGTAGCCAGTGCAGCTGGGCAGGTTATAAAGTTGGGACAAGCAAGAAGCAAACCAAAAAATCCTGGGCAGGAAGAAGCTGAGAAAAGATATATGTGGTGTAAAGTGGGCTTTAAAAACTCCTTTGTACAACGGGGAATCAAGAAGGCCACATGCATACCCAGGGCAGACATATGGTCAGAAAAAGGCTGAGAAGACTCTAATCACTCATCTGTGGCTGACCTTCATGCTCTGAGCAAGCAGGAAGTGAAGGCTAAGGCAGAATTGTAAATGGCCTGGCTAAGTGTCGAAGGAGTGCCACCACTCCAGGTCAATTTACAAAAACTGGGAGAATATATTTTTTCTTTTTCATTTCTGGGCTCCAGGTGTTTAAGGAAACTGTCAAAACACTAGCTGACTACTGCTAAGATAATGCATCACAGACTTTAGTGGCTACGCATAAAAATACTTTATTTTCAATATAAGAAAATGAAAACAATTAGAGGTTAAGTAACAAGCAAAGTCACATGGTGATTCTTATCCAGACAAGCTGGCATGAAGGCATATGCTTTTAATCTTTTATGCTAGAGCTACATCTCTACAAAACTGTGCTAAAATATAGTAGTAGATCCAGGTTTTGTGGGACCCCAAGGGTATACTATTTGGGGGCACTTTTTAATGAAAAAATACAAAATACGTAAGAATGCCAAATGGGTTTTAGAAGGGATTTGTGCAAATTTAGGCTACATTAGCGTCACAGTAAATCCATCTCTGCTAGACTTATCAAAAGATCTAATTAATGATTTAAAATTGTATAAGTTCACTAAATCATAATGATTACAACTGGTAGTACTATATAATTTTCTTTTGCCTTGAGTGGGGTGGACTTTAATCCAGATGCTTTGGAAAGATTTCAAGATCTTGAGATCTGATGATAACAGATAATTCTAATTGTTATCGTATTTTGACTTTTATGAACAATGACTTACTTCTATCCACAACATAAAATATAAATAAGTCTTCTGTTCAGCTGTTCAGGTAATTCTGCCTAGTTGTGTAATGCTTTGAACAAATGACAACTTCTCTATGCCTCAATTTGCTTATCTAGTACCTACATCATAGGGTATTTTGAGGATTGAATACACATAAAGCATTTAGAATGGTAGTTGACACACAGCAAACACTCATTAAATATTAGCAGTGATAATCTTTACTTAAGGAAACCTATTATGAAATTAGGATAGTATTTATATCATAAAAATTCTTTAAAAAGGACTATAGATTTTACCTAATAAAACGAGCTACTCTTCGGTTCATTTTAAATTGCTAGAATTACAAAAATTATACATTTTTAGGAAGCTTACAAATGCATAAGTTAAGTGTGACAAAGGCAACACTATGTGTTCTCCACTCCATTTCCTCTCTTTGGTCACAGGAAAAAACAGTGTCCTGGCTTCCCTTGTAGCTAGGCTGGGATCATGTAACTTAGTTCTTGCAAATGAGAATGCAAGTAGAAGTAATGTGTCAATTCTGGTCCAGCATAATTAAAAGCCAGCATCTCCTTCATCTTTCTTCCTCTGCCTTGACGACCCTAGAAGCCATTTTTTCCTGCTTAGGCAGCAACAAGATGGAAGCAGACTGGATTCGTGAATTGCTGTTGGGAAGAGAGCTGATGACTGATTGCATCAGACTTGAGCAAGAAATAAACTTCTTGAGTTAAAGTGTCTGTGACTTTAGAGTTGCTTTGTAATTGAGCATAGTCCTATAGATATTGTAATACAGTGTGGTATTCCTGTCTCTGAAACTAATAAGGGAAACCTTGATTACCTAGAGAATAATAAAATTGTTTTCTTAGATGTGTTAAAACATTTCCATACCATGCTGTACTTCCAAAATGATATCCTTGGACTTCAAAGTTAAAGATGACACCAAGTAGGATATCATATCAGTAATCAGTATTCAATAAATGACTTGGGATAAATGGCTATTTGGAAAAAAATATGAAGCTGGATCTCTATCTCACTCTTTTTTTTTTTTTTGAGATGGAGTCTCGCTCTGTTGCCAGGCTGGAGTGCAGTGGTGAGATCTCGGCTCACTGCAACCTCCACCTCCCGGGTTCAAGCAATTCTCCTCCCTCAGCCTCCTGAGTAGCTGGGACTACAGGCGTGCACCACCACGTCTGGCTAATTTTTGTATTTTTAGTAGAGACGGGGTTTCACCATGTTGGCCAGGATGGTCTCGATCTCTTAACCTCGTGATCCGCCCGCCTTGGCCTCCCAAAGTGCTGGGAGTACAGGCGTGAGCCACCGCGCCTGGCCAAAGATCCCTATCTCATTCTTTACACAAAAATAAATTCCAAATGGATTAAAATTTTAAGTTGTAAAGATGAAGCCATATCAACATCACCCAAATCAAATTCAGAAATGGGCAAAGCATTTGAGTAGATATTTCTCCAAAGAAGACATACGAATGGGCAGCAAGCACATGAAAAGATGCTTAACACATCATTTGTAATCAGGGAAAAACAAATCAAAACCACAATGAGATACCACTTCACATCCATTAGGATCGCTGTTGTTAAAACAACAACAACAACAAAACAAAACAGAAAACAAGTGCTGGTGAAGAAGTAGAGAAACTGGAATCCTCATGCATTGCTGGTGGGAATGTAAAATAGTGCAGCTGCTATGAGAAAGCTTGGCAGTTCCTCAAAAAGTGAAACATAGAATAACCGTTTAATCCAGCAATTCCACTACTGGGTATGTATCCAAAGGAAATGAGATCAAGTTGAGGGATTGGAGGCAGAGCAGGAGGGCGGAATAGAAGGCTCCACCAATCGTCTCCCACCCCTCCCCTGGCAAGGACATTAATTTAACAACTATCTACACACACACACACACACAAAACACCTTCATGTGAATCAAAAGTCGGGTGAGCACTCACAGTACCTGGTTTTAACTTCATAACACTGAAAGAGGCACTGAAGAGGTAGAAAAAACACTCCTGAATCACCAATACCACCCCCCACCCCGGTGCAGCCATGGCAGGGTACAGAGAGCATTTCTGTGCCCTGGGGAGAGGGAGATCCAGCAATTGTGAGGCATTGAACTCAGTGCTGCCCTTGTTACAGCAGAAAGCAAAAGTGGACCAAATTCAGCTGATGCCTGCTCATGGATGGAGCATTGAAACCAGCACTAGCTAGAAAGGAATCACTAATCCCAGCAGTCCACAAGCCTCACCACCATGAGCTAAAGTGCTCTGAGGTCCTAAATAAACTGGAAAGGCAGTCTAGGCTACAAGGACTGCAGCTCCTAGGAGAGTCCTAGTGCTGAACTGGACTCAGAGACAGTGTACCAGGGGCGGTGTGTGTGTGTGGGGGGGGATGGGGGGGAGACACAACCTACTGAGACATCAGCCAGCGTGTCTAAGGAAGTGCTGGCATCACCCCTCCCTTAACCCCAGGCTGCACAGCCCATGGCTCCCAAAGAGGCCCCTTCCTTCTGCTTGAGGAGAGGAGAGGGAAGAAATGGGCAAAGCATTTGAATAGATATTTCTCCAAAGAAGACACAGCAAGATAGGGCATAGCAGGATAGGGCACCAGTCAGTCGTGAAGACATCGTTTCGGGCCTTAGCTCCCAGATGTTATTTCTAGACACACTCTAGGCCAGGAGGGAACCCAGTGCCTTGAAGGAAAGGATCCAATCCTGGCAGTATTCATCACCTGCTAACTGAAGAGCCCTTGGGCCCTGAATAACCCGCAGTGATACCTCAGGTACTATGTCAAGGATCTTGGGTGAGACTCTGAGACTGGCTGGCTTCAGGTAAGACTCAGCACATTCTCAGCTGTGGTGGCTTTGGGGTGAGACTCCATTTACTTGCGAAAAGCAGAGGGAAAAGGGGACTTTGTCTTGCATGTTAGATACCAGCGCAGCCACAGGGAGGTAGAGCAACAAGTGGGCACTTGGGGTTCCCGATTCCAGGACTTGGCTCTTAGATGGTATTTCTGGACCTGCCCTGGGCCAGAGGGGAGCCCACTGCCCTGAAGGGTGAGTGCCAGGCCAGGCAGCATTCACCGCAAGCTGACTGAAGAGCCCATAGGTCTTAAGCAAACATTGGTGGAGGTCTGGCAGTGCTCCCCATAGGCCTGTGGTGCTGATAGCCATGGATGAGGTCCCTCCTGCCTTTGGAAAGGGAAGCAAAGAGGGGGAGGGACTGTGTATTGTTTGAAAGCCAGCTCACCTACAGTGCAATACAATACCAGGTAGACGTCTAAGATTTTTGACTCTAGTCACTGGCTCCTGGATGGCACGTCTGGACCTGCTTGTGGACTGGAGGAACTAGCTGCACTGAAGGGAAGGTCACAGGCCTGTCTGGCTTTGCCACCGCCTGACTATAGAGCCCTAGGGCATAAGGCGAACATAGGTGGTAGCCAGGGAGTGGTTACAGCAGGCCTTGGGCCAGACTCAGAGTGGTGCTGGCTTCAGGTCTGACCCAGTGCAGTCATAGTGGTGGCTACAGGGCAGCTTGTGTCACTCCAGCCTCAGCTTCAAGTGGCTCAGAATAGAGAGAGAGAGAGAGAGAGAGTATCTTTGGGAGAAAATAAGGGAAGAAAACAAGAGTTTCTTCCTGGTAGTTCAGAGAATTCTCCTGGATCTTGTCCAAGACCATCACTCAGCCATAGCCACAAAAAGGAATGAAAAACAGGCAAATTTCTAGAGACAGAAAGTGGAATAGCTGTTACCCAGGGATTGGGAGAGGGGAGAATGGGGAGTTACTGTTCAATGGGTGCAGAGTTTCTGTTTGGGATGATGAAAACGTTTTGGAAATGAATAGTGGTGATGGTTGCACAACATTGTAAATGTACTTAGTGTCATTGAATAGTACATATAAAATGGTTAAAATAGTAAATTTTGACCTGTATGTTTTATCGCAATAAAAATATATCAGTATATATGGGTGAAGCTCTAAAAGTGCTGGAAAAAGACAGTGAATTCAAAAAAATGTAGTCTTGACCTGAGTGATGCCTGAGTATGACATAAAACCAGCAGCTACAAGATAAAAAGTCTAGTGTATTTGAGTACATATGAGTAAAATTACTTAAACAACCAAAACAAACATCCCATTGAAACAATGTCAAACTGGGTAAAAATCTTTGTAACACATGATAAAAGGTTAATTTCTTTAATATGCAAAGAGAACTTACAAATTATTAAGAAAAAATAGAGACAAATGAAAGGTAAAACCAGCATAGAAAGAAAAAACATATAAATGGCCAAGAAATGTATTAAGATTTTAAAGCTCAGAAATTGATAAATGCAAATCAAAATAATAATATATATTTTTGCTTATCTATCCACCATAGATTAGTAAGACCAATAATATCTAGTTTTTACAAGGGCATGAGTAAAGTGGCACTCTTGCTTTTGGTTCTAGTGTAAATTAGCATCACCATTTTAGAGAACCATTTGACAGTATCTACCAAAGTTACATATCTCTTGTATAAGTATGCCCTGTGGAATACTATTTAGCCATAAAAAGAATGAAATTATGTCTTTTCCAGGAACATGGGTGGAACTGGAGGTCATTATCTTAAGTGAAACAAGTGTAAAGATTTTATTGACACACACACAACACATAATGGATATTCATGCAGTACTGTTTGTTAATAGCAAAAACATTTAGAAACAATCTAAATGTCTACCAGTAGGAGACTGGTCAAATAAATTTTGGCACATCCACACAGTGGAATACTTTGTAGTTATTAAAAAGAATGAGGTAGCTTTCTATATACTAATATGAAATATGTCAAAGACATACTGTCAAAGGGAAAAAGCTGGATATAGAACCATATGTTTACTAATTCCATTTTTGTGTATTTATTCGAGAAAGAGAGAGAGCAATAGAATACATACTTTCATAAGCAAAAATCATTTCTTAAAGAGTTCAAATAATACTGGTTATCTCCTGAGAATAGGTGAGTGAGTTGGTGGAAAGGGCTGGACCTGGGAAGGCAAGGAGGGGAGCTTTCATTTTTACCTGGTACCTTTGTGTACTATTTGAATTTTTAAATTATTAATGTGTATAGCTTTTGTAATAAAAAAGAAACTATAAAGAATGTTTGAAAGATGACACTAGTATTATACCATGAGACACTGCATTATATCATTTTGTAACTATTTTTATCTTTCAGTTGAGAATCATGAAAGGAAAGAAAAAGTTTGGAATCGGATCAGGTTTCAAAATCTAGCTTACTCATGCTAGTGAATCTCTCTGATTTTCAGTCTAGTTATCTATAAATAGGGGATAATAAGGTTCACTTTGTGAGATTCTTATTAGGATTAGCTGTACCATATAAAATGCCCAGGCACAGTGCTTGGTACAGAGTTAAATGAACACTATTATTATTATTATTATTATATTATACATATTATTATTAATGCTATGTCATGAAAAACATGGTATTCCTCTCAAAATGAACCACTTTGTTTGTGATTACCAATTAATTTGTCTTCCCTAGTGATTCTTGTCCTTCACATTTCAAATATTACCTGCGTTGTCAGAAGGGTACCAGGTATATTTCATATGACCATGTTAGTGACTACTGGAAGAATACTGGCACTAGCACTAAACAATTAGCTGAGAACACTGAACTGGTATTTTATATCAATAGTAGTGTAGACATACAGCAGAAGACATGTAACATAAGTGGATATTATATGAAACATGAGCATACATGAGTGCACAAATATTTAAGCTGCATGTTAGGGCACTAATTAAGAAATGTGAAATTACTGAAAGTCTAAGGAGCTCCAATGTAGAAAGTAATACGGCAAGTGTATATCATCTCTAAAATGGACTGTGGGAAAAATAAAAAAAAAATCATCTCTTATAAAATTAGGTACCCAAGTTCAATTTGCAGCAACTGTTACTGCCCCAAATTACTTTGTCATCAGGCACAGCTCATAAGACTTGTTCAAAAACAACATACACTCAAGAGTTTCATCAGCTTAGAAAGACCCACCACAAAATCCCAAGATAATAAGGCCTTTCTTAAAAGCCATTTTAAATGTAATATCCTGATAAGCTCAATGAAAACTGCTAGAAACTTTACCACATGATTAGGAATTAGAAATAACAGAAAAACGTGAATGGGGTAATTATAATTGGACAGATAATTTTATAGGTACATAGAGACAATTTAGAGTTCAGTATATTATGCAGCAACCTAAACAATTAGCTGGTTGAAGAGTTTCACTATTGGGAATACATATGCTCCTAGCAGTTCTCAAGAAATTTATTGCATAGCACTGGAATAACTAAACATTTATAAGAGAGAATAATTTTACTGTATTATACTATAGAGTTATTGTAATTTCAGGCAATTACAAGGTGAAAGGACAAATTGTGTCGCCTGAGAAAAAGGAAGAAAAGAGTAGAATTTGTACTGTTCCATGTGCATACCACTTATGTCTGATGAAATAATTATACTTGGAATTGTATTGTATTATAAGATAATATTCTTAATGCTAGCCTAGAGTAGAAACAGCTATTCAATTTATTTAAAAGACATATTCTCATTTATAAGTCTTGGGGAACATTTACCAAATAACCCTTTAATTAAAACTACACTAAATTTTAAGGCTAAAACTGTTTACATAATAAAATCTTAAGGCTAGGGCTGTTTATAATTTTTTTTTTTTCTGAGTGAAAAGAACACTGAGATTGTTTTACCTGCAACCGCTCTTGGACCTGGCAATCGGTCATTTCCAGTTGTGTCCTGTGGATATGCACAGCTGTAATTCATGGAGGTCAACAGTGTGTCTATTTGAGATGTTCGAATATCTTCTGGACAATACATGGGTAGGAAAGCAACATCGATTGCTATCTCATGGTTCAGACCTGTTAAAGAAAGTTCACACATTATTAAAAGTTCAGTGGGTTAGCATGTGGTGCTGATGCCGAGTTTGCTGGTTTGATCCCAACATGTTCCAGATAGCTTTAGATCTGAAAAAACCTGTGTTTGAAAACTGGAGACTAAACTCCTAGTATTGCAATTTATGAATACATGGTATTTGTTGAAAGAGTAGACACTCCAGTGCAACCTTTCACCACTGCTGGAAATAACAGTTCAAAAGGTTTCCCCTACTGATGGAAGATTGGAATCTTACTATCCAAAGGACAGCATGGTCACACAAATGACATGTAGAGTGTTTCCTTGGTCATTTAGGACAGGTGCTATTCCGGGGCAGGGGAGTTTGGAGATGACTATTCGTTCCCTTATTGCCATTTGGACTCAAAGATATCTGACTAATGCAAGGTCAGGGATGATATAGTAGCTAGATCTCATCCGTCCTCAAATATACAAGACAAGGTTCGCACACTCACCATCAGGGCCATAAAAGGTTGTGCTAGAAAAAGGGCTAAGAGGGAAGAACTAAAGTGAATCCTGACCTTTGGCTGTCATCTTTTTATGTGGGTCAATGTCAGTTGGGGTAGATAAAAAAGACTTCCTAGAGGAAGAAAAGAATTCTAGCTATGTACTAAAGGATGAATAGCATTTAAATAAACAGAGAAGAGGGCATTTTAGGCATGGCAGGGAATAGCACAAGCCAAAGGTGTAGACCAGAGTAAAAGACCATCTTGGCTAGAGTAAGCGTAAACAAACACACAGAGCACAGCTTCAAAACTATGAATTCTATTTAGTGACCCAAATCAGAAACCTGAGAGTTATCCTTAACTCCTCCTTTTCGGTCTTTCCCAGATATTTAGTCAGCTAGATTCTATGACCTTAATATCTCTCTGATTCATCCCTTATAGTGATTCCTAAGTACTGAGTATGGGCCAATGATGGGTAACCAAATCCTTCTCGTTAAGCTGCAAATCAATCCAGAAATGCAAGTTCTTTGCTTTTTATGGGGAAATGACATTAAATCTCATATATTTAACTTAACATACAGCTAAAGGCCACTTAGCGCTTTCTAAGGATTACTAAAATTTGGTAGCCATAAATTGAAATAATCATGTTATCTAGAATTTTCCAAGAATTCTAATTCAGTATTATAAGAAGCATAGCCACGTCACAACTCCTAGCAATGCTGCAAGACTCATATGAATGTGCACATGCTGGTATCTTATATCCTTGATTCTAAGACTAAATTTAACTTAGATATATATCATTAATTTTATTTTTTAATAAAAAGAAAACACTGCATTAAATTTACCATTGACCGTTCCAACTTGCAAACAAAAAAGGAAGGATGCCTTAAAACTGAGAAACTATCAGAATTTGGAAATCCTGATATTTTCAAGAAAGTAGACATATTAGTGTGTTATTGATATTATTTTGAGTTGCTTTCTACATTATAAAATATTGGGAGTAGAGCTTCAGCATTATCAGTGAATTTTTTACTGAGCTGTTTGATTAAAACTAGAGTTCTGGTCGGGTGTGGTGGCTCATGCCTGTAATTCCAGCACTTTGGGAGGCCGAGGTGGGTGGATTGCTTGAGTCCAGGAGTTCGAGACCAGCCTGGGTAACATGGTGAAACCCTGTCTCTACCAAAAATACAATAATAAAAATAATAACTGGGTGTGGTGGTGTGCGCCTGTGGTCCCAGCTACTTGGGAGGCAGAGGTGGGAGGATTGCTTGAGCCCGGGAGGTGGAGGTTGCAGTGAGCCAAGATTGTAGCACTGTACTCCAGCCTGGGCAACAGAGTGGTAACCTGTCTCAAAAACAAACAAACAAACAAACAAACAAACCACTAGAGTTCAAAGTACAAACGTTTAAGTCAATAGGCCTCAGGGCTTTTGTGCTTGCTGCCTCTGTGCCTAGAATGGTTTTTCCCCAGATAACTACATCTCCCCCAAGTTTCTGAAATGTTCCTTTCTCCAGGAGACCTCTGCTATTTAAAATTTAACCCTTTCCTACTACAACACTTTCCAGCACCTGTTTTTCTTAGCACTTATCACCATCTCACTCTACTACAAGCTCTCATAGGGCAGGGTTTTTATCTGTTGTGTTCACTAATGTGACTTCAGCACTTAGAAGAGTGCTAGGCACACAGTAGCTGCCCAGTAAATATTTCTTAAATTGAGTAAATAAATACACATGTGTGCATTTTACCTATAATTTTTCAATAATAGAATTTAAGACATTTGTGCAAGAGCATTCAAATATAAGTTCATCCATATTCCCATTACCAAGAAATGAACACAAATATCCTGTACAAACCCCAAGAAAAATGGCTATGATGTAAGGAGAGCTGTTAAAATAATCTTTTCTAGATTTTTTTGTCAAAGTATTTTTTGGAAAAATTTGTCATATGGTTTGTTCTTTTCCTTTACCGTAAAATGCATTTAAAAGATAATTTCAAATTTTAATAACATTAACTGTGATATCAAGGTAATTTAATATACTATAGATACGCTGAAATAATAAGGCTTTACTCATCTTTATATTTTCTTTTATTAAAGCAGCCAAGTAGACCAATATAATTCTTTCCCTCCTTGGTATTAGCCTGTGGGCTCAGGATCAATTATTTCTACTTCTGGGGTATGCTACCTTCCTTGCTGAAAGCCTTTTTGAAAGATTAGCTGAGTAGCACTGGGTTCCCTCAATGTTGATTCCCTTACCAATTAATGCTATTATTGGGGTTTATATCTTTTGACTTTTAAAAGACAAATAGGCAGCCTTCAGAGACTTGGAAAGGCTGGCTGGATTATGTTCCTAATTATCTAAGTCAAATGAAAATTGAGGAGATGACTTTTAAACTTTGATTGACTCATCAGATTTCATGGGTAACCAAATTAGTGTTAGTAGAGCCAATGATACACTATTGTGTATCTTAATGATCTGTAAGTTCAATTAAAACTTTTGAAAGGTGTGTTCTTATATTTCAGGTGAAAAATAATTCTTAAAATTGGGAAAGACTGACCAACAGATTTTACATTTTGTACTTGGGCTAAGGGCACTGAAAATCTAGTTCGTTACTTCATCTCAATATATTCTATTTAAAGTGTGTGATCTTACATGGTAGGCAATGAGCTGAGGTTTTAATGGTTATAATCTATTGATTTGAGGCAAGTGAGATGGCCCAGCAAGAATTTAAAGGCAAGAACCAGTGCTTCTAGGATAGGTTTCTGACATTGCCATGGTACCAAGCTGGTGGTTGCTGAGAGCCATTAGGACTGTGGGAAAGAAGGAAGACTAATAATTCTATTCAATGTTTTCAATAACAATTCACCCTTCCAGTCAGAGGTAATGACCAAGTAACAGAGTTGTGGTCCAAATAACATTTTTGGCTCCAGGAATAAGGCACTTCAAAATTACGAGGTCTTCTAGAGACTTGCAAGATATTGCAGAGGTATAATAAACCACTAGAAGATAGTATCACTAAATTAGACAATCTTCATGCTTGGAGAACCTTAAACATCATACAGATTTATCTGCCTGAATTGGTTTAGGCAGTCTCAACTAAGAACAGGGGTCTAGAACAGGGTAAACTATGACCGGGGGGTTGGGGGAGGGGGTGGAAATTCAGCCTGCCCCTGGTTTTGTACATTCCATGAGCTAAGAATAGCTTTCACATTTTTAAATAGTTAAAAAAATCAAAAGAACAATATTTTATGATACATGAAAATATGAAATTCAAATTTTAGTGTACATAAAGTTTTTTTCAAACAGCCATGTGCATTCATTTGCATATTGTCAATGGTTGCTTTCACATTAATACAGCAGAGCTGAGTAGTTGCAAAAGAAATTGTATGGCCTGTAAAACCTCAAACATTTACTACTTGGCCCTTTACTGACCAAGTGTGCCACCTTGTATAAGATACACTTAAAGTCATCTTTCAGTTTTGGGATTCTACCTTTCAACAAATAGCACAGTAATAAGAGATTTATTCCTCTCTTCTGAGTTTATTGCTCATGTCCATGCTTAAAATATATATGAACCATTTGTCTGGTCTTATAATACAACTTGGGTTCATACTTTTCTAAAAGATATGACAAATTCAGCACTGTCACATCCGATATTCAGCTCTCATTCTAAGTAGTACTTGAAGTATAGATGTAGATAGTACCTGAATGAATGAAGATATGAATACAGATAGTACTTGAAGTATAGACAATGTATACTTCAAGTACTACTTAAAGCATAGAGTTTTCAACCTTTAATCTACTCCTTTACACCTGATGGACAGGATGTGTTCTTGGCAGTGGAATTATCTCTGTGGCAATAAGTCTCTCTTATGAATGGAGTAGACTGAATGGGCTGCTTCTCTAGTGTGTATCAGAATTCTAAGAAGTAGGAATAGGCCTCTTGTAGATGACTTTGATAAGCTACCCCCTCCCACCGAGACTGTATGAGAATCACTGGATCCAGTACCATTTATCCCAGCCCTCTAGGTTTTATCCCTCCATTAAGTTAAACTATTAGAGCGTGAAGTACTTGGATTATATAATAATAAAGTGAAAATATATTCCTTTATAGAAATGCTTTATTAAGGTATGACTAATGATTATACTGATTAGGTATATTAAAATGTTGATGCACGAAGCAACTATCTGAAGATCATTTACATAACTTTTTAAAAAAACTACAGTTGAAGTTTCATACAGTTAATTCGGACTTGAATTTTGTTTGAGAGAAAAAATAGCAGGGTTCCTCTATGTAATTGTTTTCTCTGCAACAGATGATACGTTTAGAGAATCAGGAGATCTGATTTATAATCATGGCCTGGCTTTTACCTAGCCAAGGGTAAGACTAGAAGATATCCAAGGTTTGTTTGGTTTTAAAATTAAATATCTCATCAGAAAAAAAACAATAACAATTGAAAAAAAAAAAACCCTTCTCCCTTCCTGCCAGAAAGCACAGAAAATTATTGCCAATGGTAGAAATTTGGTTATTTGCAAGTACCTAGTAATACCTACTTTTGCGCTTCCTTTAAAATGTTCTGTTTTGTTTCATTCATAAATGGCTTATTTTCCACTGTCTTTTAACTATGTAAACCATACTTGGAAAAATGTAGGATATAAAATTTATATAGAAACAGCATACTTCTAACATGGATTAAAGCTAGTGGGAGGAATGATGAAATTTCCTTCTTCACATTTGATTCCTGCTCTTAGCTGACTCATAGCCAAAGCTACACAAATTTATAATTACATGTAATACAGCTGAGAAGTCTTAGTCAAGCTGTTTTAATAGAGCACTAACATGTTAAAAGTAAGAAAAAAATTCAAGTTCTATGTTTCTAGATGAACTCATCATTTCCATGGTTACCTTTTTAATTTTTAATGTTGTGGGTATATAAGTGTATATATTTATGGGGTACATGAGATATTTTGATATAGGCATGCAATATGTAAAAATCACATCAGGGTAAATGGGGTATCCATCTCCTCAAGCATTTATCCTTTGAGTTACAAATGATGCAATTATACTCTTTTAGTTATTTTAAAATGTACAATTAAATTATTATTGACCATAGTCACCTTATTCTGCTACAAAATTGTAGGTCTTACGCATTATTTCTAAATTTTTGTATCTATTATCCATGATTATTATTTTTTTGATGGATGGGAAATTTTGCTATAATTTTTGTTCCCTAGATACAAAACTAAAGTTGATGAACTACTTGAAGAGACCAAGTAATACATTCTAGTGAAAAAGCATTTGAAACTTAGGTCTGTGATTGTCTAATGGAGTCAGTGAGAATTCAGACTTTTCATAGATTACATACATACTCACATGTCTGTACATATTTATATGTGAGGAGGTAGGGAAGAGGGATTGGGAGAGAATAAAAGGGAAAAGAGAATCTTGATAAAGGTCAAGGCAATTCATCCAAGGACTGCAAATGTTAGCACCACGCTCTCACCAACTGAGCTAACCGGCCAAGATGTCCAGTACTACAAATGTAAAAATCCATGAACTACATTATTCGGTCATTAAGTTAATTTGCTAATAATTTTTTCCTCATTCCTTCATTTTAAGGTAATAAGACCTGGTACTAAGATCTTCCTGTGAAATACAAATGCATTGTTTTGCTTGACTCTGAGAGTCATTTTAACTAAGATTTTGTTTTAGAATTTTTTTGTGTGTAAATTTTTCATCTTTCCGAAACAAAAAAAAAAAACTAAGTTTTAAAATGTTTTGACTTCTTTAAATTTCTGTAAGTTCCATAGCTACCTCTCAATTTTGAAAAACCTGGGTAAATCAGCTTATTTTCTCTTATCAGACAAGGGCAGTTTTTTCAATAACTTATTTCTAGTCAACCTCAGTTACTTGATTATTTTATTATCTTGAGGGTCTAAACAGACCTTTTTTTCTTCCTTTTTTTTTTTTTTTGGTAGGGGCTTCTTTTGATTAGTATTCTTTCTCCTCTTTAACTTACACTTTACCCTTCAGTGGTTCCGATGAATGAAGAAGCAGAGAATATAGGCAAGAAAGTGGTGGCTAAGGGAGAACAGAAGCTGCCTTAGAAGCTGACTGATAGTCAGGAATGAGGAAAATTCCCTTAGTTCTCCCATTCTTCTCTCGCCAGATACCTTCCAAGGACTTGCCAATGTTTAGAAGCACACAATTAGAGCTTCATTTATTCCATAATTGGTGCTCCATTCCTTTTGTTGGAGCCAAACAAAAACTTCCCTTGGGCTTAATGTTTTTGTGGGAGGGGCTTAAATTTTTAAAGCGAAATAGTAGGTATATTTAAAATATGTTAAATTAATGATATGCAAAAAGAACAGTGAACTTACCTAGTATGGTTACTTCAAAATGTCCAAGGCTTCGGGCGCTCTTAAAATCATCAAGTTTTGGGGGCCTTCCTTCTGGTGGTACATATTTCGCAGGCTGAGAATTATACTGGTCACTAAGAAACTTTCTGTGTTCAAACATAAATTTCCGTGGAATACTTTCAGGATAAACACGGCTGTAGTGTAGGTGATCTATTAAGCCAAACTTTTTCTCTCTCCACAGCTGACTCTCCCACCTATCACTTATAGTTTTTCTGGCTTTCCCTTGCAGATTAGCATTTATATTTGCTCGACCTGTTAAAGACACAAGGAGATAGACACAATTGATCTATAAACTAATCAAATCAAGTCATTCACTGCAAAAAAAAACCACACATTAATGAGGAAGAGTTTAAGTAACATTAAAAATCAAACCACTACCTACAAAATATAAAATGAATATACAAAAGAAAATTCTTATTAAAGTGAGGAACTAAATTCACTTTCAAAATAAACTTTTACCGTAAAATACTAAAGTGACATTGTTTTCTCTGTTGTTGTAATTATGTAGATTTGTAATTACGTTCTTTCTACTTTTTCTAAATGTTCTAAAAGCTCTTAAACATATGTTCTTTTTATATTCAGTGACAAATTCAAATTAAATTAAATTCATGATTAGAGATCACTCACTCTTGGTGGAAATTTGAGCCTAAAATAAACTTTTGTTAATCTCTGCTAAAAGTAAACTGAACAAATACAGTCTCCTTCTTCATTACTTCTCTCCTTCAGAGGGGCCATTTAGGGGTTGGGCATGGTGGCTCATGCCTGTAATCTCAGCATTTTTGGAGGCTGAGGCAGGAGGATCACTTGAAGCCAGGAGTTCAAGACCAGCCTAGTTAACATAGAGAGACCTGTCACTAAAAAACAAAACAAAACAAAAAAACCAAAAAAAAAAAACAAGAAAAAAAAACAAAACAAAAACGAAAAACAAAGGGGCCATTTATTTATTATATATGACACTCCTTTATGGAAAACAAAAAGGGAACGAAATTGAGATGAAAGACCCCCTCAATTTTTGTTGTTCTCTATCATCAAATCAAATTATCATTTATGTATGATTAAAATCTAACACATTAAGTTTCTAATGCAGAATATAATTTATCCCTTATTGATATGGTTAGGCTTTGTATTCCTACCCAAAACTTATCTTGAGTCCCCAGGTGTTGAGGGAGAGACCTAGTGAGAGGTGATTGGATCATGGGGGTGGTTCTCCCATGCTGTTCTCATGAAAATGAGATAGTTCCCACGAGATCTGATGGTTTTATAAGTGTTTGACATTTCTTCCTGCACACATTGTCTCTCTTGCCTGCCACCATATAAGACGTGCCTGGCATGATTGTAGGTTTCCTGAGGCCTCCCCAGCCATGTGGAACTGTGAGCCAATTAAACCTCTTTTCTTCGTAAATTACCCAGTCTCAGGCAGTCATTTATAGCAGTGTGAGAACAGACTAATACACGTATACATTATGACATTCGTTCATCCATTCAACAAACAATTACAGAACACCTATTATGTGCCAGACATTGTGTTAAGGAATTTGGTACAAGTAATACTTTGATTAAATAATGTACCATGGTAGAATCGGAAACACTGTAAAATCAGAAAAAAAAATTGATTTTGGAACAACAGTTCTGCTAGCTGAGATAGGCTGACAGCTTAAGAGTTTACCAAAGTTGCTGACTTTCTTTCTTGCCTATGTCCTGGTATTCTTATCCTAGCATAAAAAACCTTGCTGAGGCAGAAGGTGGCTGCAATAGCAAGGTTTCAGTATGGTTAAAATACTACTTCTGATTATCAGACTTTATTACATATTCCCAGAGTACTTGCTTGGTTTCTTAAGCCTAGCTGGAGACTTATTGAAAATGTATTACAAGGTAAAGTATTAGTTTGAGTTGTAAGGGAAGATGAAGAAGTTGAACACATACTTCTTACCAGGAATTTAAAATATTGCAATACTACAAAAGAGTTTTTTAAACTAAAAATTCAGTTGATGAACACACAAATTCCTATAATAATGATTGATAACAAAAGGGATAAAAAACTTAGTCACACACGAAAAGATCAAAAGGAATAAATCAAAGCTGAGAAAAAGAGTTAGTAGGACTAAATTGATGATTGGGAAATGACTTCATCTTTTGTATCTTCTAGAAGTAAATCTCTTCTCAAACTAATAAAAGTACATAATCAGAACAACAATTAGTAGCTATTGCAATGATCTAACCCATATTAAACATTCCTGCTTGACTTATTTTAGAATACAGCATGCAAAAGAAAAAGTGATATGCTATTCTAATTTTTAAAAATTAAGTATTTACATCTACCTTATAGAAAACAATTATATGATTGATCTGTTTGGAAAAAGCCAGAATATTTTCTATGCATATTTTCTTATTTGAGTGTTAATATTAAGGACTGCCAAGGTACAAATGTTTATATGAAAAATTCCTCTAAAGAAACATGCTTTATTTTTTTATTTTAGTAACTGGGGACTACAATTACCTACCTCAATTGTATCTTCATAATTAAGTAATACAAATCAGTATGAAATCAATACAGGAGACATTGGCAGTTATTGGTTGTGAATAGTAACAAATCAAAGACAATAAATAGGAAAGAGACAAAATATATCTAGAGCTCAGGTTTTTCTAAAAATAAGATGGAAAATCATGAACTAGTTTTTTTTGAATATTAATAAAATTACTATATGAAACATGTTATATTTTAAGCTTAATGCATAGCTAAAATATAGGTTAATTACTTAGCAAAATTATATTTTTATATTTTACAATTATAATTTTCATTCTATTATTTCAATTATCTATTTTACTCTTATTTCTGGTGAGATTGGTTCAATGTTTTAATGAGGAACATTTACATTTAGGTCGTAAGGTTAAAAAAAGAATGCAGTTCAAACGTATGTACGTAGGCATCGTGAATTTTTTTTTTAAATCTACTCCAAGCATTTCATTACGTGGATAAGAGTGGTAGGTTGATAGAGGCAGGCTCACGCCTGTAATCCCAGCACTTCAGGAGCCTGAGGCAGGAGGACTGCTTGAGGCCGGGAGTTCAAGACCAGCTTAGGTAACATAGGGAGACCCTGTCTCTACAAAGTAATAATAATAATAATAGTAATAGTAATAAAATAAGCAGGCATTATGGCACACACCTATGGTTCCATCTACTTGGTAGCTGAGGTGGGAGGATTGCTTGAGCCTGGGAGGTCGAGGCTGCAGTGAGCCATGATCGTGCCATTGCACTCCTGCCTGGATGACATAGCAAGACTCTGTCTCAAAAAAAAAAAAAATGTAATGGGATGTATGGAGGCATGGGGGAGGGAAAGGAGCTACTTTCTTTGCCTCTCCTTCTTGCTAGCAAGTATATAACGGACTTTTTAAAGACTAGTGAAAGTCAGAGGCTACCTGTAATGCCTTGTGTTACTGTTAACTTTTCAAGTGTATGTCTGAGTTACTAGATATAAGCACAAACAAACCACACAAACATATTAATTGTGTATTCACAAAATGAATGACTTTTGAATTTACAAGCATCTAAAAAGCCAAAGTTATCATGAAACTACCTGGGAATACATTAGTGACCATGTTGACACATATAGATCTAATTCATTCATTAAAACTGCAATATAATATTACAGTATATTAATATGCTATATTTATAATCATCTGTTAATTAACATTTAGCTTTTAATTTTCCCTATTATAAATAATTTTCCAGTGAAAATCTTGGAATGTGTCTTCCTATGTGGCCAAAGACATAAATGGAATTTCTAGGTCACAGAGTGTAACACATTCCCAACAAATTAGGTATTGTCAAATTATTCTCAAATGGTGGTTGCAGCATATCTATTCTAACAAAGTGGGGAGGTGCATGAGTCTCTCCCTAATACAAATGCCTACTCCAGCTGGAATACTGAGTTTGTCAAAAAGAGACAAGGAGTAGGTAATTGAGGGATCCTTGACTCTTCTCATTTCTCTACTTTAAATTTTTATCAATATCCAGTTATAGTTGATTGTATCAGAAATCTACTTTTCTGATATAAGTGTAGACACTCAAGTTTTCTTTTGTATGGTATGTGCTTTTCCATCTTTTTATATCATATCTTTACATTTAAATTGGTTTTCTTTTAGATGGTATATGGTTGGGTCTTACTTTTGTATCCAATATGATAATCTCCACTTTTTACTTGGGGTATTTATGCTATTTATTTTAATATAAAGGCATACCTTGTTTTAATGCACTTTATTGTGCTTCACAGATATTGCATTTTTTTGCAAATTGAAGGTCTGTGGGAACCCTGTGTTGAGCAAGTCTATTGGTGACATTTTTTAAACAGCATATGTTCATTTTGTGTCTCTGCGTCACGTTTTGGTAATTATCACAATATTTCAAACTTTTAAATTATTATATATATTATGGTGACCTGTGATTACTGATCTCTGATGCTACTATTGTAATTGTTTTGAGGCGCCACAAACCACACCCATGTGAGATAGCAAACTTAATTGAAAAATACTGTGTGTGTTCTAACTGCCCCAATTACTGGCCATTTCCCTGTCTATCCTCTTTTCCTCAAGTCTCCCTACTCCCTAAGACAAAATAATATTGAAATTAGGCCAATGAATAACCTTATAATGTTTTCTAAGTGTTCAAGTGAAAGGAGAGTCACACATCTCTCATTTCAAATCAAAAGCTAGAAACAATTTAGTTTAGTGAGGAAGGCATGTTAAAAAACAAGATAGGCTGAAAACTAAGGCCTTCTGAGCCAAACAATTAGCCAAGTTGAGAGTGCAATGTAAAAGTTCTTGAAGGAAAGTAAAAGTGCTATTCTAGTGAACACATGAATGATAACAAACTGAAACAGCCTTATTGCTGATCTAAAGAAAGTTTTGGTGGTCTGAATAGAATATCATGCTAGCCACAACAATATTCCCTAAGGCCAAAGCCTAATTCCTAGCAAGGCCCTAACCTAACTCTCTTCAATTCTATGAAGGCTAAGATAAGTGAGGAAGCTGGAGAAGAAAAGTTGGAAGCTAGCAGAGATTGGTTCATGAGGTTTAAGAAAGAAGCTATCTCCATAACATAAAAGTGCAAGGTGAGGCAGCAAGTTCTGATGTAGAAGCTGCAAGTTATTCAGAAAATCCAGCTAAGATAACTGATGAAGGTGGCTACACTGAACAACAGATTTTCAATGGAGATAAAATAGCTTTGTATTGGAAGAAGATGCCATCTAAGACTTTCATAGTTAGAGAGGAAAAGTCAATGCCTGGCTTTAAATCTTCAACGGGCAGGCTGACTCTCTTCTTAGGGGCTAATGCAGCTGATGACTTTAAGTTGAAACCAATGCTCATTTACCATTCCAAAAGTCCTGGGGCCCTTAAGAATTATGCTAAATCTACTCTGCCTGTGCTCTAGAAATGGAACAAAGCCTCAATGACAGCACATCTGTTTATAGTATGGTTTACTGAATATTTTAAGCCCACTATTGAGAACTACTGCTCAGATAAAAAGATTCCCCTCAAAATATTACTGCTTATTGACAATGCACCTGGTCACTCAGGAGCTCTGATGACCAGGAGCTCTGACGGAGTTCCATCAAGGAGTTCAATGTTGTTTTCGTGCCTGCAAACACAAAACCATTCAGAAGCCCATGGATCAAGGAGTAATTCTGACTTTCAAGTCTTAATTCTTAAGAAATGCATTTCATAAGGCTATAGCTACCATAGTGATTCCTCTGATGGATCTGGGCAAAAGTGAAAACTGAAAACCTCCTGGAAATTTGAAAACCTTCTGGAAAGGATTCACCATTCTAGATGCCATTTAAAGTATTTGTGATTTATGGAAGGAGGCCAAAATATCAACATGAACAGGAGTTTAGAAGAAATTGATTCCAAACCCCATAGATGACTTTGAGGTGTTCAACACTTTAGGGTAGGAAGTAACTGCAGAAGTGGTGGAAATGGCAGGAGAACTAGAATTAGAAGTGGAGTCTGAAGATGTTACTAAATTGCTGCAATCTCATCATAAAACTTGAATGGACGAAGAGTTGCTTCTTACAAATGAACAAAGGTGGTTTTTTTGAGATTGAATCTATTCCTGGTGAAGATGTCGTGAACACTGTTAAAATGAAAATAAAGAATTTAGAATATTACATAAGCTTAGCATAATAGATAAAGTAGTGTCAATTTTTGAAAGGAGTGACTCCAATTTTGAAAGAAGTTCTACTCTGGGTAAAATGCTGTCAAACAGCATCACATGCTACAGAGAAATCTTTCCTGAAAGGAAAAGTCAACTGATGTGGCAAAATTTATTGCTGTCTTATTTTAGGAAACTGCCAAAGCCGATTCCTCAGGGATCTAGAACTAGAAATATCATTTGACCCAGCCATCCCATTTCTAGGTATATACCCAAAGGATTATAAATCATGCTGCTATAAAGACACATGCACACGTATGTTTACTGTGGCAGTATTCACAATAGCAAAGACTTGGAACCAACCCAAATGTCCATCAATGATAGACTGGATTAAGAAAATGTGGCACATATACACCATGGAATACTATGTAGCCATAAAAAAGGATGAGTTCATGTCCTTTTTAAGGACATGGATGAAGCTGGAAACCATCATTCTGAGCAAACTATCCCAAGGGCAGAAAACCAAACACCGCATGTTCTCACTCATAGGTGGGAATTGAACAATGAGAACACTTGGACACAGGGTAGGGAACATCAAGCACTGGGGCCTGTCATGGGGTGGGCGGTGGGGGGAGGGATAGCATTAGGAGATATACCTAATGTAAATGACGAGTTAATGGGTGCAGCACACTAACATGGCACATGTATACATATGTAACAAACCTGCACATTGTGCACATGTACCCTAGAACTTAAAGTATAATAAAAAAAGAAAACCTGAAAAAAAAATAAAGCTAATAACAACTTAAAAAAAAAAAAGAAAAAGAAACTGCCACAGCCATCAGCATAAGGCAAGACCCTCCGCCAGCAAAAAGACTACGACTCACTTAAGGCTCAGATGATGGTTAGCATTTATTAGCAATACAGTATTTTTAAATTCAGGTATGTACATTTTTGGATATAATGATATTGCATACTTATTAGAATGTAAACATAACTTTTATATGTACTGAAAAACCTAAAAATTTGTGTGATTTGCTCTACTGCAATTTTCACTTTATTCTAATGGTTTGGCACCAAACCCACAATATCTCTGAGGTACGCCTGCAATTAACCATGGAAGGACTTAAATTTGCTACTTTTCTATTGTTTCTCTTTGACTCATCTATTCCTTAGATCAATTTTCTCTTTTCCTGCCTTCTCTTGGATTGAATGTTTTAAAAAATAATCCCTTTATAGATTCTGGATATTAGCCTTTTGTCAGATGGATACATTGCAAAAATTTTCTCCCATTCTGTAGGTTGCCTGTTCACTCTGATGATAGTTTCTTTTGCTGTGCAGAAGCTCTTTAGTTTAATTAGATCCCATTTGTCAATTTTGGCTTTTGTTGCCATTGCTTTTGGTGTTTTATTCCTAAGTCTTTGCCCATGCCTATGTCCTGAGTGATATTGCCTAGGTTTTTTTCTAGGGTTTTTATGGATTTAGGTCTTACGTTTAAGTCTAATCCATCTTGAGTTAATTTTTGTATAAGGTGTAAGGAAGGGGTCCAGTTTAAGTTTTCTGCACATGGCTAGCCAGTTTTCCCAACACCATTTATTAAATAGGGAATCCTTTCCCCATTGCTTGTTTTTGTCAGGTTTGTCAAAGATCAGATGGTTGTAGACGTGTGGTGTTATTTCTGAGGCCTCTGTTCTGTTCCACTGGTCACTTAAACAAATTTACAAGAAAAAAATAAACAACCCCATCAAGAAGTGGGTGAAGGATATGAACAGACACTTCTCAAAAGAAGATATTTATGCAGCCAACAAACATATGAAAAAAAAATCATCATCACTAGTCATTAGAGAAATGCAAATCAAAACCATAATGAGATACCATCTCATGCCAGTTAGAATGGTGATCATTATAGTCAGGAAACAACAGATGCTGGAGAGGATGTGGAGAAATAGGAATGCTTTTACACTGTTGGTGGGAGTGTAAATTAGTTCAACCATTGTGGAAGACAGTTTGGTGATTCCTCAAGGATCTAGAACCAGAAATACCATTTGACCCAGCAATCCCATTACTGGGTATATACTCAAAGGATTATAAATTATTCTACTATAAAGACACATGCACACTTATGTTTATTGAGGCACTGTTCACAATAGCAAAGACTTGGAACCATTCCAAATGTCCAACAATGATAGACTGGATAAAGAAAATGTGGCACATATACACCATGGAATACTATGCAGCCATAAAAAAGGATGAGTTCATGTCCTTTTCAGGGACATGGATGAAGCTGGAAACCATCATTCTCAGTAAACTAACACAAGAACAGAAAACCAAACACTGCATGTTCTCACTAACAAGTGGGAGTTGAACAATGAGAACACATGGACACAGGGAGGAGAACATCACACATTGGGGCCTGTCGGCATGTTGGGGGCTAGGGGAGGGATAGTATTAGGAGAAATACCTAATGTAGACGATGGGTTGATGGGTGCAGCAAACCATCACGGCACGTATATACCTATGTAACAAACCTGCACGTTCTGCAAATATATCCCAGAACTTAAAAGTATAATAAAATAAAATAAAATAAAATAAAATAAAATAAAATAAAATAAAACATAATCCCATTAAGCCCTGCTATTGATTAGCTACACTTTTTTTTAGTGTTTTCTCCAAGGTCTACAATATACAACATTTACTACAATCTACCTTCAAATGATGCTATGCATCTTCATGCATGTAGTGTAAGAATTTTAGAACAGTGCATTTCCATATCCCCTCCAGTCATCATGCTATTTTTTCATAACACTTTACTTCTATATAAACTATAAACTCCACAATATATTTTTATTATTTCTGATCTAAAAGAAAAATGAGAAAATATATTTTATTTTACCCACCTATTTACTAATTCTAGTGCTTTATCTTCCTTTACTTAGATAAAAATTTCTATCAGGTGCTATACATTTTCTGCCTGAAGAATTCCTTTAATATTTTTCATTGTGTAGGTCTCGTGGTGATGAATTCTCTCAGCTTTTGCAGCTTTTGCAGCTTTTGTCTTTATTTTGCCTTTATTTTTAAAAGTTATAGTCACTGTGTATAGAATTCTAAGTTTACAGGTTTTTTTTTTTTTTTTTTGACAGAATCTCACTCTGTCACCCAGGCTAGAGTGCAGTGGTGCAATTTTGGCTCACTGCAACCTCCGCCTCCTGAATTCAAGCGATTCTCCTGCCTCAGCCTCCCAAGTCACTGGTAATACAGGCATGCTCCGTGATTACATGATTTCTTAAGAGACATCTGCTGTCATGCTTGTCTTTGATCCTTTGTGACTTATGTGTATTTTTTTCTTTTCTCTTTTGCTTCTTTTAAGATATCGTTTATCCTGGTTTTCAGTGGCGTGTGTGTGTGTGTGTGTGTGTGTGTGTGCATTTAATGATGTTTTTGTCTCCTTGTTCTATTATTTTAAGAGGAGTGCACCATGACTGTTATGTGCACCAACTGCTCTTAAAATCCACCAGGTTATTTACCTTTTTAAGATTATATTATATGTTATACACATTCATGATTGTTACTGTATTCTTAGTGGAATGTCCATTTATCATCCTATATATTCTATATCGTCCCTATTTATCTTTACTTACAGTTTTTACCTTAAATTCTATTTACTTCATATGAATATTGCTATACCACTTTTCTCTTGGTTAGTATATATCAGGTATATATTTTGCCATTCCTTTATTTTCAACTTTTTATATAATTTTGCTTAAGTATGTCTCTCTCTTAAAAAAAATTTCTTTTGAGATTGGTTCTCACTATGTTGCCCAGGCTGAAGTGCAGTGGCTATTCACAGACACAATCATAGCACACTACAGTCTCAAACTCCTGGGCTCAAGTGATCCTCCTGCCTCAGCTTCCTGAGTAGCTAGGACTATAGGTGCATGCCACTGCACCAGGCTTAAGTGTGTCTCTTATATGTAGCATGTAACTGGATTAATTTTTAAGATTGGAATACGAAAGTTTAATATGTTTACATTTATTGAAATTGTTGATAATTCAGAATTATCTCAGCTATATCATTTTGTGTTTTATCTTAAAAAAAAAAGAGAGAGATGGAGTCCCATTATGTTGCCCAGACTAGTCTTGAACTCCTGGCCTCAAGTAATCTTCCTGTCTCAGACTCCCCAAGTGCAGGAATCACAGACATAAGCCACCATGCCCAGCCCATGTTTTATCTTAATCATGCTTTTTCTTTGCTTTTTCCCCCTTTTTTCTACCTTTACTGCCCTGAAAAATTTTTCATAATTCCTCCCCTTTTTTTCTGTGCTGCTTCAGAAGTTACACATTCTATCCTATTCTTTCAGCTTGATCTTAAATTTTTAACTCACATGTTTAAATTTACAAAGCCTGCAGTATATAAATCTCTATTTTCCATAAAGATACAATGATCTTAGAATGCTTTAATTCTCATCTTTCCATCCATTTCACCTTAAATAGTATTTTCATTCTACTTTGTTTCAAATCCCATGAAATAATTTGTTACCATAGTTATTAATTTCTACTGCATATATTTATTTATATTTACCAATATTTTACTAACTTCTTTGCTTACCATTGCTTCTTACATTCTGATATTTCCTTTTGGTTTGATTTTCCATCTCTCAGAATTCTTTAGTAATTCTTTCATTGAGACTCTACAAGTAATAACTCTTTTAGTCTCTGACTATCTGAAAATATCTTTATTTCACCGTCACTCTTGCTTGATTGTTTAGGTAGACATAAAATTCCAGGTTAGGAATTATCTCAACACTTTGAAGATATTTCACTGTCTAAAGCATTATTGTTTTTGGGAAATTTTTCCGTCTAATTTTGTTTTCTTTGTTGATAAATCTGTCTTTTTTTTATCTCTGGTAGTTTTAAGGATGTTTATCTTTGATGCTCTGCAGGTTCACTATCATGGTCTGTATGATTTATCACATATCATATGTCTAGATACAGTTTATTTTTATTCTACTCAGAATTCACTGTGATCCTTCAATTTAATAATTCATTTTTATATATATACAATTTTGAAAAAATACCCTCTTCAAATACTGCTTCTTCCTAACTATCTCTGTTCTGTCCTCCTGAACCTTTATTAGATATAAATTGGACTTTCTCATCCTATCCACTATGTCTCTCAACTTGTATTTTACCTTTCTAAACTCTTTACCACTCTTTGGTGTGATTTCATCAGTATCTCCAAATACACTAAATTATTTCTTCATCTGCATTTATCTATTATTCTACTCATCCTCTACCGATAAGTGTGTGTGTGGATACCTTTTTCACATATGTCAGTTCTTCATATTGATCTGTTTCCAACCTACTGACTTTTATTTATTCCTTTAACTTTTTAAACGTGTTTATTTTAGAGCTGGATGTGGTGGCTCACACCTGTAGCACTTTGGAAGGCTGAGGCTGGAGGATCACGTGAGGCCAGGAGTTTGAGATCAACCTGGGAAACATAGTGAGACACTATCTCTATAAAAAAATTATAAAAATAATAAACATACGTTTCAAAGCCTCTTTCTGATTGGCCTAGTATTTCTAGTTCCTGGGGTATAAATTCTTCCATGTGTTACATCTGATCACACTGCCTTTCAGTAGTAGCTCATTTCCTTTGGAAGCTTGTAATTTTTCACCATGAATCCATTTTCTGTAGATATTGTTTTCCAAGGGAATCCCAAGCACCCTAGGTTACAAGAAACCTCCCTTTTAGGAAGTTTCACAACTGCCTTTGTCTAGACCTTAGGGTCTTGATTTCACTGATTTTGGACCAGATATTAGTGCTAACTCCTTAGTTCAGTAGCCTCACCATTTTAATCATGTGAACTGCAACCATACTTCCATGCTGCACAGGTCTGGGATTCCACTTTCTCTCAGATGACTTTTTCTTACCCATTGCCCAGGAGATACAGGAAGCTCTTTGATATCTCTCCACATTCATGGTCACAATTTTTCTGCCCTTCTGCAAACTTCCAACTTTACATTAGTTTTACTTCTTCACAAGTAGGAGGCCTGTGGTCTGGACTCTCCTTCCCATGTGGTTATTATACCTCTCAGCCCATGAAAATTAAGGTCTCTATCTAGTTCTGAGATGTCCATGAACACTTTCAGTTTTGGTTCCTACTCACTAGTAAATTTAAATTCCTTTTTTGTTTCTGGCACCTGGTGATTTTTCATTCTTGTTTAGAGCTTGATTAGATACTTATATTATAATGTTTTTCTTTTGTGGGTTTTCAATCGGCCAGATTTACCATAAGGCAATCCCTCCTTTTGCTACTGGTCTGTCAGGCTATTCTTGGATTTATTTCTTTCTGCAGCCTAAGACTCAATCCATTCTATCTTTCAATTTTAGTTAGCAAGTGAATGATTAACTTACATCTGAACAAGAGCTTTCTCCAAAACAGCATGGAATAGGAAGGAAAAGTTGAAATTAATTTCAAATAACCACTTCCTGTGAGATAAACAAAATGTGTCCATAAAGCTCAGCACAGTGCCTGACACATAAATGCTCAATAAATGGCTGGTACTACTATTATATAATTGTGAGAAGTACCATATTATCTTCTGTAGGTAAAAGAGATGGGATAATCTTAGCAGATGCTAATATAGAAATCTGTATGAAGTTTAATCACCAAGCTGACAAGCTGAAGAATAGAATTTAATTGCTTTCTTGGATATTAAACAGAGAATCACAAAACCTGGGAACAATTATGGTTTTCTCCTTCATTTTTAGAATTTAGAGTCCAGGCAAGATCCATTGCCTGAGGAACATTTTTTTAATTCAAATTATGCTTAGCTGGGAAAAATAATCTTTTTCTCCATAAGTCCGCAAATTATATTTTTTACTGAAATCATCTAAAGTGCTCATTGAAACTTTTGGACAAAGTATTCAGCCTTATAGAGAATAATCAGTCTAGAATATGACAGGAGAAATGAATAAAAATCTATTATTAACTAACCCACATAAATCTAATAGGTAAGGACAGATGTTTCTAAAAAGATTTAAAATGTTTAGAATGGACTTGTTCACAATGCTCCAATTTTATATCATGTAACAATCAACAAAAGTCATATTTAAATACTTTGGAAAGGTTCGTTGAGACATCAAATTTAACAAGGTAGTATTCAATAAAATGACAGTATCACTTTTGTCTAGGTGGAGGATGAAAACAAAATAACACCAAAAGCAAAGCAAGGAAATAAAGTGCTAAAAAGTCTAATCCAGAGAGATGATACCTGATAAGATCTGACTTAAACCAAACTACTCTACGGACACCCCACCAGAAAAAATTGTATTACGAAATCACTTCAGAAATGAGGCCAAAGTTCAAATCAGCCAACCCAATAGCAAAGAAAGAAGATACAATTTACTTTTAAGAGCTATCCATATTTGTTGTCAATTAAAAATTAAACTTCCTACTTATTCTTCTATTAAAAATAGTACATTTGAAGAGATATACTATTACTAATGAAACAAACTGGTAAGTATAAGTTTGTTTAAAATTACTTTCACTTTTGGGATGATACCAAATTGATCAGTACACTTTTGACAGTGACCTAAGCTAATATTACTATATGCAAAGTATACATTCTAAGCATGTATTACTTGTGCTTAGTAATTAAATAGTAATCTTCATAGAATAATGTTTCATAAAGTTTTCATAAATAATAATAACAAATAGTAACATACGGTTGAAGATGCTTGGCATGCCCGGTTTAATTCCCTTTGTTTGTACAGAAGCTCCTGGTTGAGGTACAGCAACTCTATAAAGGATAAGAAGAGTATAACCAATCCTTATAAAAAGAGTCTCAAATGAAAAACAAATCAACTGGTTCTATTCAGAATTTATTTTAATTCAATAAATTTAGAAAATATACAGGTTAAGTTTGTTGAATAATACATTAACATACACTAATAATTATGAAAAATATCCATATATAAAACAACTCAAATACTGCAATAGATTTAAATTTTAAAGATTATTCCATAAAAGGGAGCATTAATTTTATTAAATATTAACTGAAGATAATATTTTTATTCTTTATGACAGAAATTTAAAATTTAGTGCATGCAGAGCAAAAGAAATAATCAAAGTGAAGAGACAACCCACAGAATGGGAGAAAATATTTGCAAACTACTCATCTGACAAGGGATTAATAACCAGAATACACAAGGAGCTCAAATAAAACTGTAAAGGAAAAAAGCTAATAATTTGATGAAAAATGGGGAAAAGATTTGACATTTTTATGAGAAATGACATTTCTGTAACAGACATTTCTCAAAAAAAGACATATAAATGGCAAACAGGTATATGAAAAGGTGCTCAACATCACTGATCATCAGAGAAACCCAAATCAAAACTACAATGAGATATCATCTCACCCCAGTAAAAGTGGCTTAAATCCAAAAGACAGGCAAATAACAAATGCTGACAAGAATGTGGAGAATGGGAAAACTCTGTATAATGTTGGTAGGAATGTAAATTAGTATATCCACTATGAAGACAGTTTGGAGGTTTCTACAAAAATTAAAAATTGAGCTACCATATAATCGAGCATCCCCCCTGCTTGGTATATACCCAAAAGAAAGAAAATCAGTATATCAAAGAGATAGCTGCACTTCCATGTTTGTTGCAGAAGCTTTTACAATAGCTAAGGTTTGGAAGCAACCTAAGAGTCCATCAACAGATGAATGGATAAAGAAAATGTGGTACATATACACAATGGAGCACTATTCAGGCATAAAATGATTAAAATCCTGTCATTTGCAATGACATGGATAGAACTGGAGATCATTGTGTTAAGTGGAAATAAGATAGGCAATAAAAGATAAACATTGCATGTTCTCACTTATTTGTGGGAGCTAAAAATTAAAACAACTGAACACATGGAGATAGAGAGTAGAAGAAGAATGGTTACCAGAGGCTGGGAAGGGGAGTAGGGGAGTTTGGGAGAGGTATGGATGGTTAATGGGTACAAAAATATAGAAAGAATGAATAAGACCTACTATTTGATAGCACAACAGGGTGACTATAGTCCATAATAACTTCACTGTACATTTTAAAATAACTAAAAGACTGTGTAATTTAATTGTTTGTAACACGAAGGATAAATGCTTGAGGGGATGGATACCCCATTCTCCATGATGTGATTATTATGCATTGTATGCCTGCATCAAAACATTTCATGAATGCACCTAACATATACTTACAAAAATTAAAAATAAATAAGTAAAAATGAAATAAGTGCAATGGCCTAGTTTTTACATTTTCTTTGTTCAAAAATTATGGGAAACAATCTGGCCTGCCTTTCCAATTTCATTTCATAGTTTTTTATTAGTCCCATGGTGCTTTAAACCTTCACGCTTTTCTTTCTGCCTGGAACAATCCTATGTCCCCTTTCATTTGCCTGGTTAACTCTTACTCATCCTTCAGGATTTAGCTCCAGCATAATTTCCTACAAGAAGCTTCCCTTGATCTCTTGCCAAGGCTAACTGCCCCTTGTATATGCTATTACAGTACTGTGAATAAACTTCTATCATGGCATTCACCATATCATATTGAAATTACAGGTTTAAAAGTCTGTCTCTTCCACAAGACTTAGCTCTCTATGAAAGTATTAACTCATCTTTATCAGTTACATCTGCTATGACCCTATTTCCAAATAAGGTCATATTCAGAAGTCCTGAGGGTTAGGACTTCATTGTATGAATTTCGTGGGGACACAATTCAACCCATAAGTCTGCCCTCTGGTCCCACAAAATTCCTGTCCTTCTCATATGCAAAATAGGTTTACCCCATCACAACAGCCCCAAAAGTCTTATCCCATAGCAGCAAAATCCATTGATCTGTTGCTTATGAGAAACATACTTTACCTATAAAGATACATGTAAACTGAAAATAAAAGGATGGTAAAAGGTATTCCATGTCAATGGAAACCAAAAAACCGTAGGAGTAGCTATCTTTATATCAGACAAAATCGATTTCGAGACAAAAATAATAAGGAGTAGCTATCTTTATATCAGACAAAATCGATTTTGAGACAAAAACAATAAGAAGAGACAAAGAAGATCACTATATAATGATAAAGGAGTCAATCCAGCAAGACAATATAACAATTTTAAATATGTATGCACCCAACACTGGAGCATCGAGATATATAAACCAAATATTATTAGAGCTAAAGAGACAGATAGGCCGCAATACAATAATAGCTAGAGACTTCAACACCCCACTTTCAGCACTGGACAAATCTTCTAGACAGAAAATCAACAAAGAAATATTGGACTTAATCTGCACTGTAGATCAAATGGATCTAATAGATATTTACAGAACATGTAATCCAACAGCTGCAGAATACACATTCTTTTCCTCAGCACATGGATCATTCTCAAGGATAGATCATATGTTAGGTCACAAAACAAGTCTTAAAACATTCAAATAAACAAATAATATCTAGCACCTTTTCTGTCCACAATGGAGTAAAACTAGAAATTAGTAACAAGAATGATTTTGGAAACTATACAAATACATAGAAATTAAACAGCATATTCTTCAATTACCAATGTGTCAATGAAGAAATTAAGAAGAAAATTGAAAAATTGCTCGAAACAAATGAAAATAGAAACAAAACATAACAAAACCTAAGGGATACAGCAAAAGCAGTAGTAAGAGGGACGTTTACAGCTATAAGTGCCTCCAACAAAAAAGAAGAAAAACTTCAAATAAGCAACCTAATGATGCATCTTAAAGAATTAGAAAGGCAAGAGCAAAACAAACCCAAAGTAGTGGAAGAAAACAAGATCAGAGCATAAATAAATAAAATTGAAATGAGAAAATCAATACAAAAGATCAATGAAGCAAAAAGCTGCTTTCTTGAAAAGTAAAACAAAACTTACATTTAGCCAGACCATGAAAAAAAGAGAGAGGATCCAAATAAATTAAATTAGAAATGAAAAAGGAGCTTTTACAACTGATACTGCAGAAATTCAAAGGTTCATTAGTGGCTACTATGTACAACCATATGACAATAAAATGGAAAATTTAGAAGAAATGAACAAATTCGTAGATACATACAACCTACCAAGATTGAACCAGGAAGAAATCCAAAACCTGAACAGACCAATAACAAGTAATGAGATGGAAGTTGTAACAAAAAGTCTCCCAGTAAAGAAAAGCCTGGGATCCAATGGCTACACTGATGAATTCTACCAAACATTTCAAGAAGAGCTAAGATCAATCCTACTCAAACTATTCAAAAAAATGGAGGAGGAAGGAATACTTCCAAACCCATTCTGCAAGGCCAGTATTACCCTTATAACAAAACCAGACAAAGACACATCCATAAAAGAAAACTACAGGTCAATATCTCTGAAGAATTTTGATACAAAAATCCTCAACAAAATACTAGCAAACCAAATTCAACAATATATTAGAATGATCTCTCATCATGACCAAGGGAGATTTATCCCTGGGATGCCAAGATGGTTCAACATATGCAAATCAATGTGATATACCATATCAACAGAAAAAAGGATCAAAACCATACAATCATTTCAATTGATGTTGAAAAAACATTTGATAAAATTCAATATCCCTTCATGATAAAAACCCTCAAAAAGCTGTGGATAGAAGGAACGTACTTCAGCATAATAAAAACCATATATGAAAGACCCACAACTAGTATCATACTTAATGGGGAAAAACTGAAAGCCTTTCCTCAGATCTGGAAGACAACAAGGATGCACACTTTCACCCCTGTTATTCAGCATAGTACTGGAAGTCCTATCTAAAGCAATCAGACAAGAGAAAGAAATAAAGGGCATCCAACTTGGAAAGGAAGAAGTCAAATAATCCTTGTTTGCAGAGGATATGATTTTATATTTGGAAAAACTTAAAGACTCCACAAGAAAACTATTAGAACTCGTAAACTCACTAAAGTTGCAGGATACAAAATCAACATACAAAAATCAGAAGCACTTCTCTATGCCAAAAGTGAAAAATGTGAAAAAGAAATAAAAAAGTAATCCCATTTACGACAGCCACACATAAAATTAAATACCTAGGAATGAACATAACCAAACAAGTGAAAGATGTCTATAATGAAAGCTATAAAACACTGATGAAAGAAATTGAAGAGGACATTCAAAAATGGAAAAATACTGTATGATCATGTATTGGAAGAATCAATTTATTACAATGTCTATACTGCCCAAAGCAATCTACATATTCAATGCAATCCCTGCCAAAATACCAATGACATTCTTCACAGAAACAGAAAAAACAATCCTAAAATTTAGATGGACCCACAAAAGACCCAGAATAGCCAAAGCTATCCTAATCAACATATGCAAATCAATGTGATATATCATATCAACAGATTAAAGGATCAAAACCATACGATCATTTCAATTGATCAACACACAAATCCACACACCTAAAGTGAACTCATTTTTAACAAAGGTGCCAAGAACATACACTGGGGTAAAGACAGTCTTTCCAATAAATGGTGCTGGGAAAACTGGATATCCATATTCAGAAGAATGAAACTATACCCCTATCTCTTGCCATATACAAAAATCAACTCAAAATGGATTAAAGACCTAAATCTAACACATTGAGATATGAAACTACTACAGGAAAACATTGGGCAAAATCTACAGGACATTCGTCTGGGCAAAAATTTCTTGAGTAATACCCCACAAGAACAGGCAACCAAAGCAAAAATGGACAAATAGATTGACATCAAGGTGAAAAGCTTCTGCACAGCAAAGGAAACAATCAACAAAGTGAAGAGACAACCCACAGAATGGGAGGAAATACTTGCAAACTACCCATCTGACAAGCGATTAATAACCAGAATGTATAAGGAGCTCAAACAACTTATAGGAATAAATCTAATAATGCAATAAAAAGCGGGCAAAAGATTTGAATAGACGTTTCTCAAAAGAAGGTATACAAATGGCAAACAGGCACATGAAAAGGTGCTCAACATCACTGATCATCAGAGAAATGCAAATCAAAACCATACAATCGTTTCATTTGATGCTGAAAAAAAATTTGATAAAATTCAACATCCCTTCATGAAAAAAACCCTCAAAAAGCCGTGGATAGATACCATTTTACCTCAGTTAAAACGGCTTAAATCCAAAATACAGGCAATAACAAATGCTGGTGATGATGTGGAGAAAAGGAACTCTGTACGTTGTTGGTGGGAATGTAAATTAGTACAACCACTATGGAGAACAGTTTGGAGGTTCCTCAAAGAAACTGAAAATTGAAATACAATGTGATCCAGCAATTCCACTGCTGGGTATACACCCAGGAGAAAGGAAATCAGTATACCAAAGAGATATCTGCACTCCTATGTTGCTGCAGCACTGTTTATAATAGCTAAGATTTGGAAGCAACCTACATGTCCATCAACAGATGAGTGGATAAAGAAAATGTGATACATATACCCAATGGAGTACTATTTAGCCATAAAAATGAGATCCAGTGATTTGCAACAACATGGATGGAACTGGAGATCATTATGTTAAGTGAAATAAGCCAAGCATAGAAAGATAAACATTCCATGTTCTCACCTATTTGTGGGATCTAAAAATCAAACAAGTGAACTCATAAAGGTAGAGTTTAGAAGGACGGTTACCAGAAGCTGGGAAGGGTAGCAGGGGGGTGCGGGGAAGTGAAGACGTTTAACGGGTACAAATAAATAGCTAGAAAGAATGAATAAGACCTACTACTTGATAGCACATCAGAGTGACTATAGTCCATAATAACTTAATTGTACATTTAAATGTAACTAAAAGAGTGTAATTTGATTGTAATACAAAGGATAAATGCTTGATGGGATGGATACCCCATTCTCCATGACATTCTTATTTCACATTGTATGCTTGTATCAAAACATCTCATGTACCCCCATAAATATATATATACCTACTAAATGTACCCACAAAAATTAAAAGTTAAACAATTTTAAAAAATAAATTAAAAATTTTACCTATTACTTATTCACAACCAAAAACTGCTGTGCACCCGGGCACACTCTAAAAGATTGGAATTTTTAAAATCTTAAAATCTAAAGTGATTCTGCACTCTGCTTTATGAGTGTTTGGGCTTTCCTGACACTTTAAAGAAACCAAAACTTCCAATCATGTACAATTCATAATGTATGAATGTTTTGTAGTAAAGACCCATGCTTAAACAACTGGTAAGCAAATGTAAGCTATAATGTTCTTGTTGTTCAGGAAAATGGAAGAATGACCTTGGGAGTGAGACTACCTCCTTGGTTTCAGAGGACAAGTGCTCCCTTTTCAATTCCAGAGGGTGGGTTCATTTCCTTGGTTCCAGAGTGTGGGGCCATCACCCAGGATTGTAGAAGTGGGGATGCTACCCCAGTGAGCCCAGAGGACATAAGACTGTGGCGAAGAGAATAATTCTGAAGCCTTAAAATCTAATGCAATTTATTTGCCTTGCTAGGTTTTGGAGTTGCTTGTGACCCATGATCCCCCTTTTCTTTCCAATTTCTCTCTTTCAGAATGGGAGTGTCTATCCTATACCTATCTCATCACTGTATTCTGGACAGATAACTTGTTTGATTTTATAGGTATACAGATGCAGAAGAATTTTGCCCCAGGATAAATCACCATGATCATGGATGGATGAATTACATCCATATGAAATTTAGATGAGATTTTGGATTAGAATTGATGGTGCTATGGGATAAGACTTTTGGGGATGTTGTGATGAGGTGAACCTATTTTGCATATGAGAAGGACAGGAATTTTGTGGGACCAGAGGGCAGACTTATGGGTTAAATTGTGTCCCCACAAAATTCATATGATGAAGTCCTAACCCTCAGGACTTCTGAATATGACCTTATTTGGAAATAGGGTCATAGCAGATGTTACTGATAAAGATGACGTCATACTGGATTAGGGTGGTCCCCTAATCCAATATGAGTGGTATCCTTATGAAAAAGGTGAAATTTGGACACAGACATTACACAGAGAGAACTCCATGTGAATATGAAGGCAGAGATTGGGGTGATGCTTCTACAAGTTAAGGAATGCCAAAGATTGCCAGCACCCTAAGAGGCTAGGAGAGAGGCATTGAACAGATTCTCTCTCGCAGCCCTGAGGGAACCAATGCTGTTGACACCTTGATCTTGAACTCTATCCTCCAGAACTCTGAGACAACAAATTTCAGTGTTTAAGTCACTCAGTTGTGGTATTTTGTTATGGGGGCCCTAACAAATTAATACAGCTTCTACGATAATTGCTTATTTTACAGGGTAGAGATAACCCAAAAGAAAAAATATACTTTACATATACTTAATACAAATGACTTACGGATTAGCGTGTGGGCCTTGAAGAATTCTTATTTTATTGCTCAGACTTAAATTTGTAGATGTAGTTTGGAAATACTGAGAATTCACAGGCTCATCATCTTGATGCCGTTTACCATTTCTTTCTTGAATTTCTACTCTAGCTGCTTGAGAGGTCGAGGGTCTGTTAGCATTCTAAAACCAATAATTTAGAGAAAACACTTTAGGCTAATTCACAATTATTAATCTCATAAAAGACTACAATTTTAGTGTATTCATTTTTCATAATCAACAGTTCTGGCAAAACTTCAATCATAACAGTGCTTTTATGAAAATGATTGAATCTAATCCATCTGCTATTAAAATATTTTTTAAAAGGAAGACAAACAAAAGTCCTTCTTATACTACTATCTGAAAAGCTGGATTAAACACTTATTTCCATATAAATAGTAGTAGTCCTGGACGTAGTGTTTAAAAAGATAAACTCATGGGAAAAATTAACTTGTCTTGATTGTGCCAATATTCCAGAACTGGCATCTTCTATAATACTAAACTATTTATTCTAGAAGAGTTATAGAACCTGGGTAAGACTACTATGCCAGATATAGAGAAAACTTCCTATGAAAGCTTTCCTGTAGTACTGGCCTGGACAAAAGGTAGGAAATTAATATAGTCATAGATACCACCTAGAAATTTAAAACACCCACAATAGCCTCAAATTACACAGAATGCAAAAACAGGATACCAAGTTTTGAGGGCCTTGGGAAATGTCAAGAGGCTATAATCATTATTGGCCTAGTCTGCCCCCAAATAAATGACACAAAAAGGAAACAAACAAAAAAGTAAAAATATTAGGTTGGTGCAAAAGGAATTGCGGTTTTTGCCATTACTTTTATAGGCAAAAACCACAATGCCTTTTGCACCAACCTAATGTTTTCTCTTAGGCTTACATTATTAAGAGTCAATACACGTGAGTTCTGAATAAAATGTAAAAGGTACCAATTGCAATCATAATCACAGTGCTTTCAGAGAAATACTATTAATTCTCTGGCACCATACCCGAAGTGTTTCTGATGCTGAGGCACTTTCAGTCGCACTGCTATGGGGGATATACTTTATAGCAGTAATTATCCCCTGAATTGCAATGCGCTTTTGTTCCCTATACTGCAAGTCTTCAATCTCCTTCCTGACTTCACTTATAGCTGTCAAGAGCGACTCAACTGCAAAAAAGTCCAAGAAAATTGTAAGTTTTAAAGAACTGAAATGATAAAAATAAGAATTAGATTTGCAATGTAATTTCACAACACAAAATTATAAACTTACTACATTAACTGTGAGACACTGTGTTTATATCTGGCATCCTTCTATATAATTTTGTGAAATAGGCAAAATACTTTTATCAGTTAAATTTGAATACAGGCTTCCACTCTGTACCCCTCATTTGCAAAATAAATTTTGCATATTAAATGCAATTTACATATTATATTTCAAACTATAAAGTGTTGCCTAGCCACTGCATAGAAAAACACATTTTAATTATTTCAAACACTATTACATATTGCTAGCATTATGATGTATAAGAGGATGCCAATATTTAGATGATGATAGGTCCGCATTTTAAAGTTTCTCTTTTTTTCCAAAACCATGCAATTATCTCATAGCTTTTTAAAAAAGAACATGCTTGTGCTAAACTTTTCAACTGTCATATATTAATTCTACTAAAAAGTATATTAATAGTAGGCTTCTCATCAGTACTTCAATTCCAAATTCAGCATCTCATTTATTTTGGCATCATTTCATATTTAAAGATAGCACTCAATTGTGTTAAACACAATATATATCATTCCACAAGAGTCGCATAATACAGTTGTCAGTCTCTGAATATCAAGTTACCCAGTGTCTCCTTTAGATATCTTTAGTCTTTCTGTATAACATCATAGCAATTGAGATCTACACCAAGGTCAGATGTGATCTCAATGACATTAAATAAAGATATTTATAGGTTGAACATCCCTTCTCTGAAATACATTGGACCAGAATATTTCAGATTTCTGATTTTCTTTATTTTGGAATATTTGTATTATACTTATCAGTTCAGCTTCCCTAATGCAAAATTCCAAAATCTGAACTGCTCCAATGAGTAGTTCTTTGAGTGTCACTTCAGTACTCAAGAAGTTTCAGGTTAGGCCGGGCGCGGTGGCTCACGCCTGTAATCCCAGCACTTTGGGAGGCCGAGGCGGGCGGATCACGAGGTCAGGAGATCGAGACCATCCCGGCTAAAACGGTGAAACCCCGTCTCTACTAAAAATACAAAAAATTAGCCGGGCGTAGTGGCGGGCGCCTGTAGTCCCAGCTACATGGGAGGCTGAGGCAGGAGAATGGCGTGAACCCGGGAGGCGGAGCTTGCAGTGAGCCGAGATCCCGCCACTGCACTCCAGCCTGGGCGACAGAGCGAGACTCCGTCTCAAAAAAAAAAAAAGAAGTTTCAGGTTTTGGAACATTTCAGATTTCGGATTTTTGGATTAGGAATACTCAACCTATATCTCCAGTTGGTTATCATCTGTGTTTTCTCTTTTCTTCCAGTCTGATAAAAATCAAAGTATTAATCTTTAGAGCACCATGCGAGATATAGGGAAAACTATATAGAAAATACGTGACATATATTTTTAGATCTGCATTAAGACAAAGCTATTATCGGTGAATGTTGCTAAACTTTAGATCACTCCCATAAAAGAAAAGAATAAAGATGACTAATTGAAATAGCATAAGCCATACATATAAAATATAAACATATTTAGAAGGACTGGCAATTACATTAGTACCTTTAATAGAACTACTATACTTGGAAAATGTCTCTGGCACTGGTGGATAGGGGTAATATCCACCAATAACCATATTCTTCTGTTCCCCGGAATCAGACTTTGTTCTAATCCATTGAATAAAGTTTTTTACCTTGGCATCATACGTATACGGCTGGCCTCTATGACCTCCTCGCGGGAAGGGTAAATCATAAAAAATGAGAAATAAAAATGTCACTGTAACAATCTGTATGCAAATTTTTGTGTAAAAACAGTTTACTATTAAAACAATCCCTCTTTTATCACCAAGAAAAAAACAGTCAAGTTTACTTATTCACTATGTATAATTATCCAAAGACAGTAAATAAATCCTAAGAAGAAAATCAGACACACTGTGTATTAGAGTTTAAGTGGACTAAACTGTAGCTAGCTATAAGATGCTAGAAATCACAGGAAGAAGAAAAACTAATAATTTGAATTTTTCTAACCATCCAAATGGTTGACATCTTCTGAAATAACCGATTTTTAAACTACGAATTAACCTGAAATTATGGCATCATGTATGAATGAAACTTCCTATGAATATGGCTCAGCATTTAAATTTATGTTCTTAAAGCATACTTAAAAGTGCCATATTCACATCTGATAGTATTTATAAAATAAGATATGCATTGACAAAGATGTATGTTACACCTTTCCTAGGACCCTTCTTTTAACAAATTTCTTAATTACCAACATGGTAACAATCTGGTAAACACCCAATCCACACTACTTCCTCACTCTCTCATTTGGAAACGTTTTTCTTTAATGTTTTGATCCTATTATTGGAGGGAATAGGGAAAAACAATATACTTGCAGACAAGTAATGAGACCTCTCTTGTTATATAAATAAAACATAAGATCTTGGGGCTAAAATTTGACACTCAGTTTTGTTTTCATTTAGAATTTTAAAATATTGTTAACAGAATCCATATTATGATACCAGGCCTAACCAGGTCTTCAATCTATCAAGCAATTTATGATTATCTACATTCTATGCCAAGCAGGAATTAAAGTTGACTGAAGGATATAAATGCAATTTTCCACTGAGTCACAAAATCATTGCCTCATTCGTAAGTAATCCATAAGCAACGTATTTCACAGGCCAAAAATTCTTTGCTAAAACACTCTTATAGTAATAAAGGAAGTCAAAATAAAGCTATCTTGTAGTTGAATGTTATTATATAAAAGTTAATATGTACTGAAGGATTCTAGGGAAGAGAAAATATATTTCTAATAATATACACAAAGAAATTACTCACCAGTAATAAACACTCCACTCTCATTTGTAGTGGTGAGGTAAAGCAGCTTAGGTACTTGATTGTCATTTCTGACAACTTTCAACTGTGTACACACAAAATATGCCACTAGAGAACAAAAACACTTATGAAATTACTTTTCCATTTCAAATAGGACATAACAAGATCAGGATCTAACACAATGCTTCTCAAACTTTAATGCACAAAGAAATCACATGGTACCAATGTTAAAATGCAAATTCAGATTCAGTAGGTCTAGGGTGGGGCCTGAGATTCTGCATTTCTAATAATCTCCTAGGCAATTATTAGTGCTGCCAGTCCTGGGACCACACTAGGAACAATAAGGGTTTAACACTACTCTGCTTTTTGCGAGAGGCCCCTTTTTTTTAAGAAAGTACAACAGCTGCAACTAACTAAAGTCATTTGTTTGTTGCACAGATAAAGAGTGCAAGTCATTTTAACTGGGCCCACACCTGAGTGTGAACAGTGATTTCCAACAGAGAAAAAAAAGCTTAGTTTCTCCATGATACTTCCACTGACTAACCCTAACTAACACTAAACTCTGAATTACTCTAACTCCTTCCACCAGATAGGGCTTATATATTATTGACTGGTATTTGCTTATGCAACTGTTTTTTATCTTTTATGTATTTATCTTAATTAGATTTTAAGGCCAATGGCAGGGCTTATATCATCTGTTTATTTTCTTTTCACCTTGCTAACTTTATAGACTAAAAAGAATATCTAAAAATGAGAGTATAATGTCTTCAGATTTCAACTACTTTCAACAACTATCAATTGTTTTTACCTAACAGGCTATCTAATTATTATAGTTTCATTAATCCAACATTATTTTTTATTTTAACTCATTATATGTCAAAACACTTACGGTTTTACAAACTAGGAAATGAAGAAATAAATGTAAATTCTTATAATCACACAAAGTAATTTCTCATTTGAGAATAAAAATTTCTCCAGAGCACAACTGTACATTCATTTGCTACATCTCATATTTACTAAGTTCTTTATTCTGTAGCAATGCAAATGAAGAAAATCTGTTCAAATGCTAAGAATTACCTTAATTTATATTAAGAATTATCTTAATTTTTCCATTATTTCAAAAACTACAAACATATGAATACTAATGGCTAAAGGTGTTGATACAGGAATATTAAAGAAACCTCTAAAATATGTTAAGCCAGTAGATCTCATGTTACGTGTTCTTACAACAATAAAATAAATTTAGAAAAAAATAAAGAAACCTCTAATTCTAAATTCATGGCCACTAAAAATCTGAGAGTCAGATCTAACACTTCCTAGCTATATGAAATCCAGGAAATTACTTAACCCCTCTGGAAGTTTGCTTTCTCACCTGAAAATTTATAACAACATCAACTCTTCAAAAGGTAATTGAGAGTACAAAATGAGATAATATCTATAAGCATCTGGTACATGGTAAACACACAACATTACTTCCCCTTAGTTCTTCACTTTTCTTATGAAAAAAAAAGTCATACTACCAAAGAATTTTGGTATTATTCCTGAAGACTTTTGGCCATGCTCCCCTTCTTGGGCCTGAAGCCCCCTTAATACTCACCATTAATTTAATGATTTTTTCCTTCACTTTTGGTCAAAAGATAAAAACAAATTGTGACTGTTGTCAACTATTATACTAGAATAAATCTCACCAAGATCCGAATATACGTTTCTTAGAAGGATACATTTCACATTATCACAAGAAATACAATATGCGTGCTTGGCAAAGTTCCTGCGAGAAATCTTTATCCAAAATTCTTGTTAGCTTGTTGTTTAAAGTGGTTACAAACAAACAAAAAGGAAGCTGGCAATAAAACCCACCTAAATTGAGGCAATAGGATTATCACCAGAAGTCATCACTGCCAATTACTTATGCCCTAAAAGAAGTTATATCAGAGTTAATAGCCCACTCACCTTGGAAGTCCATGCCTTGGTTTGGCCGAAACTCTCTTTCTGTTCCATCCCCCATAAATTGGGGTGAGGTTTGGTTCTATTCAGATATATTTTTAAAATTTAATCTCACAAGCCTAGGGTAGAATCTAACAAAGCAGAGGTGTATAATACTGTTTTGTATAGAGAATAAAGGGGCAGCAGAACAGCCCTATATATAGTGTCTAGGTCTCTTGGTGTTCTACAATGTCTATCTTATTGCTGGTTAAAAAAGTAATAATAATAGATATAGGCCAGGTGCAGTGGCTCACGCCTGTAATCCCAGCACTTTGGGAGGCTGAGGTGGGCAGATCACCTGAGGTTGAGTTCGAGACTAGCCTGCCCAACATGGTGAAACCCCGTCTCTACTGAAAATATAAAAATTAGCCAGGCATGGTGGTGTGCTCCTATAGTCCCAGCTACTCAGGAGGCTGAGGCAAGAGAATCATTTGAACCTGGGAGGTAGTGGTTGCAGTGAGTCAAGATTGTGCACTGCACTCTAGCCTGGGCGACAGAGTGAGACTCCATCTCAAATATATATATATGTATACAGATAGATAGATAGATATATACAAACACACACACATATATGTAGTAAATATTGGGAGTTTCTTCAATGTTGGCCAAGCATTTAACACAGATAGCAATTAGTGTTTATTCATGTAATTATTTGGAAAAAAATAAAATGTCATCCCCTAACTACAATAGCTTTATATTCTAAATTTAAATAAGGAAATATTCATTGAAACTGCTGAAAAGTATTATACTTTTTTCCTTATCATAATAGATCTGAAGACTAGCCTGTTATATGTAATATGTAATAGGACAAACCTAAAATAATTTCAAATAAATAAAACTAGTGGAAAAAATACTTTTATATCTGAATGAATCCAGGGGAGAAAGTCAATGCCAAAGTAAGCCAAAGTAAAATATTGACCAGCCGGTATAAATAACACTACCAACTTACTTGAATAATTTAATATTCGACCGGAACCATACTTACCATTGTTATTATGTAATTACATAGTCCACCAATCTTCTACCAATTAATGCTATATAAGTCTTCGATGTCTTTAATGTGGTCTACTTAATCAATTTCCAAATGTATAAAAAGGGAATTGACTGCCCATGTTTTAGTCTTATTGAAATTTAAGGATTTTTTTAATGCGTGGAATTTTTACAATGAGAATTGATAAGAGGACCTGTTTTCTGAAAAACTGGTTTCAATCCCAAGTTAATTCTGAACAGACAACCAACGGGTTGTTAATGTCTATAAAAAACGATATTAATATAGAAAAGATTTAAACATGCTGTCAGACTGCTTGAATTGCCAACTCAATGTCACCCTACTTCTGTAAGTCAGTTTACTCTACATTTTTAAAGTTAATTCTCCTACTTCCAAACATAATATAAAAATATTAAAAATCGCTTACTTGGGTAAATATTTTCAAAGATTTCTGGCTGCGATGTTGAAAACAGTTCCACTATAAATGGTTGTTCTGAAGTACCGTCAGCAATGTGAATCCAGCGATATGACCAAAAATCTTCACGGTTTTCTATATGGATAGAATATTAAAATAAATGAAGGTAACTGTTATATACATATGAACACAAAATTATTCACTGAAATACTTTTTATGATTTTCAATTTTAAAAGCTTACCTTTCTTTTTTGACCGCTGGACCCTTCCTACAAAAACTAAAAGGCCAATAACATCACAGATGCAATTTTCTGGCATATCATCCAGTTCTGACCTAAAAAGGTAAAATCACTAAATTAATATTTTATTTTTAAACAGTGAAAAAGCATTCTACAATTATTTTGAAAATGTATATCTACATAATTGCTATAGCTTAATTCTGGGTAGATTTTGAGCAAATTATAATGCATTGTTTTTCAGTAACCAAGACTGAAGATTAATATTTAAGACATTTTACAAGAAACTATTTTACCTTGTGGTAAATCGGTGATTTAGCTTTGGCAGTCTCCATTCTGGTTTCACCTGCTTTTCTGGAATGATAATTATATTTGTTGGGGGATCTCGAAGATTCAGGCAGATTTCTGAAAAATAAATATATTACTTTAATATGCTATTTAATACACACCAAAGAATATACATGAATATATATTAAAAAGCAAAATAGTATACTGAACATTTTGAACCCACCACTAAACTCAAGAACTAGACTATTATCAGTGTTCTTCTACCTCCATTATCACATCCACTTATCTCTCCACCACAGTTTAAAAAGTTTAACCACACTTTGAGAACTTTGTGTTCTATCATTTCTTTAACTTAAAAAGGGTTTTATCACTTTGCCCAGACAAAATCCTATTTGGCTTTGTTTTTGAACTTCATATGAGTGAAATTATATTCTGCATTTTATGACTACTTTTTTCACTCAACATTATATTAATAAAATTCATCCATGTAGCTGCATGTAGCAGTTTTCTTGTCATTTCCACAGCTGAATAATGTTCCAGTGTGTTAATATACTACAATTTATTAACTAAAATTTATTTATCCATTATTGTGTTAATGGACATCTGGATTATTTCCAGGTTTTTACTATTATACATAGGGTTGTTTAAAAATTTTTGTATGTGTCTCCCTGTGCACACAGGCAACTGTTTTTCTAAGGTATTATATGTAGGTGCAAAAATGCTGGATTATGTGATATGTAAATGTTCAGCTCTATAGCATAATCCCTAATCATTTTAAGTAATGAGCCTATTTGTGTTTCTACCAGCAATGTGTAAAAATTCCCATTGATACACATCCTCTCCAAACCTTGGTATTGTCAACTAACTTTCTTTCTTTCTTTTCTCTTTTTCTTTCTTTTTTCTTTCTTTCTTTTCTTTCTTTCTTTCTCTTTCTTTCTTCTTTCTTTCTCTTTCTTTTCTTCTTTCTTTCTCTCTCTCTCCCTCCCTCCCTTCCTTCCTTTCTTCCTTCTTTCTTTCCTTCTTTCTTTTTTTTTTTTTTTGACAGGGCCTTACTCTGTTGCCCAGGCTGGAGTGTAGTGGCACAATCATACAATCATGGCTCACTGCAGCCTTGAACTCCTGGGCTCAAGCAATCCTCCTGCCTTAGCCTCCTGAGTAGCTAGAATCATCATGTCCAGCTAATTTTTGTAATTTTTGGTAGAGATGGGGGGGTCTTATGTTGCCCAGGCTGATCTTGAACTCCTGGCCTCAAGGCTTCCTCCAGAATCAGCCTCCCAGAGCACTTAGGTCTCAGGTGTGAGCCACTGCACATGGTCAAATTTGGTACTTTTGGCCAATCTAGTGATATGACAATTTGTTGTGATCCTATTTTGTATTTCCCTTAGTACTAATCATATTGAACAACATTTCATATACTTATGGTTCATATATGCATTCTCTTCTGTGAAATGCCTTGGTCTTTTGCCCATTGTTCTATTGAATTGTTGAATTGTCTTTTAAAAATTTGCAAGAGTTGTTTATATGTTGGATATTAATTCTTCATTGATTATGTAGTGGCAAATACAATCTTTACCCAGTTTATTTATCTCTACTTATTTATTTAAGGCTTTCTTAATGTCTTCCAATAATGTGTCATAATCATCTCCACACAGGTCTTACACATCTTCTCTTACATTTATTTCTAGACATCTTATAGTTATTGTTGACAATGTCAATGATGTTTTCAAGTTATAATTTCTAACTCTTTATTATTGGAGTATACATAATCAGTTGACTTCTTTTGTAGCTTTGCTAATATCTTATTACTTTTAATTTTTATTTTTAAAAACTTTTATTTTAGGTTCAGGGGCATATGTGCAGGTTTGTTATATAGGTAAACTCATGTCACGGGGGTTTGTTGTACAGATTATTTTGTCACCCAGGTACTAAGCCTAGTACTCGATAGTTATTTTTTCTGATCCTCTCCCTCTTCCCACCCTCCACTTTCAAGTAGGCCACAGTGTGTGCTGTTCCCCTCTTTGTGTTCTCATCATTTAGCTCCTGCTTGTAAGTGAGAACATGTGGTATTTGGTTTTTTGTTCCTGCATTAGTTTGGTAAGGATAATAAATCCTATTTTTTTAATACTTTGTGTTATTTTTTCTCTGTATAAAATTTAATTTGCGAGTAGTAACAGTCTTGCACCTTTCTTTAAAACCTTTATACCTTTAATTCATTTTGTCTTCTCACACTGGCTAGGACAGCCAGTACAACATTAAATAGAAATAGTAATAATAGGAGACATCCATTTTCCCCATTTTATAAAGGAATGTATCTAACTTTTACCCATTAAGAATTGTGTTTGCCGTTTGGTTTTGATTTTGTAAATACCCATTATTAGGTGTTTTTTTTTTTTTTTGTTTGTTTGTTTTTTTGTAGTTGTTGTTGGTATTGCTCTGTCGCTCAGGCTGGAATGCAGTGGTGCAATCACGGCTCATTGAAGCCTCAACCTCCTGGGCTCAAGCAATCCTTTCTCCTCAGCTTCCTGAGTAGCTAGGACTACAGGTGCATGCCACCACAACTGGATAATTTTTTCTTTTTATTTGTAGAGACAGGGTCTTACTATGTTGCACAGGCTGGTCTCAAACTCCTGGCTTCAAGTGATCTTCCTGCCTTGGCCTCCCAAAGTGCTGGAATTACAGGCATGAGCCACCATGCTCAGCCCCCTTACTTAGTTTAAGGAAGTTTCCTTCTCTTGCTATTTTCTTTTTTAAATTAATGAATAGTTGTAAAATTTTAATAAAAGCTTTTTGTGTATCTATTAAAATGCTCATTATCTAATTTGTAAAAATGGCGGGTGACACAGATTTTTATATGTAAAACCAATTTTGCATTGCTGAGGAAAAATGCAACCTAGTCACAGTATGTGAACTTATTTTTTTTTTACACATGATGCAGTTTGCCAATATTCCATTCAGAATATCTATATATATGTTTATATATTAGTGGCTGAAGCTGACCTATAATTTTTCTCCTTCATACTATTCTTGTTTGGTTTTGATTATCACGGTTATATTGGAAGCAAAATATGAGTTTGAGAATATACTTTCTAGTCTAGTCTCTGGAATAGGTTTAGAATGATATATTCCCTAAATGTTTGGTAGAATTTCTCTATAATATGATGTATGCCTGATATTTTCTTTGTGGGAAAAATTTAAACCTCTGATTCAATTCCTTTAATAGTTATAAAGCTATTTGGGCTTTTTTCTTCTTGGTTAGTTACATTTTTCTAAGAACTTTCTGTGTAGCAAACAAGGCTTAAACCAGGATGAAGATATTTTATTTCTATTTCTGCCTATTACTAGTCATGTGAAAGGAAATATTCACTTTACCTTTATGAGTTTCAGTCTATTCATATATAAGCAAGCAAAGTTGTATTACATAATATTACCTTGCATCATAGTTTGCATATTCCGAAGTACTTTCATTGTCATAGTATCACTTAATTATATTCAAGGTCCCTTCCAGCTCTAAAATGCTAGGGTTCCGAATTAAAGAAATAGCCCCTGCCCGCCAAAATCAAAAATTCTTGTTGCTATCATCCAATCAATATGCATTATGTAATACAGTCTGAAAAATCTCAAGATTTTAAAGGGTGTATTATTTGTGTATGCCAGCTATGTACTATTTTGTAAAAGGTATACAGAATAATGTACAAAATTCAATATACAAAGCCATACACATCCAGCAAATAATATATCCTTTGTTTTGCAATAGAATTTCCATCTTTATAGATTTCCATTTATTCAGTCTTTTAAAAAAATTACATTGGCTAGGCGCGGCGGCTCACGCCTGTATTACCAGCACTTCGGGAGACCAAGGCGGGTGGATCACTTGAGGTCAGGAGTTCAAGACCAGTCCGGCCAATATGGCAAAACCCTGTCTCTACTAAAAATACAAAAAGTAGCCTGGCATGGTGGTGGGCGCCTGTAATCCCAGCTACTCGGGCAGGAGAATCATTTGAACCCAGGAGGTGAAGGTTGCAGTGAGCCAAGTTTGCACCACGCCACTCCAGCCTGGGTGACATAGCAAGACTCCGTATCAAAAAAAAAAAAAAAAATTCACATATTAGTTCTAACTTGGAACTATGTGTGGAAATATGAAAAATAAACCAAGATAAATGACCCCAGTAGTTTCTCTTCCAACATGAACACCTAGAAGGCAGTGATGGTACCACAAATCCTTATTCCTTTACTGACCAACTCTCCTCCCACTATATACTGTTTCTCATTTATAATGCTCAGAACATTTAAACTCCACTGATATTTTTCCTAATCTCTGCTTAACACTTTCTCCCATGCAACACATTCTCCTACTTTACTGTCCATTCTTTCTTCAATTACATTTTTATTCATTTCCTTATCCTTTTTGTCTATTACATTTTTAATATGGTTTACTGTCATTAGTCTTTCATTTTACTCTAATTTGTTTATCTTACATAGCTGTCACCCCATTAGACTAATTTTTAAGAGTAGGACTGTATATTACTTACTTTTGCATCTCCTGTGCCTAACATGATTTACATAACTGCCTTTTTTTTTCTCTTTAAAAGATAACTAATCACCTTCCAGCCAGGTGCAGTGGCTCACACGTGTAATCCTAGCATTTTGAGAGGCCGAGGCAGGTAGATCATTTGAGGTCAGGAGTTCGAGTACAGCCTGGCCAACATGGTGAAACCTCGTCTCTACTAAAAAAACAAAAATTAGCTGGGCTTGATGGCGTGTGCCTGTAATCCCAGCTACTTGAGAGGCTGAGGCAGGAGAATCGCTGGAACCCAGGAGGTGGAGGTTGCAGTGAGCCGAGATTGCACAACTGCACTCCAGCCTGGGTGACAAAGTGAGACTCTGTCTCAAAAAATAAATAAATAAATAAATAAAAACAATAAAAAAGATAGTCACCTTTCTACTCTGTTTCTATGGGATCAGCTTTGTAGATTCCACTTATGAGTTAGATCTTACAGTATTTGTCTTTCTGTGCCTGGCTTATTTCAATTAGCATAATGTTCTCCAAGAATCTAAAAAAGTCAATCTCATAGAAAAAGAGAGTAGAAAGATGGTTACCAGAGGCTGGGGAGTGAGTGGGGAGGGATAGGGAAAAACAAGATGTTGATCAAAGGGTACAAAATTTCAGTCAGATTGCAGAAATGTCTTAGGGATCTATCGCATTGGATGGTGACTACAGTTAATAATAATGTATTATATATTTCAAAATTGCTAATAGATTCTTAATGTCCTTACCACAAAAAGTGACAATTTGGTAAGGTGATGGATATGTTGATTGAGTCTTTCTACAATGTATATACACAGATCAAAACATCACACTAGACCCCATAAATATATTTTATTATTATTTGTCAATTAAAAATAAAGAAAATGCTAGGATAAAAAGATCATTAGTCAGTTTCATGCAGGTAATGTTTAAAGATCATAAAGCCATAGTTCCCAACCTTGACTGTACCTTTGGGATCAGCTGAGGAGATTTAAACCCATAGCAATGCCTTGGTCCCATTCTCAGAGTAATTAAATCAGAATCTCTGAGGGTGGGGCACCAGTGGCTCTTTAAAGCTCCCCAAGTGATTTCAATATACAGCCAGAGTTGTAATCCACTTACACATGTAGGCTAGGCAAACTACAGGCTGCAGATGGCTGCAAGTTTTTGTAAATAAATATTTATTGGAATATTGCCATATACATTCCTTTACATACATATGGCTGCCTTCAGTCTACAAAGGCAGAGCTGAGAAGCTGAAACAGAGACCATATGGCCTGCAAAGCCTAAAATATTTACTACTTGGTGCTTTACAGAAATAGTCTATTGCTTCCTAAAAAAAGAGGGCAAAAGTCCTGTTACTTATCAAAAATATAAGGAAGAAAATAGAGACTGCTGCTAACATTAATAAGAAGTAATACTGTTTTAAAGACCAAAAGGTACATTTTAAATATATTATCACCAACGCTAACATTACTAAGAAGTAAAACTGTTTTAAAGACCAAAAGGTACATTTAAAATATATTATCACCAAGGCTATCATTTATAAAAATAATTTCTGTATCTGCAATTACTTACTTGAAAGCATAAATAATTTCTCATACCTTAGAGAGTTTCCATTATGAAAATCTGGTCCTATAATTCTATATAGCAGAGGTAGCATGCTGTAAATCAGCGTCCTCTTGCCAACTTTTACTGTGTTTTCTTAGTAAGTCACAATATCTCTATCAGTTTAGTTCCTCACCTTTCTATAGCAAAAACTAATGAGGTAATAGACTGTGTGTACCAGACTACCTAGGTAATAACTTCTTCATCTAGCAAGATCTGACCAATGTCTGCAAAACGCTTAAGATTTTAATAAATAATCATATAAGGTTTTTGCAAATAAACACAAGTTTAAGAAAACAATGAACAACTGCTACCTTTATCTGAATATTCTCTAAGTAATTAAGCTTAATGGATTAGCTGGGGAATTTAGAATACACAGAAATTCAGGTTCAGAATAAAGGTATTATAAACCAAAAACAATATTTAAACTTAAGCAATGTAATCTACAATTCTTACAAATGAAAGTGAAAAAATCACGGTCATATCTAAAAACAATTATTTAATATATTAATCTTAATGGTCCAAAAATATTTGTGATGTCAATATACCAATACTAACTAGGAAAAGCCCTTTCAAGATTGCAGCAATTGGCAAAATTTGAATACTGACTATAGGTTAGGTATTAGTATTGTATCAATTTTAAATTTCCCGATTTTGGTAATTGTACTCAGATTATGTAATAGAATGCTCTTGTTATTAGAAAATATACACTGAAATATTAATGAAGTGTTTAGGCTTAAAGGGGTATGTATGATGGCTGCCACTTTCTCTTACTGGATCACAAGGAATATATATACATACATATGTGTGTATGTGTGTGTGTGTGTAAAGATATGTATATGTATGAAGAGAGATATATAATGATAAAGCAAAGGTAAATGCTAGTAATTGTTGAATATGCGTAAAGGGTATATGGGAGTTCTCTATACCATTCTTTCAACTTTTATGTAAGTCTGAAATTATTTCAAAAAGTTAACAGAAGTTCTTTTTAGATAGCACCTACTAGTAAGTGCAAAATATATTCGTTATTAACTTAATATTATATGACCAAAAATAAAATAAAACAAAATAAGTACAATCCAAGTGGAGCTCATTCTTCAATCAACAATAAATGTCTCAGATAATTTTTCTTAATAAATAAAATAATAAATAGGTATATTTATTAGGTTATGTGATTGCTTGAAAATTTTATGGACAAATAAATTTAAAGGTTTCATAGGTTCTAACAGCTTCAGTAATTTTTGTGGTCTTTTTTCCTAATATGGTACATTGCAAATTTATATAAACAAAACAGCGATAAGACAACAAATTCATGGAATACTTAACCCATTGTAGAAATTAGTTTGATCTGTGGATCCACGGGGACAGGCTGTATTCTGAATGGATAACTCTTTTTAACAGAATAGTCTTGAAGCAGAAGAACTAAACCAACCCGCAAACTTTTATACCACTCAGGACACAGGGCATTCCACATAATCACTGACACTGTGCCTGAACTGTCAGCAACTTCCAAAAAGGTCTAGAAAGAAAATGAGTAAAAGCACATACATATTTGTCACTTTTATCTGTACAGATAATATATAGCATATTATTTGTGATCATTTAGAGTGATGGAAAATAACATCTAAATTTTAATTATTTATTAATAATGATTCAGTTGTCAATTTTGCTAATATTGATCATCTAAAGATTAGAGATAGAGAAATGTATTGAGGTGGAAAGTATTTGGAGTTTTTCTCAGTATTAAAATACAGTGACAGACAACTTCAGTTGGGCCTAAAAGGCAGTCCGTAAAGTGTTTTCTAATTCTTAATTTCTTCTTAAATAATGATGTTATATTCTCAGACCCTTTCTCTAAATGATGAATATACATTTTGGGTAATTCATTCCTTTATTCATTAAACATTTACTGAATCCATATTCCAGAGATTATGTTAGGCCCTGGAATGCAGAGATGAATCAAACATTGTACCTAATAATAATAGCTAAAATATATATAGGACTTGCTATGTGCCTGGAACATAGGTAAATCCTTTACTAATTCAATCCTCACATCAATCCTGTAAGGTAAGTACAATTAGTATCCATATTTTACAGATGAGTAAACTGAGGCTTTAAAAGGATAAATAATTTTCCCTACATCATAAAGGTAAGAAATGGTAAACAGCTGAAACTTGAATTCAGTTCATATGACCACAGGGCATGCACTCTTAAGCACTGTTAGATACTTCTTCCCTACAGTCAGGGAGCGCACAGTAGAGTAAGATTAGCAAATCTATTAACAGGTATGTGTAACTGGGTTATGCATGCTCTGATAGACCTATGTAAGGGCATATAGTGGGGTCCTGAGTAGCATGTAGTTGATTCTCCCAGTGACTAGGCATATGGGTATACATGGAAAGACTTAAATCAGAGGTAAGCACTGAACTGAATCTTAAAGATGGCTTTGCCAATCTGATGAGAAGTGAGAGGAAGAGGATTCTAGGCAGAAGAAACAACGTGAGCAGAGGTATGAAAGGTAGAAAACAATTGGTTACTGTTAGAACATTCCAGGTAGGGCAATTTGGTTAGTATGAAGCATAGAGAGCTCAGGAAGAGATGAGACTGGAGAGGCAAGCAAGGGCGAAATGATGGAGGCACAAAGAGGTAGGAAGGCAACAAATAAGCGGAGTTAAAAAATCAGGGAGGAAAGTATTGCAACAATGAGAAGGCAAAAAACTATCGGGGAATGACTGAATAATTTATGATAGAATGTGCTAAAAATATATAACTGTAAAGTATTATGGATGAAGAATTTTTAGTGATATGAGAAAATATTTAAGAAAATGTTAAACGACACAAAATTGTATGCACAATATGGTTCCCATTTTGTAAAATAATGTAATGTGATATATGATATACACACTCACATGAAATATATAATACATCTACATATGCACATATATGTGATATATATGATTAAATATCATAGATATGTGTATGTATATATATATATGATATGCTTGTATATGTGTATATATGTGATTTACACACACAAGAAAGGGAATAAAACACACCATGTTAACAGTGGCTCTCTCTGAGTGGTAAGATCTTCAAACAGCTTTCTACATTTTCCAAATTCCCTACAATAAGCATGTATAACTTTCATAATAAAAGTTTAATGAAACATCTAAAATAGTTCTTGATATCATGGGAAAGTACAATATAATATTAAGTAAGAAAAAAATAGAACACAAACATATCAAGAAAGTAGAGCTCATGAGCATTATATGGCACAGAGAGTCAAGACAATAGAGAAGTATCACACAGATTTGACAATTAGAGTTACTAGTGAATGATAAGCTAAGGAAAAAAGCCAAGCTAACTGTGTTGAGAAATGGGAGGCAAGAAAGTAAAAACATCTAGTGTAGACTACTTCTTCAAGAAGCTTACCTGAAGAGAAAGATAGGGAATAGAAGAGTCATAAGGCCAAAGGAGATTCTTTTCTTTTCTTTTTTTAAATGGGAGACTAGAGTATGTTTATATATTGGCACAGAAAGCATAGGTGAGAAGAAAAGGTTGAAGGAAAATAAAAAGGTGGGAAGGAGACCACCTGGATCAGGGAAATAAAGGGCACCAATACAGAAATAATTTCTTTTTGTACAATAAATTATGCAGAAAAATACTTTATAATATACATTTACGTACATTTAAAAATTATTACATTGAACTTATGAAATGTTATTTAAACGAACAGGTTATCATACTATGGAGTGAGGTGTGTAAGCTATAATTTATAACTTTTAAATTAACATATGATATCTTATTACTTGTACCTGATATGGTTCAATCATCTTTTTATCAGGTTTTCCATAGTATCGCAGTTTTGATTTATGTAAGATCCTCACAAGCAATGCAGGAAAATTTCTTCTGTTAGTCCAGGTCATTTCAAGATGAGAAAGGGAAATTATTTTGGTATCTAGAATATAAAAAAGAGGAAAGAAATCCTGTTTAACATGTAATGGTAACTTCAAAGATCTATTTTAATGGTTAAAAATAGTAGCTTGATCATACCTAAAGTGACTCCTTCTTGCCAGCTAAACCTTGCCAGCTAAGTCTATTACCTCTCATAAACTACATTTGATCCCTAATATTAACAGCTGAAATATATATAGGGCTTACTATGTGCCTGGAACATAGGTAAACACCTATATTAACCAACACATTGTCCCACCTAGAATGCCCTCCATCTTACCAAACCATTTAATAACTTCCTGGAAAACCTGGATTTAAACTCACCTCCCTTAAGATATTTTGTGAAAAAAAAAACCTCAATGTCATGGAATATTTTTCCCATTACTAAGCACTTATATATTTAATTTATAGAAATGGGCCAGGTGCAGTGGCTAATGCCTATAATCTGAGCACTTCAGGAGGGCAAGACCATCAGCTTGCTTGTGCCGAGGAGTTTGAGACCAGCCTGGGCAACATGGCAAAACCCCCATGTCTCTCCAAAAAGACAAAAATTAGCTGGGCCTGGTGGCATGTGCCTATAGCTCCAGCTACTCAAGAGGCTGAAGTGGGAGGATCACCTGAGCCCAGGCAGCTGAGCTCACTGCAGCCAGGCTGCAGTGAACCATGATCACACCACTGCATTCCAGCCTGAGCAATTGAGAGCCTGTCTCAAAAAAAAAAAAAAAAAAACCATAGAATTGTTTTATTACACATTTTTTGTATTGCCTTCACCTCAGTTTCATATGTATAAATTCTATCTCCCGCAAACATGACAGACATGGCCCTGTATCAGGACCTTTGCAATTGCTGTCTTCCCTTTATATATCCAAATGACTTTCTCCCTCCTCTCTTCAAGTTTTGCTCAAATATCACCTTCTCAGTGATATTATCCCTAACCATCCTATTAAAAACTGACCCCTTTACTTATCCTCCATTCCACTTTACTTTTCTACATTGCACTTACTATCTTCTCATATGCCATATAATTTACTTAGAAATGTTTTTATCTGCAAGCTTGCTGGCAAGTTCAAAAACTGCTAAAAAGCTATTCATCAACTTAAAGAATTAATTTGTAATACTGATGTATTCTTCCTTGGATTAAGAGAGGTTCCACCTGCAATTGTCTCCACATTTTTCTCTCTCACAGCCCACAGTTTCAACTATTAAGACTTGAATCTGCATTAGTACGAGTATTTCTTTTGCTAAGGGTCCCTTCATTTCTAGCTTTGTTCAAATAATTTTTTACCTAGTCAACATTTTTGACACAAAAATCACACTTGTAATTTCTTTTTAATAAGGGATTAAGTGGTATTATATAATTATGTCTATACTATAAAACACACACAATTTTTAGTATTAGGATACTCTGTAATTTTCCTTCCAGATTCTCCCAATAGATTACTATCCCAGGATCACAGGTCCTAACATTTGATCTGATATAATTAAGTGATTTCATTTTAACGTCAGACGAATCTCAGATCAGCTTTGAGTTGTCTGGGATGTACATGGAACATTCTTGATCAATAAAGGCACATAGAGCTCCTTTATTGTCTGGAATAAATTCAAGAGCTACATAGTTTTGTAAAAGCAGAGTTCTAAGAGCCTCTGTTTCTGTTATAATTAGGTCCAGAGAGTTAGCTGTAATCAGACATCTTTCTGGTTAACATTTTTCCCAGTTAGAGTTTTTAACTCACAAACTTCATGGAATACACATTTTATCTCTCAAATCTAAAAAAGAATTAGAGGCTGTTTACAGACAATGAAGAATTTGTGTAAATTCATAGTAATAAATGTGTTCATTATCAAAAAAGAAATAATGAAAATAAACTGGTTATTCAATATGCAATAGAACAGTGATTCTCAAAATGTTTTGGTCTCAGGATCCCTATACATTCTTAAAAATTATTGAAGATCTTGAAGAGCTATTTTTTTTTCTTTTGTTAAGATGGAGTCTCACTCTGTTGCTCAGGCTGGAGTGCTGTGGTGTGATCTCAGGTCACTGCAACCTCCACCTCCCGGGTTTAAGTGATTCTCCTGCCTCAGCCTCCTGAGTAGCTGGGACTATAAGCATGCACCACAATGCCCGGCTAACTTTTGTATTTTTTAGTAGAGACGGGGTTTCACCATGTTGGCCAGGCTGGTCTCGAACTCCTGACCTCAAGTGATCCGCCTGCCTCAGACTCCCAAAGTGCTGAGATTACAAGCGTGAGCCACCGTGCCCATCCTGAAGAGCTTTTTACTGTACTATAAAGTAGACTAAGAATTTTTTAAATGATCAATTCATTAAAAATAGCAATAATAAACTGATATGTATAATTATAAATAACATTTTTTTTGAAAAATGACTATATTTTCCAAAACCAAAAAATAATGTAGTGAGAAGCGTGGCATTGTTTTGCATTTCTGCAAATCTTGTTAGTATCTAGCTTAATAAATGACAGGTGGATATTCATATCTTCTTTGATACTCAGTTTGCTTTTATGTCACACGTCATTTAGCCCCTGGAAAACTACACTGTACACTTGCGAGAGCATAAGAGTGAAAAAAGGTAAGTAAAGCCTTAGTATTGTGAAAATAGCTTTGACCTCATGAATCCTCTGAAAATGTCTTGGGGCACCACTAGAGGTCCCTGGACCATACCGTAAAAATCATAGCAGAAGAATAAATCTAAGGAATGCAGAAGGAATAAAAATTAAAGCTAAAAATAATGAATCAGAAAACACTATACCACAATAAAAAATAGAATTGATAAATTCAATTCTCTGGAAAAATTAATAAAAAGGTAAATCTTTGGCAAGTCTAATCATGAAAAAGAAAACAAAAATGTAATACTCAGAATGTAAACAAATATACACACAAATAAAAATTGTTAAAAGATTATTATGTATGATTTTATATCAATAAATTTGAAAAGATCAGTGAAATAGATAATTTCTTAGAAAAATATGAATTACCATTATTGCCATAAGAAGCAAAAGAAAACCAAACTAGGTCCTTAACCGTGGAAGAAAATGAAAAAAGTTTATGAATGATGGCTTCCAAAACTGGCAGCAGGTTCACATTGTTTTATAAGAAAATTCTAACAAATTTCAAAGAACAGCTCTTTCCCTGAGCTATAAATTGTCCCAGAGCCTAATAAAGTATAGAAATTGTACCACTTTGCTTTATAAACTTAGAACAATCCTGAAAAATTCCAACAGAAATAGTACAAGAAAGAAAACTATAAACCAAAAATCAGTTATGATGGCAAAAACCCTAAATACAATACTTATTTAGAAGCATGCACAAAGACAACTGTGCCATGATCAAGTGGAGTCCTAAATATCTTCTCTTATTCAGTAGGGGTGTATTATATATTTTGAATAATTCTGGAGACGGAAACAGAAATGTAAGTTTAAATAATTTTGTTAAAACATTAATACATGTACCCCATATATATCTACACCTACTATGTACCCATAAAATTTTTTAAAAAAACATTCAGTAACAACTAGGAGACTAGGAGAATACAAATACAATGTATGATTTCCAAACTACTAGAAGAAAAAGAAAATTTTAATCCCGCAAAAGTAAAAAAAAAAAATAAGGTGGCATATGGTAAACATAAAGTAGAATTTCAAGAACAGGTACAAACACCATTATTCACATTAAATTTAGATAAATTAAATTGATCTCTTAAAAGAAAAATAATTGGTTTGGATCAAAAGGCAGTCTTAGCTATATACTTTTTAAAAGAGACAACCCTAAAACAAAATGGAAATAAAGGGATGGACAAGCATACACTAAGGCCAGTGGTTCTCTTTTTTTATTTTTTGAGACAAGGTCTCACTCTTTTGGTCCAGGCTGGAGTGCAGTGGCATGATCAAGGCTCAGTGCAGCCTCAACCTCCCGGACTCAGGCTCCCCCGACTCCACCCCTGCACCAAGTAGCCGGGATTACAGGCACAAATTCATGCCCCGGCTAAGGTATTTTTATTAAAGATGGGGTTTCGCCATGTTGCCTCGGCTGGTCTAGGCTGGTCTGGACCTAGGCTGGTCTCAACATGGACTCTGAACTCAAGCAATCCGCTCGCCGTGGTCTCCCAAAATGCTAGGATTACAGGCATGAGCCACCGTGACCGGCTTGCCAGTGGTTCTCAAAGTGTGGTCTCTGTACCAATAGCATTGTTACCATCAGTGAACATGTTCGAAATGTAAATTCTAGGGCCCTACCCCAGACCTAATGAATCATACACTGGGAATGGTGGTCAGCAATCTGTATTTTGTTTTATTTCTGTATTTTTGCATTACTGAATTACTGTAGTCATTTTTTAAATAATTACACTCCAGCCTAACGGCCTTTCTTTACTGTTTTCCGTCTTTCAAATCCATTAAAAAAAACGACAAAACTGATTTAAACAATCATGTTGGAAACTAGATGTTGTGATAACTTATTGTGCATCAATTCATTTTGATTATATGCTTTCATGACTTTCATGTATTCTGTTTAGCTTTTTGGGGTCTTCTTTGACATTTCAAGTGAGAATTTTACTGAGACGGTAATATCTTTAAACCCCTCTCTTTTATTTTCATGGCATGCAATTGGCATTTCTTTTTTGCTTCAACATTTGAAACATACTGCCTTAATAATTTCTTTAAGTTTTGGTGTATTCTTTATCTTTGCAACCTTTTCCAAATCTTTTTTTCTGCATAAATTTTTTTTCTCTGATTTTTGTAAGTGTAATTTGAACTTGTTAGCACCGGGATGCTTATTTGTCTCCAATTCCCATTGCTCATTTTTGCCCCATCCATTTTTTTGCAGTGTTTCTTGATATTATTTGTGAATTCTTAGAGTAAGGAAGCACTTAAGTTATTTTTCTGACTGGCACTCTTGAGGTGATATGCATGCCTACTCACATTTGAGTATCATTGTCCTAATATGCTACCAAAAAGACTGTGGAAGTGGCAAACATTACTATTAGGGAAAATAGAATTCAAGGCAAAAGGTACAAAGAGGCAAATTCCATATTGATAAAGTGTAAAACTCAACAATAATACATTAATCAGTTATGAAATTGCACACGTTATAGTAACATCTAAAGCAAAACCTTTTAGAAATATAAGGAGAAATAAATGCAACTATCATCATAGAGAGAAGCCAATATTCCTCTGAGAAATGGGCAAATAAAGTAGATTAAAAATAAGGATCTGGAATATGTGAATTACATTTTTAAAAACCTGGTATAATAATAAACTTTAAACCTAATAAATAAGCTTTTTCTGAACTTTCAGAGATTAAAGAAGCAAAAAAGAGCCGGGCACAGTGGCTCACGGCTGTAATCCCAGCACTTTGGGAAGCTGAGGTGGGTGGATCACCTGAGGTCAGGAGTTTGAGACCAGCCTGGCCAACATGGTGAAACCCCGTCTCTATTGAAAATACAAAAGTTAGCCAGGTGTGGTGGTGTGCCTGTAGTCCCAGCTACTCAGGTGGCTGAAGCAGGAGAATCGCTGCTGGAGAACCCGGGAGGCGAAGGTTGCAGTGAGCCGAGATCACGCCAGTGATCCAGCCTGGGAAACAGAATGAGACTCTGTCAAAAAAAAAAAAAAAAAAAAAAAACCCACACACACAAAAAAAACAAAGAAATGCCAATTGCAAGCCAAGAAAATAAAAGAGAGGGGTTTAAAGATATTACCATCTCTGTAAAATTATCACTTGAAATGGCAGAGAAGACCCCCAAAAGTGAAAATATCAGTGAAATTTAGACTCCAAAAGGCTAAATAGAATACAGGACGGTAATGAAAGTATATAATCAAAATGAATTGATGCACATTAAGTTATCACAACATCTAGTTTCCGACATGGTTGTTTAAATCAGCTTTGTCATTTTTTTAATGGATTTGAAAGATGGAAAACACTAAAGAAAAACCATTGGGTTGGAGTGTAATTATTTCAAAAGTGATTACAATAATTCAATAATGCATAAATACAAAATAAAACAAGATAAAATAAGAAAATATAAATAACGAGTAACAATAAAATCTCTATACTTCCAAACCTGGGGGATGCAGCCTAAGCAATATCCATGGGAAATTTCAGAATTTTAAATGCTTTTGGAAGAAATAAACAAGGAAATATATGAACCAAGCATTTAACTCAAGAAAGTAGTACAAGAAAAATATGAACAAAGGAAGTACGTAAAAGAAATTAAAGATAATAGCAGAAATTAAGTAGAAAACATCTCCTCATTATAGATTTTGTTATTAGTAAAACCAAGTGTCTTAAAAAACACCAACAATAAGACTAATAAACTTCTGGCAAGGCTCACCATAAGAAAAGGTGAACACACAAACATGAGGATTGTGAAAAGAGTCATGATTGACAAGATAGGTCAAAAAACATAGATTACTACGTACAACTTTGAGATCTAGGTGAAATGAGTTTTCCTAGTGAATTACCAACTCTCAGAAATGGGCTCTTGAAAAAGCATTATTGGTTTAATCACTTTTTCTAAAAGAAATTGAAAAAGAGGCATCCCCCCACAACCCCCAATCCAGGCCCAAGACAACAGGTTCAGATAGTTTTAGAGAGGAATTTTACTAAGTCTTTAAGGAACATATAATTTCTGTAAGTACAGAAAGACGGGCAAGCTTTCCAACTCATTCCACTAGGCTAATATTAACGCCATATAAAAATTGCATTGAAAAAGTACTCTCCCTGCAAAAAACAAAAATAAAAACCAAATCTGTAGACCAAATTCACTTAGACAGATGTAAAAATAATCGTGACCAAGTGGGAATTCAAAAGTGGCTCAACATTAGTAAAAACATCAATTTATTTCATTCATTCTTTTATTCAACAAATACTGAATGCCTACTATGTGCCAGTCATTGTTCTAGCTGTAAGATATGGCCCACAGAAATGAAAAAAAAAAAGAGTTGTGGATCTTATAAAAATGTAAGAGAGGAAAGAAAAACAGCTAAAGAAAATAATTTCAGAATGCTATGATTCTATGAAGATCATTTGCAAGGTGGTATAATAAGAATAAATGGGGGAGGAAATATTTATTTAAAAGGCACTTTTAAAATGTTTTTATTTGAGCTGAAACTGGAAGATGGGAAGAAACTTTCCAGAAAGAGGAAAAAGCAAGTGCAGGAAAAAGACTGGAGGTTTGAGGATCAAAAAGAAGGCTGGTTGCTAGAACAAAATGGTGGAGGAGGGGGGTTAGAGATTCGAGAGGTGAGTAAGGGATTCTGTAGGGCAGGGGTCAGCAAATTATACAGCCCACAAGCCAAATCTTGCCTGTTGCTTGTTTTTGTAAATGAAGTTCTATTGCAACACGGCCAGACCCATTCATTTACATACCGCTTGTGGCTGCTTTCCATATACAATGGCAAAAGTGAATGGTTGTGACAGAGATCATGTCTGGAAAGACAAAAAGATTTACTGTTTGGCTCTTTACTGAAAGTTCGCCATCCTCCGCAGTACGGCCTGCCTTCCAGACCCCGGTAGAGTTTGGGTTGCTGCCTAAATGCAATGGGAGCCACCTGAGAGATTTAGGCAGGAGGGTGTGGCACAGGCTAACTTCTATTTTTAAAAGCTATATTTGAGGTTACAATATGTGTTACCCTTCAGATAGGGTACTGACCAGGAGGAGGCATGAGGGAGACTTTTGGGGTAACAAGATACAGAAATGTTCTATATCTTAAAGGGAGGGGGGTGATGGTTACACAGGTATATGTACGTGAAAATTTATCAAGCTGTATTTTTAAAACCTTTTTTTTTTACTGTGTACAAGGTAAACTTTAATGAAAAGTTTCAAAAGCACAAACGTGTGCCATAAACAAAGTTAAGAGAAAAAGAACAGAATGAAAGAAAATAATTTGCAGTATATAGCAGACAAAATTTTAATACCCATTAGCAAAGGAATCCTATAAATTAATTAGAAAAATGTCAAAAGATGTATTTAAAAATAGTAAGATATGGGGAAATGGGCATTCTCATATGTATGTTGGTAAATGTAAATTAGTACAACCTTTTCAGAAGATGATCTGTCTATATCCACAAAATTAAAAAAATTAAATACCTTTTAAGCCAGCAATTTCGCCAGAGGAAGCCGTTCAACAGCAATGCTTGAACATAGTAAACAAAAATATGTGTACATTCTAATGATGCTTATCATTGTATGTAATACTAAAACACTAATAAGTGCCTAAAACTACAAATTACCTATTCACATGGGCATGATTATAGAAATTATGGCACACCCATGCTATGGAATATTGTATGTACAGATGTACATGAAAGATGCCTGAGATGTGTTCAGTGGAAATAGCAAATCACACAATGCGACATTAATTCCTTTTTTTTAAAAAAATACACAACAAACTGCTGACAATTTGAGATTTTTAGAAGAAAGGTGAAGGCACTAGGGAAGGTGAAAGAGGTCTTTCACTTCTCCCTAATATTTTATTATTAACAATTTGAAACATATAGCAAAACTGAATAAATTTTACAGTGAACATCAATATGCCCACTTCCTAGATTTTATCACTAACATTTTACTATACTTTGGTGGTATATTTCTAACACAATATACTTTCAAATATACAGATTGGGTTTTATTTTGGCATACAGACATTGCCTTTTGTATTATAAATATGGTTTTAATGAATGAATAGATATTACGACAAAATACATTTTACAAAGTATTAATCCCCTCAACTTTTCTTGTAGGGCACCAGTTTTTCATTTACATATTCAATTCTAAAAATTAAAGTGATCAACATTTAGAGTAGTAATGCACTACTGCCTTATTTCACACTTGAGATAAAATCACTCCATTTTTTCATCCCTGAAATAGCTATCTTGCTTTTTAAAATTTAGTTATTTAAAATATCCTTACCTACACATTTCTATAACATCTTTTTTCCTTACAACTGGATGTGACTATAATTGCATGGTTTTTGAGCTAGTTATTCTTTTACTTTCAAGTTTGTTGCTCTTACACGTCACAGTAAGATTATCCGTGATTTAGCATTGTGACAACATTGTAAAAGGGACTGAAAAGCAGTAATGTAGAAAATTATAGTCTTTCTCCTTCCAGTACTTTCTCTTATTTTATTTTTTGCATTTTATTTCTTTCCCCATTTCAAACGTGTTCATGCCTACAGTACTATCATTCCCCTTAATTTCATCTGTTAGAGAAAAAAAACGTATTTTAGAGCAGTTGCTGATGGCAAGCTAGTGTTTTCAAGCTAACTTCCTACTTCTGATACAGAAAAATTGAAGTTCCCAGATCAGTACTCTTTGTGGTGAGTAATAAGAAACAAGAAAATGAGAATGTCAAGCCTTCCCATAAAAATCACACCGTTAAAAGGTGATATTTACATAACTGTTACACGGCGTTTCAATCAATGTAAAGTATTAAGGAATACATCACGGAGCATCCTTTTTGAATGAAGATTAAAACATGCAAACCCGCAAATTTTTACAACCTTTATGCTAAATTCAAATCTATAAGCTCTTCAACCGACACAACGTACTATTTCCACAACTGGATTGGGAATAAAACTAAGATTAATTCCACCACAATCAAACATGTAACGAACGTATGAGGAATACTGACTCCCACATCAGTACGTTTGCCAGACTGAATTTTAAGATGTAGTCAAACACACTTCCTGAATTGGCCACTTTTGCAATCAAAGAAACAAACAAACAAAAAACACCAACAAAAACCACTGGCTGTGCAAATTTCATTGAGCATCCCTTGGTCATTTAAGAAAACTTGTCTACCTACCACTCCTGGCTTGTAATTAACAATACAAAAGCATTTTCATTTCCTTTCCCGTTCACGCAAGCTCCTGAAAACTATTTTTTTTAAAACCCTCTGCCGTTCTTTCCAAACACTTACCGCTAAAGTTGTGTTCCTCAGGTTGCTTGTCTGTTAACCAGATATCTCCATAGGGATCTTCGTTATTCCACAGCGCCAGGTAATGACTCTTCCCGCCTCTTAAAGGCCTCTCTGGTTTCTCCTGGTGCGCTCTATTTCTGAAGGGAGTTTCTAAAGAAATACTGTCTGAAGTCTCCCCACAGTGGACGTTATCTATGCACAGGATCCCCTGGCCTATCCTTTTCTCATTGTAAAGACATGAGACCCTGGAAATTCTCATTTGAATGCCAACTTTAAGAATATTTTGATATACGAGAGAGTTCAAGCTGGGGTCCAGGTAGCACTTCTCCTGGTACACCCCATCTGAGATCGTCACATCATAGCAATAAAGGGGAGGCTTGGGCACCGTGTCGCGTGGCTCATCCTCTAACAGGTACCTCTGGACGGCCAGCACAGTTACAGGCACCACCTCCGAGGGGGTGACACACTGGCGAGGTGAGTCCATAATCTGCTCAAGAACCTTTTGGATCCAGGACCTGGGCCCTTGGGAACCAGCTCTTCGGATCACCCCTCCCGGGACCCCAGCCCGATTCCTCTCAGGGTTCGGCCAATCTAGCCCTGCATGTGAGGGACCAGCCTCAGGCTGTCCTGACTCACCAGACATTGTTGGATAACTGCGTACCCGCTTCACTCCCAAAAGCTAGTTTGCCCCGTCCAAAGCGGAGAGAAATAAAACCGCGCGCTTTGGCGACGATCGCTACTCTGCCCCTGCTGACAGGCAAGACTCCGCCCCGTAGCGAGGCTGCAAAGACTTTACGCGTGCGCGCGCCAGCTCTCCCACCCCGCCCCTCGCTCCGAGCGCTTCCGACTCGAGACACTGTTACTAGGCAGTCACACGCGCGAGTTACGTAGCAGGTCGTCCGACCTTGTGCCCGCCGGGTTGCCGTCTGGGGGAGGGATGACAGGGGAAGGGGAGGGGGAATCGGTGGTTGTCATGGTTCTCAAAGAGGGAGGGGGAGAGCGCTTGTGGTCCCCTGGAAAGGAGGATGCCTAGAGGCAAGGGAAAAGAGAAAGTGGCAAGAATCAGGGTGCAGAGTCAAAGCTCAGGGATTTGGGGGTTTGGGCTTTGGGCCAGGAACAGAAAGTAATTTAGAGTTGGTTAACATATGTTAATGTTATAACATGGGTTTCCTGTAGTATGAACAAAACCAGATAATTTATGCAGAGCCTCCAGGACAGACTCTAGCACAAAAAGTCCTCAGTAAACATTAGCTGCTATTGCGATTAGCATTAGCATAATTATCTGTAGTGGCTCCCTGAGTGTAGGGTGGGTGAATTAGTGTTTAAGTGCAAATGAAAATAGAAAACTAGAACTGGCTTGTAAAGGGCTGCCTTTAGATTAGACTTCTTAAAATGCAGCTAGTTTTAATATAATACCTGGCCTAATATACATCTAGGGTAGAGATTTCAGAAACTTTGTTTAATGTTTGTTTGTTTAATGCAAGGCATATATCAGGAACGAATGTAAAGTGAAAAAGCTGATAAGAATAGTAAAAATTAAGGATAAAATATTTAATAGATGTACTTAGATCCAGTATACATAGAAGGGAGTAATTGTTCTAAGAATACTTTTTAAGATGGTTATGAGCTGATTTTGTTTATACTAATTTCCTTTGGCTCTCTATTTTATCATTCTTTATTCACTATTTATGAAGTCTCTATATGAGGTAGGCACTGTTTTAGGCCACTGGGGATAACTGTAGTCAGGGTCCTTCCCTCAAGTTTCTTCTCATTGCTTGGGCTAAAGAGCCCTGCCGTTATTAATACTTAACTAATTTACTCATTCTATACAGATTTCTTGAGTGTCTGGTCTGGGCAGGGTATAGCCTTGCTAGGGAGACCAAAAAACATAGTAAGGGGAAATAAAGTGGAGGGAACAGGAGTTAATATTTTATAAAAAGTATGATTACAGAAAGGTTCTCTAGTAAGAGACTGAACAGAACAGAGATGTGCAGGAAGTGAGGAAGTGAGCTATGTGGATATCTAGGGGAATGGCACTTGAATCAGAGAAAACAAGAAGAATAAATTCCATGAGACAGAAGCATACTTGATATTTTCAAGGAAATGCATAAGCCAATCAGCCGCAGTGGAGGGGCGAGGGGGAGAGTGGTAGGAGGTGAGGTCAGAGAGGTAGCAGGGTTTCTTCTATTATGAGCAAAGGAGTGACATGACACTTAGTCTTGAACCCCACTTCCTTCATGATGCCTCCCCTCACCAATTCAGTCTAGGATAATCTTTCTCTTCTCTGTATCACCTTGTATCACTCATTTGATACTTATCATCTAATACTTGCAGTTAAAAAAAAAAAACTTAATGTATGCGTAACTCAGAGTTTCTCAACATGGGCACTCTTGATTCTTTGGGCCAGAAAGTTTTTTGTTGTGGGCTGTCTTGTGCACTGTAGGATGCTTAGCAGCATCTCTGGCCTCTACCCATTAGATACCTGTAGCACCTCCCCCTCCAGTTGTGAGAACCAGAAATATCTCCAGACATTGCCAAATGTCCCCTGGGGTAGCAAAGTCGCTACAAGTTGGAACACCCGATTATGATCTGCATTAACTAGATCTTAAACTTTTCGAAAGCAGAAACTGATTTGTTCTTTCACTACTGCTATGCATAAAAGGCACTCAAATATTTTAAATAAGTAAAACATATAATTCCCAGTGCCTCTCTACCAAAGGGAATATACAAGTGTGGCTTTCCATAAACAAACAAATGCAATATACAAAAATCCAAATTTACCAAACATAAAATAAGTTGCCTGAGTGTAGGTACTTTGTTATGTAAACTGCAGAATCTCCAGTGGCAAAATAAGTATCTAGCATATAGTAGGTACTCAATAGTTTTGTTGAATGAATAAATGAAATTATGGATTTGTATTGCATTTACTGTAGGGGTCATTAAATGTCGACTATCTCTGTTGTTTATCAAAGGAGAATGTGTTTGAAATATTTCAAATCTATTCCATCAGCAGCCCCTAAACTATATATGCTCAGTGAAATTTATGACTAATAGTATTGTCTCATCACATTCTGTGTCCTTCCAGCTAATTCATGAAAGATGGATATTAGCAGTGGTGCTTAGTATTTGGATAATTACTGGAATTGGGAAGAAATAGCACTAATGTTTAGTTTTACACTACTACTAACAACGATGTATGGTGACTGTGGGCACACATTTGGAGACTTATATTGCTCTACTGACAATCTGCTGATAGTGTGCAGCTCCCCAAGAATTAATTTGCCTACTTGAGTAGTGGTCACACCTGTGAAAGTATGAATGCTCTCTGATTTGGCGTTACTAAGCACCTGTTTTAGGATCAATTTCACAATAATAGAAAAAGTAAAGGATATGACCTTCAAAGCCAGTAATGAGTATTATTAAGGTTATTGATCTTTTTCTCCTCTCAGATCTGGAAGGTTTATTACAGTGCCTTCCAGGGTTTAAAATGGTAAAAGTAGGCAAAACAGAATTTTATAAAATGGAATGTTCTAAGATATTCAAAACACCTTAAATACATTATGAAATGTATTTTGGTTGTCCACTAAATTTGGTGCAGCTATAAGCCACATTGATTTTCTTCATCTTTAAAATTGAACTAATAAAAGTAGTCATAGTTGTTGAAAAAATTAAGTTAGTTCATATGGGCAAAGTGCTTAAAACAATACCTGGCACATAGTAAGAGCTCAATAATTACTAGCTATTGTTACTATTATTCTAAAAGGAAGATAAAGACATAACATAAAATGATAGAATGCTAGAACTATAGGGAGCCATTAGATGCCCACAGTTGTGTTCTTCAGACTGTGGATTGTGAAACATTAATGAGGCTATGAAGTCAATTTATTGGGTCACAACTAGCAATTAAAAATACGTAAAAATAACAGCACAGAAAATATCAGGGTACATCACACATAGTAAGGGTAAGAATTGCTTTGTAAAATTTTTGTGTTAGATTTGATGTATGTATATGTGCATACTGGGTTGTGATGTAAACTGTATTTCTTACTATAGGTTTGGCCAAAATGTTTAAAAACAACTTCTATAGCTCAACTATCTTTTATTATAAATGAAGAAACTCAGGCCTAGAAAGGGGGATGAACATGAACAAGATAACAGTGTGATAAGTGGCAGAGCATAAGGCTTTCCCTGATGTTAGGTAGGACAGATCCTGCATTATCTTCCAAACATTTCAATTTTTTTGTTTGAAGAACCTTGTTTTTTTCTATCATCACATTCACTTAACAGTCCTTTCATTCATTTGCCTAGATAGGCAAATTAGCATAATTCTCCAGCCTTGGACATTGGAGGTACACATACAGGTTCATCAAATTCATAAGATTATGAGAGTGTGGGTGGAGTTGTGGGGGAGGAAGGAAAAGAAGTGGCATGACTAGTTGGTGCTAAAAGGATGTGGAGAGTTCGGCTGCTATCTCAAAGAGTATTTAGGTAAGCTCTCCAAACATCACCACGGTAACAAGAGAGGGCCTGAGGGTGGCTGCCTGGCAACGAGAGCACTACAACCTCCAGCGCAGTGCTGCCCTTTTCCAACATCTTTCCCTTTTAAGGCTGCTCTTGATGATTTTATTAACTAAATTGCCGCTATATACAAGGATAGATCTGTATAGCTTATAATACCCCATAGCTCATCGGAATCAAGGTTGCTCCTATGTTATCTTTCTATCAGATGTCGAATGAGGTTTGATTGATATATTTGAAGCACGTAAACAGAAGTCTTTAACACAGATTTACCATTAAAGTGGTTCTAGACTCCTTTTGCCCTTTAGTATCTCAAGCAAATGTTCATATTTGTTCCCTGCCTTTGCTCAACCTGAGCACATATTAAACATACTATGAATGGTTGATTGATGTTGTTCCCTTTTCCTTTCTTCCATCCAAATCCTACTTCTATTTTTAATAAAGACCTAAGCATGTTAGATTTTCTTCCGAATCTTAATATTATATATCTGTAAGAGACTTGGATTTTAGAATGTAGATTTGCTGTTTTCAATTTATTAAGTCTTTATTTTCTCTGACTATTAGAGAAAGTGGGATTGCCAGTAAACTCCTGGGATTCTACAGATTAACTTAGTCCTTCTTATACTCACTTATCATCCTCATTTGTCATGATGTGTCTAGCACCCTTTAATGCTTATATTATTTCTTTCAAGATTTTGTTTGTTAAAATGTATGGCTAAAATTTGATAACATTTTGGAAATCTGAACTCCAGTGTCTACCCTGGGTTGCTGTACTTGAAATAGAACTGGACTGGAAGTTGGTTCAAAATAAGCTATTTCTCTAAAGATGTCTTTATTAGTTTTTTTTTTGTTTTTATACAACAGCCTTATTAAAATATAATTCACAGACCATACAATTTACCCATTTGAAGTGGAAAATTCAGTTGTTTGTAGTATATTTAAAGACTTGTGCAACCATGACCACAATCTAATTTTAGAACATTTTATTATCCTATAAAGGAACCCCATACACATTAGCAGCCATTTCCAATTCCAACTGGCCACTGGCAACTGCTAATCCAATTTCTGTCACTATGGATCTGCCTATTCCGGACATTTCATATAAATGGAAACATACATTGTACTTGACTTCTTTCACTTAGCGTAATAATTTTAAGGTTCATCCATGTTGTAGTATACTTCATTCCTTTTTATGACTGAATAATATTTCATTGTATGGATACACCACATTATGTTTATCCATTCGTCAGCTGATGGACATTTGGTTTGTTTCCACTTTTGGCTATTATGAATAAAACTGCTATGAATATTAGTGTATAAGATTTTGTGTGGACATATATTTTCTAATCTCTTTTGTAGTTACCTAAGAGTGAAATTGCTGGCTCATATGACAAGTCTATGTTTAACTTTTTGAGAGACTGCCAAACTGTATGACAAAGGGTTGCATCATTTTACATTCCTACTGACAATGTATAATTTCCACTTTCCCACATTCTTGCCAACACTTGTTATTTTTTCTTTTTTATTATTATAGCCATCATTGTGGGTGTGAAGTGGAATATTTTGTCAAATATTGCAAATATATTCTCCTAGTCTGTAGCTTGTCTTTTTATCCTCTTAACAGTGTCTTTCACAGAGCAAAAGTTTTTCAGTTTTTAATTTTGATGAAGTCCAATTTATTAATATATATATTTTAATTTTTAATTTTTGTGGGTACATAGTAGGTGTATATATTTATATGGTACATAAGATGTTTTGATACAGGCATGGAATGCATAATAATCACATCAGGGTAAATGTGGTGTCCATCATCTCAAGCATTTATCCTTTCTGTTACAAACAATCCAATTATGCTCTTTTAGTTATTTTAAGATATACAATTAAATTATTATTAACTGTATTCACTCTGTTGTGCTATCAAATACTAGATCTTGTTCATTCTTTTTTCTTTTTTTTTTTTTTTGAGACAAAGTCTCACTGTGTCGCCTAGTCTGGAATGCAGTGGAGCGATCTGGGCTCACTGCAACCTCCGCCTCCGGGGCTCAAGCTCTCCGCCTGCCTCAGCCGCCTGAGTAGCTGGGATTAAAGATGCATGCTGCTGTGCTGGCTAATTTTGTATTTTTAGTAGAACCTGGGTTTTGCCATGTTGCCCAGGCTGGTCTTGAACTCCTGGGCTTGAGTGATCTGCCCACCTTGGCCTCCCAAAAAGCTGGGATTACAGGCGTGAGCCACCGTACCTGGCCCATTCTTTCTAACTATATTTTTGTATGCATTAATTATCACCATTTCCGCCCAACCCCTTATTTGTGGGATCTAATATTTCCTTTTAGTATCAAGTCTGAGAACCCTTTGCCTTGCACTAAATTTCAAAAATAATCTCTGTTTTTTGTTTTTTGTTTTTTTTTTTCCTAGAAGTTGTATTCTTTTACATTTTACATTTAAGTCCATGGTCCATTTTGAGTTTGCTTTTGTATAAGATGGGAGACTTTGGTCAAGATTCATTTTCTTACCCATGGATGTCCAATTATTCCAGCACCATTTGCTGAAGACCAAACTTCCACCAATGAATTGCTTTTGCACCTTTGTCAAAAAATCAGTGGCCAGTTCTTTTGTGAGGATATTTCCAGGTTCTCAATTTTATTCCATTGATGTATGTGTATATCCCTCCAGAAATACCACACAGTCTTTATTATTGTAGGTGGTCAAGTCTTAAAATTAGATTTCTCCTTTCTCCTTTTATCAAATTTATTTTAGCTATTCAAATTTATTTACCTTTCTGTAAAAATTATAGACATATTTTCTCCATATCCACAAAAATCTTGGTAGGATTTTGATAGTAATGGCTTTAAACCTGTGTATAAATTTGGGGAGATTGACTATTTTATTACATTGAGCCTTTCAATGCATGAACTTTGTTTACTTAGATTTTCTTACCAGCATTTCATAGTTTTTAACATGTAAGTTTTGTGCGTGTATTGTGAGATTTACACCTATTTCAGTTCTTGAGCAATTGTAAATGATACTGTGTTTTAAATTTCAGTGTCCGTGTCTTCATTGTTAATATGTAGAAATAAATTGATTTTTGTATGTCGAAATTGTATCTTGCGAACTTGCTGAACTCATGTATTAGTTCTAGAATTTTTTGGTACCTTCTTTGGCATATTTTACATAGACCACCATGTCATCTGCAAAAAGGGAAAATTTTATTTATTCCTTTCTGAATTGTATAACTCTTATTTCTTTTCTTGTTATGATGGTTAGGATCTCCAGTATAATGCTGAATAGCAGTACTGAGAGTGGACATCTTTACCTTGTTCCCAGTCTTGGAAAGAAAGCATTCAGTCTTTCACCATTAAGCATGATGTTAACTGTACGGTTTTTATAGATGCCCATTATCAAATTGAGATAGTTACCTTCTGTTTTTATTTTGTTGTAATTTTATAAAGCATCATGAATGGATTTTAGATTTCACCAAATGCATTTTCTGCATCAATTGGTATGGTCATGTGATTTTTCTTATTTAGCTCATTGATATGGTGGATTACATTGGGTGACTTCGGAATATTGAACAAGTCTTGCATACCTAGAATACATTTTGCTTGGTCATGATGTATAATTATTTTTATACCTTGCTGAACTTGCGTGGCTAATATTTTGTTGAGAAGATTTATGTCTACATTTATGAAGAAAATTGGTCTGTAATTTTCTTTCTTTTTTTTCGTTTTCTTTTCTTTTTTTTTTTTTTTTTTTGAGACAGAGTTTCGCTCTTGTTGCTCAGGCTGGAGTGCAATGGCGCAATCTTGGCTCACTGCAACCTCCACCTCCCAGGTTCAAGGGATTCTCCTGCCTCAGCCTCCCAAGTAGCTGGGATTACAAGTGCCCGCCACCATGCCCAGCTAATTTTTTGTATTTTTGGTAGAGACAGTGTTTCACCATGTTGGCCAGGCTACTCTTAAACTCCTGACCACAGGTGATCTGCCCGCCTTGGCCTCCCAAAGTGCTGGAATTACAGGCGTGAGTCACCATGCCTGGCCAATTTTCTTTTTTTGTACTGTCTGTCTGGTTTTTGTATTAGGGTAATAATGCCTTTATGAACTGAATTAAGCAATTCCACTCCTTTATTTTCTGGAAGAGATTGTGTAGAATTGTTATCTAAAAAAAATTTGACGGAGGTCTCCAGTGAAACCACTGGAGCCTGGAGATTTCTTTTTCAGGACCTGTTAAAAATTATAAATTCAACTTTCTCAGTAGATATAATAGGCAAATGGTGTAGTTGGTGTACATGAATTGAACCCAACGTACCTCCTAACTTACATTTTACCTCACAAGAGCAGAGTTTGCCCCACCAGTTTCAGCATGTAGTTGAAAGAATAGAGCAGAATGTATCATTGGCAGCCGGCGGAGATCACAGAAACCAGAGGATGAGGCTAAGCTGTGTGTGCTGAGATCATTACCCCAAAGTCATCAGTTTCATTATTCCTTCTGTGGGGAGGAGCAATTAAAGGGTGGGAGGAGAGGTCAAGGGTGTTAATCTAATGGGGGGGGGTGGTTCTTCAGTAGAAAATATTAATTTAAGAGAAAGATGGGATACCCCCCAAATAGCTACATGACAGCAAGATTTCAGAAGCAAACTATCTTAAAATGAGTGAACATACTTTAGAGAATTTTCTGCATCCTACACGTAACAGAAAAGGATATTATCACATTTCTTTAAAAAACAAAATTATTTTAAGTCCATTTTTAAAATTAAAAAACCATAACTCTAACAAGAAAAAAAATGTTCTAAGTAAAATAATAGAGGTATTTAGACTATTCTCAATATACATTAGCCTTAAGGGTGCATATACCCTGATTATTGTGGATTGCATTCTCTTGGTTTGGATCCTGTTTGGTTATCCTCCTCCTGCTTCTCCTCTTCTTACTTCTTTTTTTTTTTTATACTTTAAGTTTTAGGGTACATGTGCACAATGTGCAGGTTAGTTACATATGTATACATGTGACATGCTGGTGCGCTGCACCCACTAACTCGTCATCTAGCATTAGGTATATCTCCCAATGCTATCCCTCCCCCCTCCCCCCACCCCACAACAGTCCCCAGAGTGTGATGTTCCCCTTCCTGTGTCCATGTGTTCTCATTGTTCAATTCCCACCTATGAGTGAGAATATGCGGTGTTTGGTTTTTTGTTCTTGCGATAGTTTACTGAGAATGATGGTTTCCAATTTCATCCATGTCCCTACAAAGGATATGAACTCATCATTTTTTATGGCTGCATAGTATTCCATGGTGTATATGTGCCACATTTTCTTAATCCAGTCTATCATTGTTGGACATTTGGGTTGGTTCCAAGTCTTTGCTATTGTGAATAGTGCCGCAATAAACATACGTGTGCATGTGTCTTTATAGCAGCATGATTTATAGTCCTTTGGGTATATACCCAGTAATGGGATGGCTGGGTCAAATGGTATTTCTAGTTCTAGATCCCTGAGGAAACCTAGGCATTACCATTCAGGACATAGGCACAGGCAAGGACTTCATGTCTAAAACACCAAAAGCAATGGCAACAAAAGCCAAAATTGACAAATGGGATCTAATTAAACTAAAGAGCTTCTGCACAGCAAAAGAAACTACCATCAGAGTGAACAGGCAACCCACAAAATGGGAAACAATTTTTTCAACCTACTCATCTGACAAAGGGCTAATATCCAGAATCTACAATGAACTCAAACAAATTTACAAGAAAAAAACAACCCCATCAAAAAGTGGGCGAGGGACATGAACAGACACTTCTCAAAAGAAGACATTTATGCAGCCAAAAAACACATGAAAAAATGCTCACCATCACTGGCCATCAGAGAAATGCAAATCTTCTTATTTCTTGATTTGACTCATCTGGTTCTTTGCCATCTTCATTAGGATCTTGAACCTCTTCATCAGAGGCATCATTATCATCTGTGACACCTCTTGAGTGATGTCACATTGATCCTGGGAGTCATGGAAAAAGTGCTCCACTTTATCTGCAGCAAGGATAGTTTCAGCATCATCATCTAGAGATCATCCCCCAAGAACTTCAAGGGGACAAAAGCAATTAAATAAAGAATCATTATATATGTGTTAGATTGGCAATAAAAAGGGCATGGACCAATAAACCGCCAGTGGGAATGTAAATTGTTTCAACTAGTGGTTAAATTGAACATATGCACACTCTATGATCCATGAAGTGTGTGTGTGTGTGTGTGTGTGTGTGTGTGTGTGTATCTCCAAGAATAGTGTTTGTCAAAGTGGAGGGTGATACTAACATTTCATGGGGAAATGATTTTTCCTTGTGCTGGAAAGTACCAGACATTTTAGGGTGTTTAACATCCCTGGTCCTAACCCTCTGAATGTCAGTTGTACTCCCCAATCACTGTGAAAATCAGCCCTTCCCAGGTGAGACCTATTGGCCAAAAGAAACCCAAATAGCTGCACTAATAGATGTGTAAAAGAATGTTCACAATAGCTCTTAACTGGAAATAGCCCAAATGTCCATAATGGAAGTCTGAATAAATAAATTGTGGTGTAATCAGACAACGGAATAACTTGTTGCCCTCATGATATCGGCATACCAGCCCTCACTTGCCTATGGTCAGGCTTTATAATGTAAGAGCAAAATAATCTGTCTTATTCAGCTACCTTTCCAGTCTGTAAAAAAAATACTAGTTTGAAAATTACTGTGATTTGGAAATGAGCCCTGTCCTTTAGTAGGGACCCTGCCAAAAAAAATGTGGTATTGTAAAGAGATTTTGCCCCTTTAATCACCACATGAGATTATCCCCTAAAATGTATGAAACCCGTAGGGCTTAGATATAATGCTGGTTGATGCAAGTTGATTATGATACAACATTCTGAATTGAGGCACAATATTTTTGAAATGAAAGTGTGTGGTTGGCTTTTAGCTATATGATTTTTAAGGTGGACTACTATGCCTGCGCAACCCAGTCTCTGAATATCTGACCACCTTTGATGTAATTAAGTTGGTCAGACTCTGGATATCTGGTGGTCCTCCAGGTGATTGGATAGCTTAAATCTTGAATGTTTGCTAATTTTCAGAAAAATCAGGACTTAGATGGCTTCATAAGATAGAAGGCCTAATGTTTTACTTTTTTAAACAGCCTGGAAACAATTCATATCACTAGTTTGTGTTGGCGCTATTATAACCTCTGACACATACTTTAAAATGTACTATTCCTTCTTTGACTAGACACAATTTTCTGCATGGCTAGGTTGCTTTGGGAGTACCCTTAGGCTCTTGAAATAATTTTTTCCATCCTTCTCCTCTACCAGTGTACTTTATACTCTGAAGAATGTTGAGACATTTTAACTCATAATTTCTCTTTAGTTGAGAATCTTCCACTTTATTCCTCACTGGATCACAGGAGACAGGCATTGGCAACAACATATCTGTGTGTTTTATCCACAGTTTGCCTCTATTTTCACTATGAGAACTGGAAAGCTAACTTTTAATTCAACTCGTACAAATATGAATTCTTATTATTCCACGTACTAGTTGTTTCACCTTGTGTAAGTTACCTAAACTCTCTAGGCCTGTTTCCTCCTTTTAAAAGTGGAGTGGATCACCTACCTCACAAGGTTGTTATGAGATTTTTGTTATGAGATTTGAATTATACTGTACCTAGAAGGTCTAGAACCTGGCCTGTTTGAAAGTTAACACTATTTACAGGGTTAAAATAGCTATTCCTAAAGAGCAATAGTCAGTAAAAAGATGTTTCATAATGTATACTACTCAGGCAGGAGAATGGCGTGAACCTGGGAGGTGGAGCTTGCAGTGAGCCGAGATCACGCCACTGCACTCCAGGCTGGGTGACAGAGTGAGACTCCATCTCAAAAATAAAATAAAATAAAATAAAATAAAATAAAATAAAATAAAATAAAATAAAAATAAAAATTATAGACCAAATTGCCAGAAAATTTTAAAAGAGTGATAATGGATTATTGTGAGGTAGCCATTTTGTCTCATCTCCAAGTGGTTGGACCTTAGTGAGGTGAGAGTAACAAGGAGAAGGACTTGTTAACCAAACTGTAGGGAAGGCACTTGGGCTGCTTATGGATCTTTCATGCTTTTTCTCCTTTCATACTATGGACTGATCCAAACTCTAAACATCACGTTAAAGCCAGAAGCCATCTCTTTTCTTCCCTCCAGAGGTGCCTCTAAGGCAGAGATAAACCTCTAGAGGTGCCTCTAAGGCAAAGATATATTTTAGAATATAAAAATTATAGCTTGAAAATTATGCATCGAGCTTTTACTTTCAGCTAGGATGGAGCAGCTAATATCAAACTAGCTATACTATTGACAATAATTATAAATGCTTGACAAATATTTTACAAAGCTGTTTGAAGACACTAGAGACCAACCAAGGCAGATAGGACATGACAGGACAGGATATAGTGAAGGGAAAAACATTGAGATGAGTTTTGTATTTGCTGCTGCTTTCTCTCCTCGAAGAATTGCCCAATTCACAGAGTGTTTGATATAAAGGCCAAACAGAAAGCAGCAATTAGAGATTATAGCACTCTTACTGGGCCAGGAAGACCAAAACTGAAAGTCACACCTACCAAGTGGCTGGGACTCGAATGGCCAAGGTCCCTGGGGGAAAAAAAGGAGGCTGTTATGGACTGAATGTTTATGTTGCTGCCAAATTCATATATTGAAATCCTAACCCACAAAAAGATAATATTAGAAGACAGAGTGTTTGGCAGGTCATTAATTCATGAAGGTGGAGCCCTCATGAATGGGAATAGTGGATTTGTAAGAGACATAAGAGAGATACTTTCTCTCTCCACTATGTGGAGATCTAAGAAGACGGCTGCCTGTAAACCAGAAAGAGGGCCTCCACTAGGACCTGACCATACTGGCACCTTGATTTTCTACTTCTCAGCCTCTAGCTCTTTGAGAAATAAATTTCTTTTTAAAGCCATCAAGCCTGTAACAATTTGTCATAGCAGCCTGAGCAGATTAAGACACAGCTAGAGAAGTGTGATCAACATTCTGCATGAAATTTCTCCTTGACTAGATCAGTAGAGAAAAAGATGGAAGGAGACAGAAAAGAGAATAAGAAACATAGATAACATGATGAAAATGATACAGAAAAGAGAATAAGAAACATAGACAACATGATAAAAAGGTCTGACATATGTAGAATTGGAATCCGGTAAGAGAAGAGAGAGAAAAGAGGGCAAAAGCAATATATATATTTTTTCTTTTGAATTTTTTAAAACATTATTTTATTGTTTTTTTTTTTTTTTTTAAGTTCCGGGGTACATGTGCAGGATGTGCAGGTTTGTTACACAGGTAAACTCTCCACCTAGGTATTAAGCCCAGCATGCATTAGCTCTTTTCCCTAATGCTCTCCCCACACTGTCCTCCCCCGACAGACTCCAATGAGTGTTGTTCCCCTCCCTGTGTTCATGTGTTCTCATTGTTCAGATCCTACTTATAAGTGAGAACATGCGGTGTTTGGTTTTCTGTTCCTGCATTAGTTTGCTGAGGATAATGGCAAAAGCAATGTTTAAACAAATACTTGCTGAGGATTTTCCACAAATTGAGGAAGGCATCAAGCTACATGTTTGAAAGGCTATGTAACTGTGAAGGAGCATAATGACCCCAATTCAAAAAATCTGTGAATATGTTCTGTTACATAGCAAAAGGGATTTAAGGTTTCAGATGGAATTAAGGTTGTTAATTAGATGACTTTCAGATAAGGAGATTATCCTGGATTAGTTAAGATGTGCCCTTAAACATGGACAAGGAAGGTAGCAGTATTGATTAGGGAAAGACGTGGCATGAGAAGGATTTGATCAACCATTGCTGGCTTTAAAGAAGGAAGAAAGGGGCCATGAGTCAGGGAATGCAGGTGACCTCTAGAAGAAGGAAATGCTGATACTTATACCCAGCAAGAAAACTGGGAATTCAGTCATACAAGTGCAAAGTACTGAGTCCTGTTAGCAATCTGAATAAGCAAGGAAATGAATTTTCCCTTAGAGTCTACAGAAAGGAACTTATCTCGCTGATACCTTAATTTTAGCCCAGTAGGACATTTTCTGGGCTTCTGACCTATGAAATTGTAAGACAATACACTTGCATTGTTTCAAGTCACTAAATTTGTAGAAACTTGTTATGACAATCGAAAACTAATGTAGTGAGAAAGAAAACCAGACTTGGGTACATCAAAGTGAAGCTGATGGATATCAGAAACAAATATAAAATTTTAAGAGTAACTAGACATCAAAGGTCCATTATCCTTAAAGGGGCAACAATAAGCTTGACAAATAAATTTTTCAGCAGGAATAGTGAAAGAAGACAATGTTGTGACATCTTCAAGTGCTGGAAAAAAATTAATGCCAACCTAGTAAACATTCTTTCAAAATGAAAGTGAATCAAATGTGTTTTAAGATAAACAAAAATTGAGAGAATTTATAAGATGTACACGAAAAGAAATACTAAAGGAAGTTATTTAGGCAAAAGGGGAGTGATTGTAGATGGAAGCAAAGCAATTCAAGAAGGAATAAAGAACACTAGAAAGGATTAATATGAGTAAATCTATATGAATATTAGCTATTTAAAACAACAGCAATAATATCTTTTGGGGTTTAAAATATATGTGCAATTAAAATACATGATTACAGCACAAAAGGTAGGAGACTATAAATGGAGTTGAAGTGTTTTAAGGTTCTTACCTAATATGGGAAGTAGTAAAAGCACTATCTTAAGGTAGGTTTTATTTTTATTTATTTTTTAATTGAAATGTGACCATTTATTTTTTATTTTAAAAAATTTTAACTTTTAATTTAGATACATGGGGTACATAGTTTGTTACATGGGAATACTGTGTGATGCTGAGGTTTGAGGTATGGATCCCATCACCCAGGTAGTGAGCATAGTACCTGGTAGGTAGTTTTTCAGCCCATCTACCCTCCACCCCCTAATAATCCGGTGTCTGTTGTTCCCATATTTATGTCCATGTGTGTTTAATATTTAACTCCCATTTTTGTTTTCTGTTCCTGCATTAATTCACTTAGGATTGTGGCTTCCAGCTCCAACCATGTTGCTGCCAAGGACATGCTTTCATTCTTTTATGGCTGTGTAGTATTCCATGGTGTATATGTACCACATTTTCTTTATCCAGTCTACCATTGGTGGGCACCTGGGTTGCTTCTATGTCTTTGCTCTTGTGAATAGTGCAATGATGAACATATGAGTGCATATGTATTTTTGATAGAATTATTTATTTTTCTTTGGGTATATACCCAGTAATCGGATTGCTGGGTCAAATGGTAGTTCTGTTTTAAGTTCTTTGAGAAATCGCCAGACTGCTTTCCACAGTGGCTGAACTAATTTACATTCCTACTAATGGTATATAAGTGTTCCCTTTTCTCTGTAGCCTCAAGGTAGATTTTATTAAGCCAAGAAGGAATGGTGTAATTGTGGTAACTAAACTATTAATAAACTATATATCACAGACAAGGTATAGGAGTGTTAAAATGAAATAAAAAAACAACTTGATTAATTAAAAAGAAGGGAGTAAAGTTAAAAAAGGAATAAAGAAGAGAGAGCAAATAGAAAGCAAATAGTAAAATTGTAGATGGAAGCAAAGGAATTCAAGGAATCACATTAAATATGAATAGATTAAGTACTCCAACTAAAAAATGAAGATTGTCAGACTAATACTAATACTAAAAATACTAATTACAACTATGTGCTGCTTATGAGAGACATACCTTAAATAAAACAGAATATTTGAAAGTGAAAGTATTAAAAAAAGATATACCATACAAACATGAACCAAAGTGAAGCTGCTGTATTTATAGTAATATCAGACAAATTAGACTTTAAGACAGGAAACATTATGAGACATATTAGAGAGACATTTCACAATGATTAAAGGATCAATTTAACAAGTTTTTTTAAAACTTAATTGGTATGCATATATGAAGTAGATCAAAAATACAAAAAGTGAAAACTGACAGAACTCTAAATATAAATATAAATATAAATAGATAAACCTATAAGCATGGTTGAAAATTTTAGCACCTCTCCTCCAGTAACTGGTAAAAGAAGCAGATAAAGAAAAGTGTGGATGTGGAAGAATGGATAAGAAGACTAACAGGTAAGTCCTAGCTAATATATTTAGAACATTGCATGCAATAAATGTAGAATGCACATTCAAGTGTATGTAGGTTATTTATCAAAACTGACCATGTGCTGGGCCACAAAGCAAGTCTCAATAAATTTTGATTGGCTGAATTCACAGAATATGTTCTTTGTCTGCAGTGGAATTAAGCCAGAAATAATATCAAAAAGATAGTAGAAATCCCCAAATATTGGAAAATTAAGCAATATATTTCTAAATAAAGCAAGTCAAAGGAGCACTCAAAATGGAAATTATAAAATATTTTGTGCTGAATTACAATAAAAATATGACATCACAACTTGTACTTAGAGCTTTAAACCTTATATGCATGTATTAGAAAAGAAGAAATGCAAAAATAATTATGTAAACACTCACATCAAAAGGGTTAAACAAACAACCAGTTAAATTCCAAGAAAGGAGAGAAATAATACGGGCTGAAACCAAAGAAATACAACAGAGACAATAAAGAAGATCAACGAAGCCAAAAGTTGGTTTTTTGAAAAGAATAATTAAATTGATAAATCTGTATTAATATCAATGAAGAAAAACTGAAGGCATAAACTATAAGTATCAATAATGGAAAAGGGACATTAGTACAGAATCTATAAATATTGAAAAGATGAGATGATATAATGAACAACAAATCTGATGATTTGCATAAAATGCACAAATTACTTGAAATACATTTTACCAAAACTGATTTCAAGAAGATATACAAAATCCAAATAATCTCATAGACATTAATGAAATAGATTCCATAGTAAATATCATCCTGCAAAGAAAATACTGAATCCAGGTGCTTTCATAGTGAAACTCCCCAATATTTACGGGAAAAAATAATACCAATCTTACATGAACTCTTCCAGAAACTAGAAAAAGAGGGAGGAACACATTTCCATACTTGTTTTGTGATGCTGTTATAACCTTGATACTGAAAATCTATGAAGGACCTTATAAGAAAGGAAAACCATAGACCAATATCTCTTGTGAATATAGATGCAAAAATCTTACATAAAATATTAGCAAATTGAATCCAGGGATTTATAAGGTTAATACATCACAACCAAGTTGAATTTATTCCAGGAATGAAAGAACAGTTTAACATTTATAAAGCAATAATATAATTCATCACATTAACAGAAAAAAGAATATATGATTATTACAATAGAGGCAGAAAAAGCCTTTGATAAAACTCAACACTCGTTCATATGAAACAATTTTAGAAAACTAGGAATAGAAGGAAAGTTTCTTAATTTGATAAAGAGAATCTTTAAAAACTACAATACATCAATACATGGCATATTAATGGTGAAATATTGAAAGCTTTCCTCCTGAGATCAGAAATAGACCTGCTTGTCTGCATCGCCATTTCTAATTACTGCATATTTTAGCCAGTAAAATAAGGTAAGAAAGATGAATGAACTTTACAAAGATTGTAAAGGAAGATGTAAATCTTTCCTTATTCACAGATGACATAATTATGTTTAGAAATTTCAAAAATATTTACAAATAACTTAGAAGTAATAAGTAAATTTTGCAAGTTTGCCAGATATAAGGTCAGTATACAAAAATTAATTGTATTTCTATATATTAGTAGAAAGCAGAAAATACAGTGAAAAGCAATACCATTTGCACTAGTTTCAGAATAATCAAATATTGAGGATTAAAATTAGCAAAATATGTCCAAGATCTCTATACAGAAAACTTCAAAACATTGAAAGTAATTAACACAGACTTAAATAGAGAATTATACATTGATTGTGAATTGGAAGACTTTATATTTTAAAGATATTATTTTTTCCTAATTTGATCTCTGATTCAAAATAATAATTCCAGTAGGGTTATTTTTCAAGGAAATTGACAAATGAATTCTAAATCTTAAATAGAATTGCAAATGTCAAGAGCAGCACTGAAAATATTGAAGAAAAACAAAGTTTAATGATTTACAGAAATCAAGATATTTTACACAGCCACAATAGTTAAACCAATAAATTATTGTTATAAATATAGAAAAATGGCACAATGGACTAGAATAGTCCAAAAAGAGGACTATACAAATTCTCTTTATGACAAAGAATTCATAACAATGCAGTGGGGGAAAGAATGGTCATTTTAATAAGTAGATCTTGATCAACTGGGTATCCAAATGGATCCAAAAGAAACTTTGCACCTATTTCAAACTGCATACGACATTTAATTCCAAATGAATTGTAGGGTAAATGTCAAAGGTGAAACAAATAAAAGTTACTGGATATAACATAGGAAAATGCCTTAATGGTCTTGATGTAGTCAAGCATTCCTTTAAAAAGACACAAAAAGCACTAACTCTAAACAAAAATAAAATAAATTTGACTTAATTAAAATCAATACACTATTGGAGTTAAAAGACAAGTCACAGAGTGGAAAAAATATTTGCAATACTTATATCTGAGAAATGGCTTGTATTCAGAATACATACAGAACTATAAATCAATAAATAAAAAGCAACCCAATTGTTGTTTTAAAATGACAAGTCTTGAACAGCCAGATCAAAAACAGTATATCCAAATGGTCAAGGCAACAATAAAAAGGTGTTCGATTTTATTATTTGAGTAAATATAAATTAAAATCAGTATCTGGTAATACTATATATCCATCACAAATGCTAAATATTTTTTAAAAAAGCAAGCAGACAGGTGTCATCAATGATGTGGAATGTGAGAATTCTAATACATTGTTGGAGGGCATGTTAATTGTTACAACTTCTTTGGAAAACTGATGGGCTGTATGTCTTAGAGCTTATGGTGTTACCCAGCAATTCTAAGTATATAAGTACAATAGAAATGCCTATATATGTGTACCAAGAGAAATGCATGAGAACATTGATAGCAACATTATTGTAATAGACAAAACCAGTAAATAACCCAAATGTCCACCAACAACAGAATGAATAAATCGTGTTATATTCATAAAATGGGATTTTAGCAACAATGGAAAAGAGTAAACCACAATTACAAATAACAAGGATACATTTCACAAAAAGAATACTGAGCAAAAGAAGCTAGATACAAAGAATATGCACATATTATTCCATTTATACAAAGTTTAAAAATAGTCAAAACTCATCTATGGTAATAAAAGTCAAAATAGTGTTTTATATCATAATGCCAGTGACTGAGCAGTATGGAGGAGGCTTCTGGGGTGCGGATGATGTTCTAGATCTGGATCTGGATGTTGGTTCCATGGGTGTGCTCATTTTGTAAAAAAGCAAAACAAACAAACAAAAAAACCCATCAAGCTGTTGGAAATACTCTTGCACATTTTTACTAAAATTTGACTACTATATTCCTTTGGAATATTGAAAATTGTACTTATGAAAAATTAAAATATACTTGTCATTGACCAAACAACTCCACTTCTGGGAATCTATCTGTGGTAGTCGATGTTGTTTGTGTAATATTTCTGGTTTCTACTCTAGGTGTATGGTAGGCTTGCTCTTCCCAGCTCCCTTGGATTTGGGTATTGCCATGGACTAGCTTTGGCCAATAAAGTTTGAGTAGAAGTGACATATCCACAAACAAAATAGAAATGACCAATGATTAGGTAAACAAACAATAAACAAAACAATTAAGTAAATTCAAATATAAATAGTACTGAGAATTGAGTTTTTGCCTATTTGGATGTAAAAATTAGAAAAAGAACAAACACCATGTTGACAGTAGGGAAAGGAAACAGGCATTTTTGGGCCCCAGGTCACACAGCTGGGAAGTAGGGAAGCTTAAATCAGAACGCAGGACTGTCTGTATCCATAGCTCTCTCCTTGGAAAGCATAGACATATGGGTATCAGCTGCTGACTAGAGTTAGTCATCTATACAGGTAGATGACAAGGAAAATACACCCAGGGTATTTGGTCAAGTAGAGACAGTGGATTTATGGGCTGCACTGTTTAGCCAGGGAAAATTCCATTCTTAACTAAAGACAAGGATGTATGTGTATGTGTTCATATGTGACAGGTTGTGATGTGCAACACAATGAGATATGTCATTTTAAGCTTATTTTTTCTCTGATTATAATACTGTGACCCAAAGAGTGAGATGAAAAGAGAAACACACTCTAAGCAAGTCGGGCAACTCTTGACATCAAGTACCTATGCAGGACTCTGCTCTCCAGCTCCATGGAGAATTCCATTCGCATCGAAAGGTAAGTCACGTGTGTGTGTTTAACAAAATAGGATAAGCCAGTTTCCGCTTCAATTTTTATTCTGATTTTATAAATGTCCCTTAAAAAATCTAATAAGATGCTGAAAATTATAAAGGAGGACATATATATTATCAGTAATTTCTTCACCCAGAAACATTTGTTGTTAACATTTAGGTCTATAAACTTCCAGACTTTTATCCTGCTTGTTGTGAGTTGAATGTGTCCCCACAAATGATATGTTGAAATCCTAATCTCTGTTGCCTATGAATGTGATCTTATGTGAAAATCAGGTATTTGCAGATGTAATCCAGCTTAAGATGAGATCATACTGAATTAGGGTGGGCCCTAATCCAATAGTGGAAGAAGAGACAGAGATAGAGAGAAAGAGAGAAGAATGCCGTGGGAAGACACAGACGTATCGGGAGACAGCCATGTGAAGACTGAGGCAGGGTTTGGAGTCATGTATCTGCCAGCCAGGGACCAGCAACCACTAGAAGCCAGAAGAGGCAAGAATTCTCCCCCTAGAGCCTTCAGAGAGAGCATGGACCTGCCAACACCTTGATTTTTGACTTCTAGCTTTCATAATTGTGAGAAAATAAATTTATCTTGTTTTAACCTACTTAGTTTGTGTTGTTTTGTTATGGCACCCCTAGGAAATTGATTCCTAAGTGTCCCACTATTCATACAATTTAAATAAACTATTTGAAAATCATTTTAAAAAACAGCATATTTGACAACCTTCCATGTCCATACTATCTACATCATTACTTTGTGAATCACTTGCAGAAGGAATGATTTCTTCAGAGCTTCAAAATTGTTTACTTCTTTTACTTTTCTGACTACAAGGATAGTATATGTTTTAGATAGACAAATGGTAGGGAAATCTGTAAAGTAAGATTTAGTTGCCCTATGACCCCACACCTAGGCTCCTTTCCAAGATATTCTCTATAAGCAGGTTTTTAAAATACGTTATTCCAGATTTGGTACCAAGAGAAATGTAACTGCCTTTTATTTTCGCTTACTCTCTCAATGAGAACTGCATATGTTTTATTGATGTACTCTATTAGCATAAGAATGCTTATTTGAAGCATTGTCTATAATGGCAAAATACCGGAAACTAATTGTATGTACACCAATAGCTGGATGCTTGAATAAATTGTGCTACATTCATAATAGACTATTTTCTTCAGCAATTAAAGAAAGAATGAGTTATAGCTATATTAATTACTAGAAGGATATTCATGATGTATTGGTAAGTGAAATGTACACACAATATATTGAGAAAAGTGTACAATAATACACAGTAGGTTATCTGGAGTTTGGAGCTGAGGAAGGACAAGGTTTATGTGTATGTGAAATTTTATTTCTTTTTAAAAAAAGATCATTATATTATTCCATTCCATTGCTTGCAGTGATTGCATATTAATTTTATAATTCTGGAAGAACATTCGATTACAGAATGAAATATGCACAAATTTGAAAACCTTTTGTTTAATATGGATATATCAGTTGAAGAATATATTTGAAACATTATCATTTATTATGTTTTAAACTTATAATAAACACATTACATAAAAGTAGAAAAAATAACACATTGCATAAGCCCTTGGTATTTATGATCATAAACATAATAAATACATTTAATTTAGGAGTTCTCTTACAAAAACTTACTTGTGACACACACTTCCTTCAGCAAAAGGACCTAACCATCACTCAATAACATAAATTATAAAATTTTATTTATTCAAAAATCTTCATTGATGACAGATAAAGATAGGGTACAATTACTTATCAGGAGGTTTTGTAATAGCTTAGGGTACAATTACTTATCAGGAGGTTTTGTAATAGCATTTGCAGAAACCAAATAAAAGGATGTTACACAGAGCTCTTTTGAGAGGCTCTTCAGGGTCATTTACTTGTTCTTCCTGTGTGTTTCCTTTTCAGATTTCTATTTCAGCATGTAATTTTGAAGTAAGTCCTGATTATAGAAAATGGTCATTGTTCCACAAAATTTATGACATTTTAGCAAATAAAATAGCCTCTGTCACAGTAATTTTCTTCCTGACAACACATTGCTATCATCACAGTCTTCACTTTAATTTACCATGGAGACTATAACAGTGTCAATATTTTTCCAGTCTGTTAAAGACTTAGTAAATGATTGAGAACTGTCATAATGTATATGTTACAAGTGGTGCTGCCATGATGTCTATAAGATTGTCTGAAGTAGCTTTCTCACTGGTCATGATCACAGCTTAGCGAGTCACAATGTTTTTCTGTACCACACATCGTTTCAAATAATTAATTAAATGTTTCTTGTGTGCCAGGAACTGTGTTAAGCATTGTGCAAGCATATTATTACTCACACTTTAAACCATGGCTCAGGGTTTAAACCATTTGTCACGTAGCAAATGGAAGAGCTAGGGCTAAAATTTAGTTTGTGACTCCAGGTGTACTCTTTAACTACAAGCTATACTACATCCAGTAGTATGTGAGGTATAAATACTGGAGTTCAACAAGTATCTGGTTCTCCTCCATTTAACGGGTGCTGGAAAGCTATAATTCCTAGCCCTTTTGTAATTAGTCAGAGTCATATAACTGGTTCTGGCCAAAGGTCTGTTAACAGAAATGATGTATTTAGTTTCCAGGTTGCAACATTTAATTGATAATGTGAAACTCTCTTAGCATCTCTCTTTCCTAGTTGCAGCGGTGGAGGAGGCCCTGTGTTGAGATGCTGGAGCTTTAAATTTGAAGTAACTTTATTACCTAGTCACCATCTAGAGGGCAGACACTCAGGAGAGTTGCCTCAATCCACAGTGTAACTTGTATGAGTCAGAAACATGCTTTTGTTGTGTTAAACCACTGAGATTATAGGACTGTTTGTTACCATAGCATAGCTTAGCCTATTCTGATTAATTCAGAAATTGATACTGAAAGTGGAGTATTTTAACAAATCCCTGAAACGTGACATTGGCTAAGTGGTTTTTTGGCAGGATTTTGCAGTGGCAAAAATTTGGTATAACTGTCACCTGCAATGAACACAACACATAAAATTAGAGAACTTGTAACTCTAGAAGAAAAAATTGTGAAACAAAAATGTTAGTAGAAAAGAGCCTGGAAAACAAAATGTTAGTAGTGTTAATAGGAGTGATAGTAGTGCTTGTTGATTGCTGCTGGCTTTGATTGGCAAGACAGTACAAGAGTGAGGTGAGATCAGAAAGAATTAGCTGGTTTGCATGCACAAATAAAGGGGAATAGAGAGTACAGAAACTTCAAAGCTTGTATGTTTGAGAAAATCAACTGAGTTTCAACTTCAAACTGTAAAAAAGAAAAGATTTAGAGAGATTTTAGGAAAAAATTAGACTAACGGTGTGACACCCTATAAACCTTTTAGTTAAATAAAACTACTCGAGGCAAAGATTATCTTAAGCATATAGTCTTCCCATAGAAGACTAACAGTCTTGGGTTAATCCACATTGAAGGTAGAGGGAGATATGGGTGGCAAGAAAGCAAACAAATGAAAAAACGGGCTATAAATCTGAGAGCTTTGCCTGCAAAAGAATTCTTGGTGTGGTTATTCACACATGGAGCTGACTGAAACCAAGCCTATTAAGTTTTTGAGACAATTGAACTGTTAAATCATGAGCCTAAACTAAGAAAGCCTGTGACAAAGACTTAAAATAATCTTTGGGTTGCCAGAATTAAAACAATTTAGGCCATCAGACACAATGTAGGCCATCAGACTTAAAACAATCCTTAGTCCATCAAAATTCTGTAGGCAAGAAGCAGGCTAAGAGAAATACATATCCCACAAGAGGACGTATTCCATAATGCTCACTTTAGTTACAGCTGAGGAAGATAATGGAAAAGGAAGAACTTACCAAGAGGGTGAATCATGGGTCCACAGGGAACAATGAACAAGAGAACTGCTACAAAGAAAATAATCAAGACTTAATAAATGAATATCTCTAACCTCCCTGGATGAGAGATATTCACAATGCCTGCTACAATTTGCCTCTGTGAATGAGAGTGTTCATCGTGGTTACTCCATCCTTGTTTCATCATTGCATATTGGGTCAGTGGGGGACAGATTACCTATCTTTTTAGTTTATAGGTCTCAGAACCAACGGGAATCACAACTTGACCTGATGGAGAGTATTGTAAATCACCTGGAGATTCTGGACTTTTAAATTGTGACTGAATGGAGTTTGTGGTGTCTTCCTTGGAGAAAAGGTGAGTGAGTTTTCCCTGTGGGAAGAATGAAGCAAATATTTTGTGGACTATGATAGAGATAACTGTGTTCAACAATATCTATTTCTCGTTTACTTCCTGGGCATATAGAATATCACACTTACCATCTCTTTTAGAGCCACGTGACCAGTATGACATTCACTACTTGGCAGGAGCATTTAATTGCTTTTGTGTTCTCTCTTCCTTTTTTTGTGGCAAAAAGATGAGGTCTTGGATTGAGATAGCAGTGCCAAAACTTGAAGCAACTTAGCTTGTGAGTCACCATTTGGAGGAGAACTGCCCTACAGAGCCAATTGAACATGCTGAGATTTTTGGGTTGTTTGTTACCAAGACCTGTTCTATTATTTTTGTCAACAGATATGAAACAATTGTTTTTTTTAAAAAAATAAAAAATTAAGTATAAAAACAAATGGAAAAGATTGTTAAATATATCCTAAACAACTTCTAACAATAGGTATCTCCTATGCTCTAGAAACTAACCCAGGCACACACAGAAACATACACAGATATTCAATTATTCTTATAAAGTAGTATAACCTTAACACAAACCTGATAAAGATAACTCAGAAAAACAGACTAATTGCATTTATGAATAGAGTTACATAAACCCTTAATAAATGTAGCAAATATTATGAATTAACCAACATAACCTCCATTCTACCCTTCTAATTATAGTTCGGGTTCTGATAGCAAATTAGTTTCTGTCAATTAGATAGACTTGTCTTATATTTGTAAGGTGGAAGTGAGATGGAGGACATCTTTCTGCTACTATTGCTGCTGGCAAGGTCAAGGATAAGAGAATGGCAGCTGTGGCTGGACTCAGTATTCCAGAGTCTGGTCACCAGTTTTATGAGTATGTAAAGGCAATTACAGAGGCCAGTTTAGCATCCTATTGTTTAGTTCCTAGCTTCATGGGTGTAGGAAGTAGTTGTGGGTGGCAACAGTAGCGGCTTCCCTTGAATTTAATGATGCAGTGGCAGTGCCCTGATTTCCACCCTCTAGCTATTACAATAATTTTATAAGCACCTAAATTCCTTTATTAAGTTTCTTTCTTCTTGAACTATGTAGAGTGGCCTCTATTTCTACTTTGATTTGGTAGTATGTGTTCTTGAACTGCAGAGATTTGCATCAGCTCAGAATCGGTGTCCAGTGATACCCTTAATGTTTGGCTATTTCCCTTCTCCTGTGTACACTTGGCCCATTAAATAGTCACAGATTGATAGGCTAGGGGAAATATTTATTGTATATACTTATAGCAGTATTACAGGATCCTGCTTCCAGGGTAATTGGCCTTCCCTTCATTCAGTGGGCTCTGGGCTTTAAAATGGCCCAGGTTTGGGAACTGTGAAAGAGCCTGTGACTTTCTATTGTGGTGACCTAAGTCATGCCTCTGTTCACCAGACTTGAGTTAATTTTTTTTTTGGTATGCAGACCAAATAAAAATTTAGTATGCTGCCCATCTATTTTAGTCTTAGAGTTACCATAATCAATTAGCCACTGCAAAAGGTCAGCAAAGGTTCTGTCACTTGTCCTCTACTGGTTCAGGATCCTATGATACCCATTGAAATTCAGAAGCCTATTTCAGTGGCAGCAGTTACCTAGCCTCCCAGAGTGCAGCTGCTATAGTGATATTATAGTACTCTCCTCTGCAATAATTTCTCAATTTTTGGTGAAGAAAGTGTCATTTGGGTCCTTTTGGGGGACATAGTTGGCAAGTTAGTGGGTTATACATGATAAACCCATTTCGCCATTCTTATCTTTCTAATTCTTTGGCTTACTTCCTCTACATTGTATCAAGGAATTTATGGTAACACCATTTAGTGGTGTACACCTTTGAGTATGGGTGTGGCAGGCACATCCAGCACTCCAAATCACAATTGCACAACCTTATCTCTGACTTGTCCTACACACGTCAGCCAGCCTCTGTCCTTGGCTACTCCAGTGTTTGCACAATGAGCCTAGGAGTGGAAAAGCCACAATGGTAAGAATGGAGACTATACATGGGCTGGAAAGCATGGACTACTCACCAAGGCCATCCAGCATCTTGATGGCAGGTTGATTACTTCAGACCTTCCTACCATGAAAAATGCAGTGATTTGTCCTTAACAGCATTGATACTTTCTCCATATATGGGTTTAGTTTCCTTTCCCTGCCCTCAATATTTCTGTTGGCATCATAATTTGAAGCTTACAAAATGCCTGATTTGTGACAGGGATACTCCATAACATTGTCTTAGATGAAAGGACCCATTTTACACGGAAGGAAGTGTGGCCATGTGAACCTAATCATAGGATCCACTGATCCTATAATTTAACATATAACTTAGCACCAGGTGATCCAATAAATCAATTGAATGGCCTGTTAATGGCTCAGCTAAGGCACCAGATAGAGGATAATACCTTGCAGAGTTGGAATACTGTCCTCCAGGATGAGGTATATGTACTCATATACTAATAACTGATATGCAGTGCTGTGTTTCTAATAACTAGACTCCACAGGTCTGGGAATTGATCCAGTAACCTACTTATAGAATTTGTGCTTTTTGTTTCTACATACTCAGGCTCTGCTAAATTAGAGGTTCTGCTTTTCAAGGAGAAATGCTTCCATCAGGGGGCACTTTAAGAGTTCTACCAAACCTGAAGCTACAATTACCTCTTGATCAGTTTCAGCTCCTCATTTTGGTGGACCAGGAGGCAAAGAAAGGAGTTACTCAGCTAGTAGAGATAATTGTCTCTGATTATCATTAGGATTAGGGTTGCTGCTACATAATGAAGGTAAGGGTCACAACATGTATGTAGAAAAATTGTTGTGTTGACTTGTAAAGAAAATAGTAATTTTAACATAACCATTGAAATAAGAAAATAATTTATAATGAGATACTTAATAATCTCCCACTACATAACTACATATAGCTTCCACATACCATTCCATTTTTAACCAGTGATATATTCCTGGTGGATATCTTTCAACATTTGTCAGGACAAAATCCATGTGATACTGAAATATCTGTGGTGTAAGGGTTGGTTTATTTTTTCATATAAAAATATGTAACATATGCAGCTTATCAATATGTACATATTTACTTTCCAGATCACTTCATGAGCATCCATGCCAAAATAAATATGCATTTATTTACATTCAATTCAAGCTCTAAGCCTCAGGGAATGCATTATGGTGAGCATAAATGGGTGAAATTGACAATCTTTCTAAGTTCTTCCATTAGGTCGTTCACTATAGGATTATATGGGGTTTCTAGAAGCTGAAAAACTTGCTAATATCCCATAGCCAAACCCTCATAGTTTTAATAATGGTATTGCAGATTATAAATATTTTGTTCCATGTTATCACTAATGTTTCTTATGAGTTCACTATTTTGAGCTTGTTCTAGGTACTGAGCTAGCCCTGCATATGAGGCTCAACTTGAAGTTGTCAAATAGCAAAATGATGATTTATGGTAACTGGAGCAACTTTGCTACTTGTTGATACAGTTGGACCTTGGTAACCCACTTGGACTTCAGGAAATTGAGAGAACTCTAGAATCTAAACATAGCCAAATGAAATAGTGTTAATCTTTACTAATGATAGTAACATTTTCAAGGTTAATATCTTCTATGTTTATAAGTAGTCTCTAATTTGGAAATAACTGGCATTAAAATTTTGCCTTGATAGCTGTAATAATGGACTTTTTTTATTATACTTTAAATTCTAGGGTACATGTGCACAACTTGCAGGTTTGTTACATAGGTATACAATTATAAATCATACTACCATATTGTTCCTATCTTTACACTTGTGTGTATTCAACGTTTAGCTCCCACTTATAAGTGAAAATATACAGTATTTGGTTTTCTGTTCTTGTGCTAGTTCACTTAGGGTAATGGCCTTCAGTTCCATCCATGTTGCTGCAGAGGACATGATTTTATTCTTTTTTATGGCTGTGTAGTATTCTATGGTGTATAGGTACCACATTTTCTTTATCCAATCCACTGTTGATGGGCACCTGGGTTGATTCCATGTCTTTGTTATTGCGAATAGTGCTGCAATGAACATACGGGTGCATGTGTCTTTGTGATAGAATGAATTATTTTCCTTTGGGTATGTACCCAGTAGTGGGATTGCTGGGTCGAATGATAGTTCTATTTTAAGTTGAGAAATCTCCAAACTGCTTTCCACAATGGCTGAACTAGTTTGTATTCCTACCAACAGCATGTTAGTGTTCCTTTTTGTCTACAGCCTTGCCAGGATCTGTTGTTTTTGAATTTTTAATAATAGCAATTCTGACTGGTGGGAGATGGTGTCTTGTTGTGGTTTTGATTTGCATTTCTCTGATGATTAGTGATGTTGACCTTTTTTATATGATTGTTGGCCACTTGTGTGTCTTCTTTTGAGAAGTATCTATTCATGTCCTTTGCCCATTTTTTAATTAAATTTTTTTTGCGTTTTGCTTATTGATTTGTTTAACCTCCTAGTAGATTCTGGATTTTAGACTTCTGTCAGGCGCATAGTTTGCAAATATTTTCTCCCATTGTGTAGGCTGTCTGTTTACTCTGTTGACAATTTCTTTTGCTGTGCAGAAGCTCTTTAGTCTAATTAGGCCCCACTTGTCAATTTTTATTTTTGTTGCAATTGATTCTGGGGACTTAGCCACAAATTCTTTGCCAAGGCTTATGTTGAGAAGGGTACTTCCTAGGTTGTCTACTAGGATTTTTATAGTGTGAGGTCTTACATTTAAATCTTTAATCCATTTTGAGTTAATTTTTATTTATGGTGAGGACTAGGGGTCCAGTTTCATTCTTCTGCATATGGCTAGCCAGTTATCACCACCCAATTTATTGAATAGGGAGTCCTTTTCCCATGCTTGAAGTAATACAGTTTTAATGTATTGTTTATAATACAGCATTTAATAATTTCTCACTCCATAGCTTTCTATGCATATCCCATTTTACTCCTAGTATCAACTGCATGGGTATCATTCAAATACATTTGTCATATACAAATAAAAATACACACATATTAAGATTCCACTGAAATGCAAGATATGGGGTGGTTTATTTTGTTTTATTAATTTTGCCATACTAATTTATTTTCATATTTCATCATTAGAACATTCTTTGTCCATGACTATGAAATGAGTTACTCTTCAGAACACTTTATAGACAGCCACCCATGCCAATATGTATATATTGCTAGACAGATATGTAGATATATAGATATAGGTAGTTGATTTTAAAATGAACTTCTGGAAACCATAAATAATGACTTGTGGGAAGAATTAATTGCTGCTAGTTGGAATCTTGATTTTTTAATGTGAGATTCAAATTTATCTAATAGTATTTTATGTGTTCATTTTACTCCATTGTGCTCGTCATCATGTTTTTAGCCAATGCCATATTTTTTAAAAGCATGTATGACAGACCAACTGTGTACTATGGTGCCTGCTACTGCTAGTACTCCTTAGTAGACTCCTTTGATCAGTAAATATCTAGGGGGTTAAAAGTGGCAGTTCATGTTGAGCCTAACTAAATATTGCCTAGGTAGGCAAATATCAGTTGCAGTAACTGGAGCAACTTTGCTGCCAGTTGATATAATTGGTTCCTGGCAGCCTCATGTATTCCACTCAATCATTGGGTATTAAGCTTGGGTTATAGAATAATGACTTTTAAATATTTTAAAACTAGACTTTATTTTTAAGAGCAGTTTAAGATTTATAGAAAAATTTAGTGGAAGTTACAGAGGTTCTCCACACGTGTATAACCTCACCCATTATCAACATCCTCCACCAGAGTGGTACATCTGTTAAGTTGACAAATCTACATTAATGCATCATTATTGCCCAGAGCCCACAGTTTACATCAGGGCTCTCTCCATACATTCTATGGGCGTGGACAAATGTATAATGACATATATTTATCATTATAATATCATACAGAGTATTTTTACTGCCATAAAATTCCTGTGTACTCCACCTATACACCCCTTTCTGTAGCTTAACACCTGGCAACCACTGATTTTTTACTGTCTCCATAGTTTTGCCTTATGTAGAACATCATATAAGTGAAATCATACAGTATGTAGCCTTTTCATATTGGCTTATTTCACTTACATATGAACTTAAGCTTCTTCCATGTCTTTTCATGGCTTCATAGTTCATTTCTTTTTAACATTGAATAATAATCCCTTGTCTGTATGTGTCACAGTTTGTCTTTTCACCTATTGAAAACCATCTTGGTTGCTTTCAAGTTTTGGCAACTATGAATAAACTGGCTATGAACATCCATGGGCAGGTTTTTGTGTGGACACAAGTTTTCAACTCCTTTGTATAAATACCAAGGAGCATGATTGCTGAATTGTATGCTAAGAGTATGTTGAGTTTTATAAGAAACTGCTAAACTGTTTTCCAAAGTGGCTATACCATTTTGCATTCCTGCCAGCAATGTATGAAAGTTCCCATTGCTCCACATCCTCACCAGCATTTGGTGTTTCAGTGTTCTGGATTTTGGCCACACTAATAGGTATATGGTGACATTGCACTGTTGTTTTAATTGGGATTTTTTAATTGGGATAATATGTCATGGGGAGCAGCTTTTCATATACTTATTTCCATTTGTACAGCTTCTTTGGTGAGGTGTCTGTGTAAGTCTTTAGCCAACTTTTAAATTGGGCTGTTCATTTTCTTATTGTTGAGTTTTAAGGGTTCTTTGAATGTTTTGGAGAACAGCCTTTTCTTAGATGTCTTTTGCAAATATTTTTTCCCAGCCTCTGGCTTATTTTTCATTTTCTTGACAGTATCATTCACAGAGCAGAAATTTTTAATTTTAATACATTCTAGCTTATCAATTCTTTCTTTCTTGGATTGTATCTCTGGTTATGGAACAGTGGTGTTTAAATTTTTAAAAATTAAACTATTTTAAGAGCAGCTAAAGATTAACAGAAAAACTGAGTGGAAGGTATGGAAGATTCCCAAATACTCCCTTCCCCATACAGGCATAACCTCCCTTATTATCAACGTCTTTCACCAGAGTGGTACATTTGTTAAACTGACAAACTTAAATTAATGCATCATTATTGCCCAGAGTCCACACTTTGCATTACAGCTCTCCAAATCGAAAAAGCCATTGCCAAACCTAAGGTTATCTTGATTTCTTCCTACACATTTTTAGGAATTTTATAGTTTTGCATTTTGTATTTAGCTCTGTGATTCATTTTGAGTTAGTTTTTGTGAAGGGTTTAAGGTCTGTGTCTGAATTTATTTATTTATTTATTTATTTTGTATATGAGTATCCAGTTCTTCCAGCATTATTTGTTGAAAACCTTATCTTTTCTCCCTATATTTGTATTGCCTTTTCTCCTTTGTCAAAGATCAGTTTACTATTAATATATCTATGTGGGTCTATTTCTGGGCTCTCTATTCTGCTCCATTGGTCTGTTCATTTATTCTTCCACCAATACCACACTGTGTTGGTTGCTGCAGCTTTACAACGAGTCTTGAAGTTGGTTAGTGTCAGTTCTCCAACTTTGTTCTTCTCTTTTAATATTGTGTTGGCTACCTTGGATCTTTTGCTTCTCTCTATAAATGTTAGAATCAGTCTGTCAAAAAATACAGAATAACTTCCTAGAATCTTGATTGTGATTGCATTGAATCTGTAGATCAAGTTGGGAAAAACTGACATCATAACAATATTGAGTGTTCCTATCCATGAGCATAGAATATCGCTCCATTTACTTAGTTCTTTAAATTCTTTTAATAGTTTTCCTCATATAGAAGTTATACATATTTTGTTAGTTTCATACCTAAGTATTTCATTTTGGGGGGTGCTAATATAAGTAGTATTGTATTTTTAATTTCAAATTCCACTTGTTTATTGCTGGTATATAGGGAACTGATTTACTTTTGTATTATATATTAACCCTGTGCCTTGGAACTTCACTATAATTGCTTGTTAGTTCCAGGAGTTTTTTGTTGAGCATTTTGGGTTTTAACTATAGACAATAATGTCATCTATAAATATAGTTTTATTTCTTACTTCCCAATCAGCATATCTTAATTTCCTTTTCTTGTCTTATTGCATTGGCTAGGGCTTCCAGTATGATGTTGACAAGGAGTGGTGAGAGGAGTTACCCTTGCCTTGTTCCTGAACTTAGTGGGAAAACTTCTAGTTTTTTACTATTAAGTATGATGTTAGCTGTAGGTTTCTGCAGATATTCTTTATCAAGTTGAGAAAGTTCCTCTCTGTTCCTAGTTTAGTGAGAGTTTTTATCATGAAAAGCATTTGTCAAATGCTTTTACTGAGATTTTAGGGGGGTGGAGCCAAGATGGCCGAATAGGAATACCTCCAGTCTACAGCTCCTAGCGTGAACGACACAGAAGACCGGTAATTTCTGCATTTCCAACCGAGGTACCAGGTTCATCTCACTGGGGAGTGTCAGACAGTGGGTGCAGGACAGTGGGTGCAGCACACTGAGCGTGAGCTGAAGCAGCAGTGCACTGAGCGTGAGCCGGGAAGCACAAGGGGTCAGAGAGTACCCTTTCCTAGTCAAAGAAAGGGGTGACAGACGGCACCTGGAAAATTGGGTCACTCCCACCCTAATACTGTGCTCTTCCAACGGTCTTAGGAAATGGCACACCAGGAGATTATATCCCGTGCATGGCTCAGAGGGTCCTATGCTCATGGAGCTTCACTCATTGCTAGCACAGCAGTCTGAGATCAAACTGCAAGGCGGCAGCAAGGCTGGGGGATGGGTGTCCACCATTGCCGAGGCTTGAGTAGGTAAACAAAGCGGTCAGGAAGCTCGAACTGGGTGGAGCCCACCACAGCTCAAGGAGGCCTGCCTCCATCTGTAGACTCCACCTCTGGGGGCAGGACATAGCCGAACAAAAGGCAGCAGCAACCTCTGCAGACTTAAATGTCCCTGTCTGACAGCTTTGAAGACAGTAGTGGTTCTCCCAGCATGCAACTGGAGATCTGAGAACAGACAGACTGCCTCCTCAAGTGGGTCCCTGACCCCCAAGTAGCCTAACTGGGAGGCACCCCCCAGTAGGGGCAAACTGACACCTCACACGGCCGGGTACTCCTCTGAGACAAAACTTCCAGAGCAACGATCAGGCAGCAACATTTGCTGTTCACCAATATCTGCTGTTCTGCAGCCTCCGCTGCTGATACCCAGGCAAACAGGGTCTGGAGTGGACCTCCAGCAAACTCCAAAAGACCTGCAGCTGAGTGTCCTGACTGTTAGAAGGAAAAATAACAAACAGAAAGGACATCCACACCAAAACCCCCTCTGTTTGTTACCATCATCAAAGACCAAAGGAAGGTAAAACCACAAAGTTGGGGAAAAAACAGAGCAGAAAAACTAGAAACTCTAAAAATCAGAGCACCTCTCTTCCAAAGGAACGCAACTCCTCATCAGCAATGGAACAAAGCTGGATGGAGAATGACTTTGACGAGTTGAGAGAAGAAGGCTTCACATGATCAAACTACTCCGAGCTAAAGGAGGAAGTTTGAACCCATGGCAAAGAAGTTAAAAACCTTGAAAAAAAATTAGACGAACGGCTAACTACAATAATCAATGCAGAGAAGTCCTTAAAGGACCTGTTGGAGCTGAAAACCAAGGCACAAGAACTACGTGACAAATGCACAAGCCTCAGTAGCTGATTCGATCAACTGAAAGAAAGGGTATCAGTGATGGAAGATCAAATGAATGAAATGAAGCGAGAAGAGAAGTTTAGAGAAAAAAGAATAAAAAGAAACGAACAAAGCCTCCAAGAAATATGGGACTATGTGAAAAGACCAAATCTACGTCTGATTGGTGTACCTGAAAGTGACGGGGAGAATGGAACCAAGTTGGAAAACACTCTGCAGGATACTATCCAGGAGAACTTCCCCAATCTAGCAAGGCAGGACAACATTCAAATTCAGGAAATACAGAGAACACCACAGAGATACTCTTCGAGAAGAGCAACTCCAAGACACACATAATTGTCAGATTCACCAAAGTTGAAATGAAGGAAAAAATGTTAAGGGCAGCAGGAGAGAAAGGTCGGGTTACCCACAAAGGGAAGTCCATCAGACTAACAGCTGATCTCTTGGCAGAAACTCTACAAGCCAGAAGAGAGTGGGGGCCAATATTCAACATTCTTAAAGAAAAGAATTTACAACCCAGAATTTCATATCCAGCTAAACTAAGCTTCATAAGTGAAGGAGAAATAAAATACTTTACAGACAAGCAAATGCTGAGAGATTTTGTCACCACCAGGCCTGCCCTACAAGAGCTCCTGAAGGAAGCATTAAACATGGAAAGGAACAACCAGTACCAGACACTGCAAAAACATGCCAAATTGTAAAGACCATTGAGGCTAGGAAGAAACCGCATCAACTAACGAGCAAAATAACCAGCTAACATCACAATGACAGGATCAAAGTCACACATAACAATATTAACCTTAAATGTAAATGGGCTAAATGCTCCAATTAAAAGACACAGACTGGCAAATTGGATAAAGAGTCAAGACCCATCAGTGTGCTGTATTCAGGAGACCCATCTCACATGCAGAGACACACATAGGCTCAAAATAAAGGGATGGAGGAAGATCTACCAAGCAAATGGAAAACAAAAAAAGGCAGGGGTTGCAATCCTAGTCTCGGATAAAACAGACTTTAAACCAACAAAGATCAAAAGAGACAAAGAAGGCCATTCCATAATGGTAAAGGGATCAATTCAACAAGAAGAGCTAACTATCCTAAATATATATGCACTCAATACAGGAGCACCCAGATTCGTAAAGCAAGTCCTTAGTGACCTACAAAGAGACTTAGACTTCCACACAATAATAATGGAAGACTTTAACACCCCACTGTCAACATTAGACAGATCAACGAGACAGAAAGTTAACAAGGATATCCAGGAACTGAACTCAGCTCTGTACCAAGCGGACCTAATAGACATCTACAGAACTCTCCACCCCAAGTCAACAGAATATACATTCTTTTCAGCACCACACCACATCTATTCCAAAATTCACCACACAGTTGGAAGTAATGCACTCCTCAGCAAATGTAAAAGAACAGAAATTATAACAAACTGTCTCTCAGACCACAGTGCAATCAAACTAGAACTCAGGATTAAGAAACTCACTCAAAACCACACAACTACATGGAAACTGAACAACCTGCTCCTGAATGACTACTGGGTACATAATGAAATGAAGGCAGAAATAAAGATGTTCTTTGAAACCAATGAGAACAAAGAAACAACATACCAGAATCTCTGGGACACATTCAGAGCAGTGTGTAGAGGGAAATTTATAGCACTAAATGCCCACAAGAGAAAGCAGGAAAGATCTAAAATTGACACCCTAACATCACAATTAAAAGAACTAGAGAAGCAAGAGTAAACACATTCAAAAGCTAGCAGAAGGCAAGAAATAACTAAGATCAGAACAGAACTGAAGGAAATAGAGACACAAAAAATCCTTCAAAAAATCAATGAATCCAGGAGCTGGATTTTTGAAAAGATCAACAAAATTGATAGACTGCTAGCAAGACTAATAAAGAAGAAAAGAGAGAAGAATCAAATAGATGCAATAAAAAATGATAAAGGGGATATCACCACGATCCCACAGAAATACAAACTACCATCAGAGAATACTATAAACAACTCTATGCAAATAAAGTAGAAAATCTAGAAGAAATGGATAAATTCCTCGACACATACACCCTACCAAGACTAAACCAGGAAGAAGTTGAATCTCTGAATAGGCCAATAACAGGCTCTGAAATTGAGGCAATAATTAATAGCTTACCAACCAAAAAAAGTCCAGGACCAGATGGATTCACAGCCGAATTCTACCAGAGGTACAAGGAGGACCTGATACCATTCCTTCTGAAACTATTCCAATCAATAGAAAAAGAGGGAATCCTCCCTGACTCATTTTATGAGGCCAGCATCATCCTGATACAAAAGCCTGGCAGAGACACAACCAAAAAAGAGAATTTTAGACCAATATCCCTGATGAACATCAATGCAAAAATCCTCAATAAGATATTGGCAAGCCGAATCCAGCAGCACATCAAAAAGCTTATCCACCATGATCAAGTGGGCTTCATCCCTGGGATGCAAGGCTGGTTCAACATATGCAAATCGATAAATGTAATCCAGCATATAAACAGAATCAATGACAAAAACCACATGATTATCTCAATAGATGCAGAAAAGGCCTGCGAGAAAACTCAACAGCCTTTCATGCTAAAAACTCTCAATAAACTAGGTATTGATGGGACATATCTCAAAATAATAAGAGCTATCTATGACAAACCCACAGCCAATATCATACTGAATGGGCAAAAACTGGAAGCATTCCCTTTGAAAACTGGCACAAGACAGGGATGCCCTTTCTCACCACTCCTATTCAACATAGTGTTGGAAGTTCTGGCCAGGGCAATCAGGCAGGAGAAGGCAATAAAGGGTATTCAATTAGGAAAAAAGGAAGTCAAATTGTCCCTGTTTGCAGATGACATGATTGTATATCTAGAAAACCCCATCATCTCAGCCCAAAATCTCCTTAAGCTGATAGGCAACTTCAGCAAACTCTCAGGATACAAAATCAATGTACAAAAATCACAAGCATTCTTATACACCAACAACAGACAAACAGAGAGCCAAATCATGAGTGAACTCCCATTCACAATTGCTTCAAAGAGAATAAGATACCTAGGAATCCAACTTACAAGGGACGTAGAGGACCTCTTCAAGGAGAACTACAAATCACTTCTCAATGAAATAAAAGAGGACACAAACAAATGGAAGAACATTCCATGCTCATGGGTAGGAAGAATCAATATTGTGAAAATGGCCATACTGCCCAAGGTAATTTATAGATTCAATGTCATCCCCTTCAGTCTACCAATGACTTTCTTCACAGAATTGGAAAAAACTACTTTAAAGTTCATATGGAACCAAAAAAGAGCCCGCATTGCCAAGTCAATCCTAAGCCAAAAGAACAAAGCTGGAGGCATCACACTACCTGACTTCAAACTATACTACAAGGCTACAGTAACCAAAACAGCATGGTACTGGTACCAAAACAGAGATATAGACCAATGGAACAGAACAGAGGCCTCATAAATAATGCTGCATATCTACAACTATCTGATCTTTGACAAACCTGACAAAAACAAGAAGTGGGGAAAGGATTTCCTATTTAATAAATGGTGCTGGGAAAACTGGCTAGCCATATGTAGAAAGCTGAAACTGGATCCCTTCCTTACACCTTATACAAAAATTAATTCAAGATGGATTAAAGACTTAAATGTTAGACCTAAAACCATAAAAACTCTAGAAGAAAACCTAGGCAATACCATTCAGGACATAGGCATGCGCAAGGACTTCATGTCTAAAACACCAAAAGCAATGGCAACAGAAGCCAAAATTGACAAATGGGATCTAATTAAACTAAAGAGCTTCTGCACAGCAAAAGAAACTACCATCAGAGTGAACAGGCAACCTACAACATGGGAGAAAATTTTTGCAATCTACTCATCTGACAAAGGGCTAATATCCAGAATCTACAATGAACTCCAACAAATTTACAAGAAAAAAACAAACAGCTCCATCAACAAGTGGGCAAAGGATATGAACAGACACTTCTCAAAAGAAGACATTTATGCAGCCAAAAGACACATGAAAAAATGCTCATCATCACTGGCCATCAGAGAAATGCAAACCAAAACCACAATGAGATACCATCTCACACCAGTTAGAATGGCGATCATTAAAAAGTCAGGAAACAACAGGTGCTGGAGAGGATGTGCAGAAATAGGAACACTTTTACCTGTTGGTGGGACTGTAAACTAGTTCAACCATTGTGGAAGTCAGTGTGGCGATTCCTCAGGGATCTAGAACTAGAAATACCATTTGACCCAGCCATCCCATTACTGGGTATATACCCAAAGGATTATAAAACATGCTGCTATAAGGACACATGCGCACACGTATGTTTATTGCAGCACTATTCACAATAGCAAAGACTTGGAACCAAGCCAAATGTCCAACAATGATAGACTGGATTAAGAAAATGTGGCACATATACCCCATGGAATACTATGCAGCCATAAAAAATGATGAGTTCATGTCCTTTGTAAGGACATGGATGAAGCTGGAAACCGTCATTCTCAGTAAACTATCGCACGGACAAAAAACCAAACACCACATGTTCTCACTCATAGGTGGGAATTGAACAATGAGAACACATGGACACAAGAAGGGGAACATCACACACCGGGACCTGTTGTGGGGTGAGGGGAGAGGGGAGGGATAGCATTAGGAGATATACCTAATATTAAATGATTAGTTAATGGGTGCAGCACACCAACATGGCACATGTATACATATGTAACAAACCTGCACGTTGTGCTCATGTACCCTAAAACTTAAAGCATAATAAAAAAAAAAACTAATGCTTTTACTGCATCTATTGATATGATCATGTGATTTTTCTTCTTTGTCTTATTGATGTGATCGATTATATCGAATTGATTTTCAAATGTTGAACCAGCCTTGCATACCTGGGATAAATTCTGCTTGGTGGTGGTGTATACATCTTTTTCACATTATTGGGTTTAATTGGCTAATATTTTGTTGAGGATTTTGCAGCAGTGTCTAAGAGAGATGTTGGTGTGAATTCGTTTGCTTAGATTGTCTGTGTCTGCCTTAGTGTTGGGATGATGTTGGCTTTGTAGAATGAGTTAAGAAGTATGTCCCCTGCTTTTATCTTTTAAAGGAGATTACAAAGAATTGGTACAACTGTTCCTTAAATGTTTGGTAGAATTCTCTAGTCAGCCCATCTGAGCCTGGTGCTTTCTGTTTTAGATGTTTATTAATTATTGATTCAATTTCTTTAATCGATATAAGCCTATTCATATTGTCTGTTTCTTCTTGTGTGAGTTTTGGCAGATTGTGGTTTTCAAGGAATTGACCCACTTCATCTGTTATCAAATTTGACCTATTCATCATTATGTTATGCCCATCTTTATCCCTGATAATTTTCTGTGGTCTAAAGTCAACTCTATATGAAATTAACATAGGTTCTTTTGTTTTCTTTTGATTAGTGTTGGTATGGTATATCTTTCTCCATCTATGTACTTTTAATCTATATGTATTTTTATATTAAAAATGAGTTTCTTTTAGACTACATATAGTGTACAAGTGTCTTATTTCTTGGTCTACTCTTTCTTTTTTAAAAACCTTATTTTTTAGGTTCAGAGGTACATGTGCAGGTTTATTGTATAGATAAACACGTCATAGGGGTTTGTTGTAGAGATAATTTCATCACCCAGGTATTAAACCTAGTACCCAATAGTTATTTTTCCTGCTTCTCTCCCTTTTCCTACCCTCTACCCTCAGGTAGGCCCCAATGTCTGTTGTTTCCCTCTTTGTGTCTATGTGTTCTCATCTTTTAGCTCCCACTTATAAGTGAGAACATGCAGTATTTGGTTTTCTGTTCCTGTGTTAGTTTGCTAAGGATAATGGCCTCCAGCTCCATTCATGTTCCTGCAAAGAACATGATCTTGTTCTTTTAACTTCCGCACAGTATTCCATGGTGTATATGTACCACATTTTCTTTCCATGCCCCATTGCTTGATTTTGTCAGCTTTGTTAAAGATCAGATGGTTGTAAGTGTGCGACCTTATTTCTGGGTTCCGGTCTCTTTATTCTGTTCCATTAGTCTATGTGTCTGTTTTTGTATCAGTATCATGCTGTTTTGGTTACTGTACCCCTGTGGTATAGTTGAAAGTCAGGTAACGTGATGCCTCCAGCGTTTTCTTTTCTTTTTTTTTTTTTTCTTAGGATTGCCTTGGCTATTCAGGCTCTTTTTTGGTTCCATATGAATTTTAAAATAGTTTTTCTAGTTCTGTGAAGAATGTCATAGGTAGTTTGATAGGAATAGCATTGAATCTATAAATTACTTTTGGCAGTATGGCCATTTTAATGATATTGATTCTTCCTATCCCTGAGCATGGGACGTTTTTCCATGTTCTTGTGTTACCTCTGATTTCTTCATGCAGTGTTTTGTAGTTCTCCTTGCAGAGATCTTTCACCTCCCTGGTTAGCTGAATTCCTTGGTATTTTATTCTGTTTTTAGCATGAGATTCTTTTGTGAATGGGATTGCATTTCTGATATGGCTCTTGGCTTGACTGTTGTTGGCATAAAGGAATGCTAGTGATTTTGGTATGTTTATTTTGTATCCTGAAACTTTGCTGAAGTTCTTTATCAGCTTAAGGAGCTTTTGGGCCAAGACAATGGGGTTTTCTAGATACAGGATCATGTCGCCTACAAACAGGGATAGTTTGACTTCCTCTCTTTTTATCTAGATGCTCTCTATTTCTTTCTCTTGCCTGATTTCTCTGGCCAGGACTTCCAATACTGTGTTTAACAGGAGTAGTGAGAGATGGCATCCTTGCTTTGTGCCAGGTTTCAAGGGGAATTCTTCCAGCTTTTTCCCATTCGGTATGATGTTGGCTGTGGGTTTGCCATAGAAACCTCTTATTATTTTGAGGTATCTTCCTTCAATACCTAATTTATTGAGAGTTTTTAACATGAAGCGATGTTGAATTTTATCAAAAGCCTTTTCTGCATCTATTGAGATAATCATGTGGTTTTTGTTTCTAGTTCTGTTTATGTGATGAATCACATCTATTGATTTGTATATGTTGAACTGACCCTGCACCACAGGAATAAAGCTTACTTGATTATGGTGGGTAAGCTTTTTGGTGTGCTGCTGAATTCAGTTTGTGTTGAGGATTTGTGCATCAACGTTCATCAAGGATATTGGCCTGAGGTTTTCTTTTTTTGTTGTGTCTCTGCCAGGTTTTGTCATCAGGATGATGCTGGCCTCATAGAATGAGATGGAGAGGGGTCCCTCCTCCTCAATTTCTTTCATTTTTTTTTTTTGCTTTTTTTATTATACTTTAAGTTTTAGGGTACATATGCACAACCTGCAGGTTAGTTACATATGTATACATGTGCCATGTTGGTGTGCTGCACCCAGTAACTTGTCATTTAGGTATATCTCCAACATTAGGTATATCTCCAAATACTATCCCTCCCCCCTCTCCCCACCCCACAACAGGCCCCGGTGTGTGATGTTCCCCTTCCTGTGTCCATGTGTTTTCATTGTTCAAGTCCCAATTTCTTGGAATAGTTTCAGTAGGAATGGTACAAGCTCTTCTTTGAACATCCGGTAGAATTCGGATGTGAATCCTTCTGGTCCTGAACTTTTTTGTTGGTGAGCTATTTATTACCGATTCAGCTTCAGAGCTCATTATTGGTCTGTTCAGGGTTTAACTTTCTTCCTAAGTTTCAATCTTCAGAGGGTGTATGTGTCCAGAAATTTATCCATTTCTTCTAAATCTTCTAGTTTGTGTGCATAGAGGGGTTCATAACATTCTCTGATGATCATTTGTATTTCTGTGAGGTGAGTGCTTATGTACCCTCTGCTGTTTCCAATTATCTTTATTTGGATCTTCTCTCTTTTCTTCTTTATTAGTCTAGCTAATGGTCTAACTTTTTTTTTTCAAAAGATAAACTTCTGGAATTGTTGATCTTTTGGATGTTTCTCTGTGTCTCAATCTCCTTCAGTTCAGCTCCGATTTTGGTTATTTCTTGTCTTCTGCTAGCTTTGGGGTTGGTCTTCTCTTGCTTCTTTAGTTCTTTTAGTTGTAATATTAGGTTGTTAATTTGGGATCTTTCTAACTTTTTAATGTGGGCATTTATTGCTTTAAATTTCCCTCTTAAAACTGCTTTACCTGTGTCCCAGAGATTCTGGTATGTTACTATCTTTGTTCTCATTAATTTCAAAGAACTTCTTGATTTCTGCCTTAATTTCAGTATTTACCCAAAAGTCATTCAGAAACAGATTGTTTCATTTCCATGTTTTGAATGATTTTCTTAGACCTGAATTCTATTTTTATTGTGCTGTGGTCTGAGAGTGTAGTTGGTATGATTTTGGCTCTTTTGCATTTGCTGAGGATTGTTTCATGTCCAATTGTACACTGAATTTTATATGCCATGCGGCAATGAGAAGAATGTATATTCTGTCCTTTTGGGGGTACAGAGTTCTGTAAATGTCTATCAGATCCATTTGGTCCAGTGTTGAGTTCAGGTCCTGAATATCTTTTTCAATTTTCTGCCTCAATGATCTCTCTAGTACTCTCAGTGGGTGATGAAGTTTCCTACTATTATTGTGTGGGAGTCTAAGTCTCTTTGAAGGTCTCTAAGAACTTGTCTTATGAATCTGAGCACTCCTGTGTTGGGTGCATATATATATATAGGATAGTTATGTCTTCTTGTTGAATTGAACCCTTTACTGATATGTAATGACCTTTTTTTGTCTTTTTTGATCTTTGTTGGTTTAAAGTCTGTTTTGTCTGAAGTTAGGATAGCAATCCCTGTTTTTTTCTGTTTTCCATTTGCTTGGTAGATTTTTCTCCATCCCTTCATTTTGAGCCAATATGTGTCATTGCATGTGAGATGGTTCTCTTGAAGACAGTATACCATTGGGTCTCGATTGTTTATCCAGCTTGCCACTCTGTGCCTTTTAATTGGGGCATATAGCATGTTTACCTTCAAGGTTAGTAGTGATATGTGTGGGTTTGATCCTGTCATCATGTCATTAGTTGATTATTTTGAAGACTTTTTGTGTGGTTGCTCTATAATATTACTGGTCTGTGTGCTTAAGTGTGCTTTTGTAGCGGCTGATAGTACCCTTTTCTTTCCATAATTAGTGCTTCTTGCAGGAGCTTTTGTAAGGCAGGTCTGGTGGTAATGAATTCCCTCAGCATTTGCTTGTCTGAAAAGGATCTTATTTCTCCCTCACTTATGAAGCTTGGTTTGGCCAGATATGAAATTCTTGGTTGGAATTTCTTTTCATTAAGAATGTTGTATATTAGTCCCCGGTCTCTTCTGGCTTGTAGGGTTTCTGCTGAGAGATCTGTGTTAGTCTGATGGACTTCGCTTTGTAGGTCATCTGTCCTTTCTCTCTAGCTGCCTTTATTTTTTTATTTTGACCTTGGAAAATCTGATGATTATATGTCTTGGGGATTATCTTCTTGGGAAATATCTTGTAGGGGTTCTCTGCATTTTCTTATATGAATGTTGCCCTGGCTAGCTAGGTTGGGGATGTTCTCATGGATGATATCCTGAAATATGTTTTCCAAATTGCTTCCTTTCTCCCCATCTCTTTCGGGGCCATCAATGAGTCACAGATTTGGTCTCTTTACATAATCCCATAATTCTTGGCAGTTTTGCTTATTCCTTTTTAATCTTCATTCTTTATTCTTGTTCAACTGTTTTACTTCAGAAAGCTAGACTTCAAACTCTGAGATTTTTTCCTCAGTTTGGTCTATTCTGCTGTTAATGCTTGCAATTGCATTATCAAATTTTTGTAGTGTGTTTTTAAGCTCTATCAGGTCAGTTACATTCTTTTCTATACTGGCTATTTTGTGTGTTAGTTCCTATATCATTTTATTGTAATTCTTAGCTTCCTTGGATTGAGCTTCAATGTTCTCCTGCATCTGAATGATCTTCATTCCTACCCATATTCTTAATTCTACTCCTGTCATTTCAGCTATCTCAGCCTAGTTAAGAACCTTTGGCCTGGTTAAGAACCCTTGCTAGCGAATTACTGTGACAGTTTAGAGGAAAGAAATCACTCTGGCTTTTTGAGTTGTCAGGGTTCTTGCAGTGGTTCTTTGTCATCTTTGTGAGCTAATGGTGCTTCAATCATTGAAGCTGCTCTCCTTTGGATGAGTATTTTTTCTTGTATCTTATTTGATGACCTTGGGGGTTTGATTGCAGTATTTCATGGACTCAGTCGATTGGCTTCTTTCTGGAACATTTTAGGGGGCCAATGCTCAGCTCAGAACTCCTGGACTGCATGTTCTAACTCTGTCAGACTGATACCAGACCCCAGCTTTGTTCTCTGGCTCCTCGAGAGTAGGAACCTGCTGCACTGGAGGGGCCAATTTGCTCCTGGACTGTTGGTCACGACACTCCAATGGGTGGTGCCAGCCAAAGCAATCCATAAGGCAGTGGCAGTGGAATTCATCCTTGTTTGTATGTGTCAGCAGCAGCAGCAATGTGACAGGGTGCATGCTCCTTGGCTCTTGCAGGGTGCTAGTGGGTGCTTGGTTGCTGACCTCCATGTGGGCATTTGCAGCAGTAGCAGTGGCAGCACAGCTTGGGGAGGCAGGTGATTTTCGCTGGTGATTGTGCATGCATTCACATTAGTGGTGGTGTTAGCATGGGAGCAGGGTGCTGGTGGGCATAGGACTGTGTGCACCCTCTGTGCTCATTCATGCAGGCAGCAGTGGCCACTTAGGATGAGGGAGGATCCATTGTTCTCTGTGCCTTGTTTCTCAGTGGAGGTAGTGTTGGCACAGGGCAGGGCTCTGGCAGGGGCAAGGCTGGAAGGCTTCAGATGACAATGATGGTGTGGCCAGGAAGGGGGTACAGGGTGCAACCACTCTGGCAACAGTGGCACGGCAAGGTGCATATGCACATGCACACTGTCAGGGAAGGGAAGGCAAGGTCCAACTGTGCACACACTTGCTGGCAAAGTGATGTGGGGGGTGACTGTGGGTAAGCACATTCAGGTAAGGTAGCACAGGGGAGGCTGCAGTAGGGGAAGGGCAGTGGTGGGCTGGTGCATGTCTGCAGAGGCCACTTTGCTGGAGCACTCTGCCAGTCAGGCACAGTCCACCAGTGGAGGAGCTATAATCTAGGATCCCAGCAGGGTCTTGGGGGCTACACTGTAGGCAGACATGGCCAGGCTTGTGCCCCAACAGAGGCCAGCAGTCCGACGTGTGCTCATGTTAGACTGGCACCATCTCATGGGCAAGAATGCCCTGCAGAATTCAGGACCAATAGTTCCCCTAGGGCTGAAGTCTGCTATGGGAGAAAGTTGAGCCTAGTCGGATGGGCATCTCTGGATGTGCTCTACTGCAGACGCTCTGGCATCGAACACTCTGGACTTTTGCACTGGCTGGAGTTCTGCCCCTATCATTTCTCTAACCAACTCTCCCTGCCAACTCAAGTGTCTGTGGTGGTCAAGGGTTCTGCCAGGATTCTCGAGGCCTGTGGCAAGAGTAGGTTTCTCCTTGCCTGTTCAACTCTCCCCTTCCGCAAGAGTTGTTTGGGGCCAGGCATGAGGCCCTGTGCACAGTAGCCCCGTGCAGCATTTCCAGCTTTCTCCCACTTCAGTCCAGCATTTGTGTCTTCCCTCCATTTGCTCATAATGCACATTGTGCATTATGTGCTCCTCCATTTGCTCCATTTTCCCTCTGAAAATCTGCTAAGAGTGTGCCAGTTTTCCTGATGTTCCAGTCTCTTAGTGGCCAATGTTCCTCCTTGCTGTGTCTAGTCAGCCATTTTGGAGAGACTTAGAGAGATAAGGTTTCTGTAGTTCTTTAACATGGCATCCCTATACACATTCTGCTGAGCAGCATCCAGGCTTTGCCACTCCTCCAGAGAGAATTCTATGGCCACATCCCTGAAAGTCTACAGTCCTGCAGGTCACAGGGTCGCAGAGGCTAGACCTCTAGGAGCAGAAGACACAGAGCAGTGAAGATGAGACCTGGAGCTCTGGCTGCAGTGAGAAACCCATATACATTCTTAATGTAGTACTGAAGCTGGCAGTGTTTGGAATCAGATGCTTCACAAAATGCCATGCACATGGTAAATATTCAAATGCAGGAATTGCTGTTACTACTTCTACTATTGCTGCTGCTACTGCTACTCCTACTACTACTCCTGCTACTACTATTACTAGAACTAGAAACTGCCGGAGGCAAGGTTGAACTCGTGTCTCCTGATTGAGCCCAGTTCTGTTTGTTCCCATTGCTGCTTTGCGTATAATAAGTACATAGTTAATAGTGGACAGTGGAATATTTGATTCCACTCTCTTTGCCTCCTTCTGCATCCTCTTTTGGAGTCATGTGGCCAGGGGAGGGCATAGGGGATTTTAGTGAGCAAAAGAGGACTGGTTTTTCCCCCTGAGCAGACATACATGTGTGCAGCACCAGCAATCTAGTGTTGGAAGCTACCTTTGACATCATTTCCTCTGCAAATAATTTCTACAGCACCATTAGGAGGTTCACCCAGCTCTGCCTGTATTCACCTTTCTCCTTCAAAAGGCTGCCAGTCCCAGAACTGTTTAGCCCAGTAGTGAGAACTTTATTCTGGTGCCTTTTGGTGCTTTTGCCTTATTCTGCCTGATGAAAAGACAGTTTTTCTAGCAGGGACAGGGAGCCTTCCAGCTCTGACAATCCTCTTTCTCTTTTGTTTTACATGAGGGATCTGGCAGCCAAAGCAATCACCCAAATTTCCATGCGTATCACTTTTCACTCTGTTCCTTTTGGCCTTGGTTTTAGGTATTGGCTTTGAAAATATCATTTTGCCATTAATGCTGGGGTTAATGAGTAACTAAGTGTAGCTAGTTTTGCAATACAGAATATGTTATAGAGATGAAAAGGTTTTTCTTTCTGAGACATGCAAATGGCTTCTTGGGCATGCTTTATAAGTACGTTTTTTTCTTTTTGGGAACCTTTAACATCTCTATCAGCAAGTCAGAGTTCCAAATCACTATGAGGTCTGAACTGCCAGCTCCAGGATCCAAGGCTTAAGTGTGACCATCTGATCATTGGCTTCCTACCTGTCTCAGCAACTTTTTACAGAAAGAGGACTATGGCTACAATATGGAGACTGGATGAAGTGTGAAAGAAATGAAGATGAGATGGAGGAGATAGAAGACAATGTGGCCTGTTGGGAGTTGATGCAGTAGTTCAGGCCTTGGACTTGACGCAGTGGCAGCAGGGATGGAAAGAAGGGAGTTTTGAGAGGTATTTAGAAGGTAATACTCACAGGACATCATGACTCATTAAATGTGAGCAATAAGAATGAAGAAAACCCCTAGCACAATGCCTAGATTTTTGGCATGGGGGTTTCAGTAGACAGTGATATGATAGCCTGAAAATGTGGAACAAAGAAGGAGAAGACTTGAGGGTATGATGAGTTTACTTTTGGAAACTTTGAGATTGATATATGTGTGGACCATCCTGGTGGATATATCTAACAGTGAGCTGGATAAACGGCTAGGAACACAGGAGAGCAATCCGAGTTAGAGATATGTAGTTTTGTGAGGTAGAAGTTGAGTTTCTGGGAGTGGATTATATCACCCAGTAAGAGGATAGAGGTCTAAGGAAGGAGCCCTGTCCTGACTCCAGGGATCTCTTCCCTCTGACCACTCATGTCCGTGGTCATTGGTGATTTCACAGCTGACCCCCTTACTCCATTGCCTTGTATTCTTCCAAGTTCAGAGCATGTAACACCATATTTTTCTGGCTTCCTCACTAGCAATTTAGAAATAATGCACGTGGATATTAAGAATAACAGTGTTAAATGCCTTGCAACGTAAAATGACTCTTTAGATGATAATGATGATAAGAGCAATCTAAAATGTAGACATTTACATCTTTATCTCCTTCTTGTTCAAAAATACTTCTGTGATTTCCATGTATTGCACAAATGCATGGATTTCAACATGTGATCTTGCACACGGCTCCACAAACTCCCACCCTTCCTTCCCAACAAAACATATATTGTGAAAATTATTCTCCTTTTTCTTTTAGTAGAAGAAAGTATGAATCTTCTCTCATCTCATCTCTTACAGATTTTATCTTAAGAAAAGGCCAAATTAAAGAAAAACACAATCCAAAATTCTAATCTACAGATAATAGTGTATGCCAAGGGAATACTAGTTTTATCTAAGGATTCTTCCTTCTTCAAAAGGCTGCCTCTGATTAAAATCAAAAGTGCTTCAATTTCCATGAAGTTAATTTACTCACAGCAATTTCATAATTTTGCTATTACATCTAAATGAGAGGCCATGGCATTATTTCCGTGCCCCAGCAAGCCACTTCTCCTACTCCCTGCCCACATGAGATGAATCATCAGTTTTTCAAGGGAGAGAGACCTCCACCCAGCCCCTGGTGAATACCTCATCAAAATTTGGTATTGTTTTTAAATCAAGGTAGGAGATTATTATGTTTCTCTGGCTAGGAGTATTTCATCCAACAAAGTTCCCCTAATGGTTCTCTTACTTCATCTCTTATAGAGTATCTTTCTTCTAAAATGTCACCATTCCTCTATCTGGTTCACTTGGTACTTGAGCTTCATGCTACAGTTCACTGTACATCACCTAACAACTCTGAAGGCAAAGTAATCACCTACCATTTGTCCCAACAAAATGCTACTCCATATAAAATATCATTAATTAATTCTGACTTTGCATTCAACCTGTATTGGAGTTTCATTGTGGATATCCCACATAGAAACACTTTCTTTTCTCTTGTGAGCATTTTTGCAGTTTTGGCCATGCTTTCCCTTGAGGCATACTCCAGGACCCAAACTCAGATCCTGGGGTGTTTGGGATTCAACCTTACAGACACATCAATGATAGAGATCTTGCATGGCTTCCAGCACATGATCTACTCACTGAATTTTCCAAAGAAGAAGCTAGAACTGCAAATGGGAAACACTCTCTTCACTGGAAAGTGGCTGGAACCACTGGCAAAGTTATTGGATGATGTGAAAACATGTCAAAATAGTCTCTGAGACTTACTTCCCCAATGTTTCTGGATTCCAGTAGGAGATAAAAGGTAATATGGAAAGGAAAGCCAAAGGAAAAGTTGTAAGCCTTATCCACACCCTCAAACTGAACTTCATCATGGTCTTAGTGAACTCGATTTGCTTTAAAGGTAAAGTCCTAAGTGTCAATTTTAAGATCAATGTTAAGATCATTTGAAAATAGAAGAGGAAGCTCTGGATCTCTTCTCACTAGCCTAAACAGGTCTTCTCATACCACAGTGACATGCTCCCCGGCCATTGCTGCACATTATATGGGCATCTTTCATAGGGAGGTATGGGTCACACAGCTCTGTGAGTTATTCTAGGAAATTTCAATGGAGAGGGTACTTTCAGAGAGATGGGTGACAATGGCATGAATATCCTTCTCACGTCTCTTTAGAGCATAAGATTTTCCAAAAAATTTGGTGAGGTGAGAAAAGTCTGCATTTGGCGCGTGTCAGATTTGGGTTTAGACTCCACTGTGACCTGCACTTTTTGTGCACTCTGAGGCAAATTACATACATTCTTCTATCATGTTGTGTTAGTCTTCTCAGGCTGTCATAAAAATATCATTGACTGGGTGGCTTAAACAATACAAATTAATTTCTCACAGTCCTGTAGGCAAGGTACCAGCTCATTTAGTTTCCAGTGAGGGCTCTCTTCCTTAATTGCTCATGGCTGTCTTTTTGCTGTGTCCTCACATGGCCTTTGCTTGGCACCTTGCATGTGGAGAGAGAAATCTCAGTCTCTCCTCCATTTCTAATAAGGCCCCCAATCCTATCAGATTAGAACTCTGCCTTTATTGTTTAATTTAATCTTTAAACTATCTCCTAAAAGCCCTGTTTTCAAATACAGTCACATTGAGGGTTGGAGCTTCAACATAGAAAACTTGGGGAAATATAATTCAGTCCATAAAACATGTACTATGCACAATAGTTTTAATTTTGATGTAGTGCACTTTGCTTTTCTGTTCCCTGCACTTTTGATGTCATATCCAATAAATCATTAACAAATTTAATGTCATGAAGGTTTATTATTATGTTTTCTTCTAAGAGTTTGGTGGTTCTAGCTCTTACATTTAGGACTCTGATTCATTTTCAGTTGATTTTTTTGGTGTGGAATAAGGTATTGGTCCACCTTAATTCCTTTGCTTTTGGATATCCATTGTTTTGTCATATCATTTGTTGAAAAGTGTGTCCTTTCCCCATTGAATGTCTTGGCACCTCTGTTGAAAATCATTTACCATGTATTTGAGGGTTTATTTCTGGGCTTTCTGTCCTATTTTATTGTTCTAATATGTCTGTCCTTAAGTCAGTACCATATTTTTTTGATTACTGTAGCTTTGGAGTATGTGTCAAAATCAGAAAATGTGAAACCTTGAACTTTGTTCCTTTTCAAGATTGTTTTGAATATTTGGGGGCCTTTGAAATTCCATATGAATTTTAAGACAAATTTCTGTATTTCTGCAAAAAGTATTGTCAGGATTTGGTAAGGATCTGTAGATTGCTTTGTGTACTGTGTACATCTTAACAATGTTGTCTTCATATCTATGAACAAGGGATGTCTTTCCATTTATTTGTGTCTTTGTTAATTTTTCAGCAACACTTCACAGTTTCCAGTGTATAAATATTTCTCCTTCTTAGTTCAGTCCTAAGTATTTTACTTTTTATGATGCTGTTGTAAATATAATTATTTTCTTAATTTCCTTTTCAGATCGTTAGTGTCATTTATTCACATAATATCTCGTATATTTTTTTCTGTATTCTAATCAGACTTCATTCTAAATGTTGTATCTGTGTTCCACTTGTTCAAGTAGGAATCGCCTGGTTAGTCTGTATTTTTGTCTGTACTGTTACTGAAGTTTGTTACCTCCCTACCCCCATATCCTTTGACAACTACATTTTGCCTGCATATGCCATCCCCTCCATCCACCAAACTAGATGTTGTCTCAGAAAATATGTATTCAAAGCCCCAGTATTATAATTTGGTACGTAAAAGAGCATAAGTATTAATGACATAGTAGCTGAAATTCTAGCCATAAGGTGAAACCTTTTAGCAAAAGTGTGAAAGTGCTGTTGCAGGCATTGTACTTTTCATTTGTAATTAATATATGCTATTTAAAAATATGTGTCCCATAACCATTTTAAATTTTTTTCTCATCAGACCCACTTGCATGTAGGTTGCTTACTCTTGGTCTAGTTCAGACTTTGGTTTTAGAGATAAAAAATTGGAATCCCAGAGAGGGAAAGTAACTTGTGGCTCAGAAAATTAATTGATAACATTGAGTTTGGTTTCACTGAAGTTATATTACAATCTCGGCTTTGCTACTTACACTGTTTTGTGACATTGGGGCAGATGCTTAAACCTTGCATAACTTATTTTCCTCATCTGTCAAATGGGAGTGTAATAATATTCATGTCATCAGGTTTTTGTAAACACTCACTGCAGCAAAGCATTTAATGTGCTTATTATAGAGCCTGACACTTGATAAGAGCCCTGTTAATGTAAGTTGTTTCAATCATGTTGATCAACATCAGACAGTGGGGCTGGTGTAAATTTCATTTGGAGATTGGTGAAATGAAAGATTTTTTCTTATTCAAATTCATGCATCCTTTGAATTTTACTCTTAGACCTTTTTAAAGGGTTTGTGGACCCTAGGTTAAAATCTCCACCTTAGGAAAGTACCTTTATATCTAAATACACACATAGAGGAGAGCTTCCCACTGATCAAAAATATTTATGACAGATGATTAGGTGAGCAGACATAAACTTCTCTCTTCTTAAGAATCTGATTTATTGCTGGGCCCATTTACTAAGCAGCGTAACCTTACTCCAAGTAACACAGAAATTGGTAGCCGTAGTAGAGATGTTGCAGATTACATTCTCCTGAAAGCAGATTCTGAAACAGTATTTATTGTACAGGATGTTTATGTGGGAGTGCTCTTGGGATAAATAGCTGTGGGGGAAAAAAGGGAAAAAAGCAGAATTGGGCAGGGGCAGAAATCAAGGTGAAATGCAGGCCCAAACAGCAAAAGTCTCTTGGATGACTGTATGAAGAGATCTGTAGTAAAAGTGGCCCGAGTTGTTTTGCATCGGGTCAAAATATCTGGGCCTACACACACACACACCTTGATCACTCACTGTATCAGAGTGAGATGTCTCCTGCAACTGAGGCTGTCTTTGATGGGCTAAAAGCTGAAGACTGCCTGCTGACAGGACTCCCGACATCTCAGACAATACGTCCTTTCTTAGAGGGAATCTGTATGGGGCACCTCCATGTCCAATGCTGGTTCACCCCTTTTGCTGATCAAATTTACTTCTTCATATAAGTCTGGGAAATAGCTCCTCCAGGGTTCTGGTGCATCTTTCTTTTCGGGGGGAAACAGAGAAAGAAAATTTTTGGAATGTACAATACAAGAACCCTGCATTTCACAATATTAAATAAATTCCAGATAGATTAAAGATTAAAGTGTAGAAACCTTGAAAGCATTAAAAACATAGGATATTTTATACTACAGCGGATGGCCAGGATTCTTGAAATAATAACGAAGTTAAACACATAAAGGAATATATTAGAAAATTTGACCTCAAGAATAAAGCCTTATAATTGAAAAAGTACATTTTGAGCAAAATGAAAATAAAATAATAGATAAGTTATTTGCAGTAAGTATACCAGACACAATGACATAATAAATGCCTACAAAGTTATAAGACAATGACATACAATCCATAAAGGGGGTAAAATTAAAAAAAATTAATTCTCAGATAAAAAGAAAAGATTGTCCAGTAAACCTTTGTATGAAAAATGCTGTTCCAGGACCTATCACAGCTTTATAAAAACCAAATCCCTTGTGGTGGGGCCTGTGCACATTTTTTTTTTTTTTTTTTTTTTTGCTATTCTTATCTTAAAGTTTTGATTTTTTAATTGCGGTAAAACACACATATTAAGAGTACAAAAATCATAAATATTTAGCTCAATAAATTTTAATAAGTGAACATACTGATGTAACCAGCACCAAGAGGATATTATCTATACCCTAGAATCCACATTTATGCCCCTTTTCTGTTATAACTGCCTCCCCCAAATAAACCATTATCTTTACTCCTAATGCTACAAATTAGCTTTATCTGTGATGTTTTAAAACTTATATAAATATAAATAGAATCATATAGTTTATATTCTTTGGTGTCTGGCTTTTTTTTCCCACTCAGCACTATGTTTATTATATTCATTTATATTTTTGCATGCAGTTATGGATTGTTCAGTCTCATTGTTGTGTGGTATTTTGTTGTTTGATAATACCACATTTTATTGATCCATTCTACTGTTGATTGACATTTGGGTAATTTTCAGTTTTGAGCTATTATGAATAGGGTCTCTCTGAGCATTATTGTACAGATTTTTTGGTGAGTAAGTATATACCTTCCTGTTGTATAGAAAACGAGGAGTGGAATTGCTGGAACATAGGATGTACATATAATCAGCTTCCAGAGACTTCTCTCTGCCTAGGCCAGAACCTTGATTGTCAGCATATTGCTGCATTCACATTGACAGATTTCCCCAGGGAAAGCTGTTGCACATCATCAAAGTAAATTCTTTTCTGTCTCCAACTCTTGCCCCTTGAATATAGTGAAGTATTCTCAGCATAACTCCACTTGGGGAGTTTTTGTCTCCCAGGTCTTGAGAAAGTATTGGAAATTCCATTCTACTTTCCAGAGGGATTTCAACTTAGCTTTTTAGGCTCCCTCCTTTTTCAGTTTTGGAATTTAGCAAATGTCTTGAGAGGGGTTCTGGTTATGTGTGTGAGTCCTCTCAAGTTTTCAAATTTGTCACTCTGTTTCCCTGTGGCCACCAAAATCTCATCTGGTTTGTTCATTCCCCATCAGCTACCCTCTGCCAGAAATGGCAAAATCTTCATGGAAAAAAGAAATCGTAGCTCCTCAGTACATCTTGGAAAGATTCTACCTTCTTCGGAATTTTTGAGCACCAAAAGTTTTGTGAATACTGTTTGAGCACCAAAATTAAGGAACTATAGCTACATGCCCAAACATGAATATATCTCAAAAAATGTTTCCTGATAAAAGCCAAGTTGAAGAATGAATAAAGTATGACACTGTTTACATCACTGTAAAGCACATAAAACAATACTAAATAATTAATGGACACATATATATGAAATAAAAGTATAAAAATATAGACTGGGAATATTCATGATAAGGCTTACTTCTGGGGGAAGAAGAGTAGCAATGGGTTTGAGAAGGAGAATAAAGAGTAATTCAACCATATCTACAATTGTTTATTTCATTTTTATTTTTTTCTCAGGGAATACGACAAAAAATAAAACATATAAACATTTTTTAGAACTGTGTGACTGGCATCTAGGTGCTGTTATGTTATTCTCAGTACTTCCTTGTAGGTTTTATTTATTTTTTTGACACAGGGTCTCACTCTATCACCCAGGCTGGAGTGCAATGGCATGAACACCGCTCACTACAGCCTTGACCTCCTGGGCTCAAGTGATCCTCTTACCTTAGCCTCATAAGTAGCTGGGACTACAGGTGTGTGCCACCACTCCTGGCTAATTTTTTTTTTTTTTTTTTTTGTAGAGATGGTGTTTCACTGTGTTTCCAAAGCTAGTCTGAAATTCCTGTGCTCAAGCGATCCTCCTGCCTAAGCCTCCCAAAGTGCTGGCATTACAGGCATGAGCCACTGTGCCTAGCTCCTGTATAGGTTTTGAAACTTTTAAATGTTAAAAAAGGAAACTCAGTTCAAATATAACCTCTCTGGTGAAGCAGTCCCTGATTCCCTCAAGCAGATTTACCAGTTCTCTTCTCCCTATGCCCACAGATTTTTCTCAACATCTACAATAGTAGATGTCAGGGAGAAAAATATTAATCACAATCTATTTGAATGATCTATTTGCTCACATTGCCACCTCCATATGAAAAACTATATAAGGAACCAACTCATACTCTGGTAAGTAATTAAAAAGTTTAACTACATCAGAGTACCTGGAGGTGGAGTCCAGGCATGAGCATTTTTTAAGAACTTCAGGTGACTCTAATGTGTAGCCAGGGGCAAGAACTACTGCTTTTGATTTGAGCTCCATGAGAGCAGGTATTCTTGAAGGGTGGAGGTATTCTTGAAGGGTGGAGGCTGGATCTCCCTTTTCACCTTTTGTGTCTGACAGTATAAAGCTGCTAGTTTGTTTTGTGTCATCCTGGAACAGCACCTGTGATACTCCTGTTAATATCAACTTGGGTTCATCTATTTCATAAGACTGTTAAAGAGAAAAATGTAAGTTACTACAAATTACAGACCTGATGACAGCAGCAAGCCCATCTGGAAGGTCATGTAAGTCATAGCTTTGCTCCTTTGAAAGGTCCAGCCTGATCAGAGGTCCACTGATCATTGACTGAACTATGTCATACAAAATAAATGGAGTATTTTCTGGAGCCAAATACTCTCCACACATAATTCTTTGAAATTCTCTTTACTTTATTATGGTGGATTGGGGGATATTTCCCTGAAGTAGTTTATGAAAGTAAAAACAAAATTGTTGCTTTATTCTCCTACAACTACACCAAACTATGTTCTTGGCCACTTGAACTGTTTTTTAATTTTTAATTTTTGTGGGTACATAGTAGGTGTATGTATTTATGGAGTACATGAGATCTTTTGATACAGGCATGCAATGACTAATAATCACAGGATGGAAAATGGGGTATCCACCCTCTCAAGCATGTATCATTTTTGTTACAAACAACCCAATTGTACTCTTTTAGTTATTTTACAGTGTACAATTAAATTATTATTGACTATAGTCACCCTTTTGTGTTATCAAATACTAGGTCATATTCATTCCTTCTAACTATTTTCTGTACCCATTAACCACCCCTACCTCCCCTGACTTCCCCTGTACTCTTCCCAGCCTCTGGTAGCCATCCTTCTACTCTGTACCTCCATGAGTTCAATTGTTTTGACTTTTAGATCCCACAAGTAAGTGAGAACATGTAATGTTTGTCTTCCTGTGCCTGGCTAATTTCACTTAACACAATGATCTCCAGTTCCATCCATCTTGTTGCAAATGACAGGATCTCATTCTTTTGTATGGCTGAATATTACTCCATTGTGTATATGTACTACATTTTCTTTGGCCATTCATCTGTTGGTGGATACTTAGGTTGCTTCCAAATCTTGGCTGTTCTCAACAGGGCTGCAACAAACATAGGAGTGCAGATAACTCTTCGATATATGGATTTCCTTTCTTTTGAGAATATACCCAGCAATATGATTGCAGTATCGTGTCATAGCTCTGTTTTTAGTTTTTTGAGGAAACTCCATACTATTCTCCATAGTGATTGTACATATTTACATTCCCACCTTTTTCTCCACATCCCCACAAGAATTTATTATTGCCTGTCTTGTGAATATAAGCCATTTTAACTAGGGTAAGAAGATATCTCACTGTAGTTTTGATTTGCATTTCTCTGATGATCAATGATATTGAGGAACTTTTCATATGCCTGTTTGCCATTTGTATGTCTTCTTTTGAGAAATGTCTATTCAAATCTTTTGTCCATTTTTTGATTGGATTATTAGATTTTATCCTATAGAGTTGTTTGAGCTCCTTGTATATTTTGGTTATGAATCCCTTGTCAGATGTGTAGTTTGCAAGTATTTTCTCCCATTCTGTGGGTTGTCTCTTCCCTTTTTGATTGCTTCCTTTTGCTATGCAGAAGATTTTTAACTTGATGTGATCTCATTTTTCCATTTTTGCTTTGGTTGATCATGCTTGTGGGTTATTACTGAAGAAATCTTTGCCCAGACCAATGTCCTGGAGATTTTCCCAAATGTTTTCTTGTAGTAGTTTCATAGCTTGATGTGCTAAAGTCTTTAATCCATTTTGATTTGATTTTTGTCTACAGCAAGAGATATGGGTCTAATTTCATTCCTGTGCATATGGATATCCGGTTTTCCCAGAACCATTTATTGAAGGGGCTGTCTTTTTCCCAGTGTATGTTTTTGGCATTTTTGTAAAAAATGAGTTCACTGTAGGTGTGTGAATTTGTTTCTGGATTCTCTCTTCTGTTCCATTGGTCTATGTGTCTGTTTTAATGCCAGTACCATGCTGTTTTGTTCACTATAGTTCTGTAGCATAATTTGAATTCAGGTAAAGTGATTCCTGCAGTTTTCTTCATTTTTCTTAGTTTAACTGGGTATTTTGGGTCTTTTGTGGTTCCATTTAAATTTTAGGATTGCTTTTCTGTTCCTGTGAATAATTTCATTTGTATTTTTATAGGGATTGCATTGAATCTGTAGATTACTGTAGTTTGGACATTTTAACAATATTGAGTCTTTCAATCCATGAACATGAAATATCTCTCAATTTTTTGTGTGTACTCTTCAATTTATTTCATTATTTTTTGTAGTTTTCATTATAGATTTTTTTCACTTCTGTGGTTAATTCCCTGCTATTTAATTTTATTTGTGGCTATTGAAAATGGGAAAATGGGTTTACTTTTTTGATTTGTTTTTTAGATTGTTCACTGTTGGCATATAGAAATACTACTGATTTGTGTATGTTGATTTGGTACCCTGTAACTTTACTGAATTTGTTTATCCATTATAATCATTTTTTTGGTGGAATCTTTAGGTTTTTCCAAATATAAGATTATATCATCAGCCAACAAGGATAATTTGACTTCTTCCATTCCAACTTGGATGCCCTTTATTTCTTTCTCTTGCGTAATTGCTCTAGGTAGGACTTCTAGTATTATGTTGAATAACAGCAGTGATGTTCTATTCTCTGGCTGAATCAACCCATTTATTATTACATATTGACCTTCTTTGTCTCTTCTTGTAATTTTTGTCTTGAAATGCATTTTTTTCTGATACATGGATAGCTACTCTTGCTCTTTTTTTTTTCTCTTGAGATGGAGTTTTGCTATCGTTGTCCAGACTGGAGTGCAATGGCGCAATCTCAGCTCACTGCAACCTCTGCCTCCTGGGTTCAAGCGATTCTCCTGCCTCCACCTCCTGAGTAGCTGGGATTATAGGTATGCACCACTACACCTGGATGATTTTGTATGTTTAGTAAAGATGAGGTTTCTCCATGTTGGTCAGGCTGGTCTTGAACTCCCGACCTCAGGTGATCTGCCTGCCTCGGCCTCCCAAAGTGCTGGGATTACAGGAGTGAGCCACCGTGCCTGGCCTACTCTTGATCTTTTATGGTTTCCATTGTCATGGAATATCTTTTTCCATACCTTTATTTTCAGTCTATGTGTGTCTTTATAGGTGAAGTGTGTTTTTTGTAGGCAACAGATCAATGTGTCTTATTTTTTCATCCATCCAGCCACTGCCTGTCTTTTGATTGGCGAGTTTAGTCCATTTATATTTAATGTTATTATTGATAAGTAAGGAGTTACTCCTGCCATTTTGTTATTTGTTTTCTGGTTGTTTTGTGGTCTTCTTTTCCTTCTTTCTCTCCTTCCTGTCTTCCTGTCATAACGGTGTTTTTCTCTGGTGATATGATTTAGTTTCTTGATATTTATGTTTTTGTGTATGCATTGTATGTTTTTGGTTCAAGGTTACCAAGAGGCTTGCAAATACAATCTTTATGACCCATTATTTTAAGCTGATAACAACTTAGAATAATTCTGAACTGTTGAGGGGTGCTCACAATGAGGTTTCTTCTAAAAGTTACTTTTCTACTTTCTTCTGTTAGCAAAGAAGTTACCACTACAGATTGAATGCATTTGGGCCATCCGCGGGTTACTGGGTTAAGGATTTTTGATAGGAAGGCTACAGGTTGTCAGTGGTCTCAGTGTTTTCAGGCTACGCCCTTGTTTAGACTGACAACAAGGTAGTATTGGAGTGTAATAGGGTCACAGAGAAGACCTTCAATTATCAATTACAGGTTTTAAATTTACCCTGGCTTTTAAAGGAATAGGGCACACTTTTTTTTTTTTTTTTTTTTTTTACTATTTCTTTTTTTTTTTTTTTTTGAGACAGAGTCTCTCTCTGTCACCCAGGCTGGAGTGCAGTGGCACTATCTTGGCTCACTGCAAGCTCCGCCTCCTGGGTTCATGCCATTCTCCTGTCTCAGCCTCAGGAGTAGCTGGGACTACAGGCGCCCGCCACCACGCCTGGCTAATTTTTTGTATTTTTAGTAGAGACGGGGTTTCACCATGTTAGCCAGGATGGTCTCGATCTCCTGACCTCATGATCCGCCCGCCTCGGCCTCCAAAAGTGCTGGGATTACAGGCGTGAGCCACTGCACCCGGCCTTTTTTTTTTTACTATTTCTATATTTCTCTTTCTTTCTCTCTTTGACTCCCTCTTTGTCTCTCTGCCTCTTTCTCTTCTCTGTCTCTCTCCTCTCTGTATCTTTCCTCACTGTCTCTTTCTGTCTCTCTCTCTCTCTGTCTCTCTCTCTCTCCCTTTTTCCTCTCTTAGCCATTTACAAACTTGGGGTCTTGGCAAGGGTGGTGGGGAACGGGTCCCACATAACAGCCCATGTTGAGAGCTGTATACCTAAATCAGGAGGGACACCAGGGACAAGACTCACTGGGTTTATAGCCTAGATGCCTAACGATGCAGCATAGAGCTTCCTTAGATCCCTTTGGAGATACAACTTGCTAGAGGAAATGAAAGTCTGAACCATTAGTACCTAGGAGGCAGGGATCCGAGGAAGTAGATTCAGAGGTAAGGAGAATTTTGGGGCTACCGTTTCAAGAAGTCACAGTCAGGACCCAGGAGGTATAGGTCAGAAGGAAAGGTAGGGGCACACGCATTGACTAGAGACTTCTGGCTGTGCCATGATCTCAACTGGCTAATGCTGGGAGTTCGGGAAGACAGCTTTCTGTCTCTAGTTGGCCCTCGGCTTCCCCAAGAAAATTGAAAGTGGAAGCTCGTTCCGGGCAGGCCAATGTTCCTAACCCAGAAGGGTTGGGGGTTGTTAGAAAGCCCTTCCCCAGACAGCCTCACACCTGAGTCTTAAGTCTGGTGGCCACGCTAATTGTTTTTAACTGGCCGACAGGTGCCCAGTATATTCCTCCAATTCTAAGGAAGGATAGGACAGAAAAGCAAACAAAAGTGGTCCAATATTACTCACCGCTTTGAAGGTCCCTTCGTGGTCGCCAAATGTTACCGAGGGGTCCTTGCTCCCAGAGCTCCCAAGATGGTGGTGGGCTGCTTCCAAGATGGTGGCAAGCCTTGTGTTCTCTGACCTGGGGTTCTTGGCCTCACCAATTCCAAGGAATGGAGTCTTGGGCCATGCGGTGAGTGTTATAGCTCTACTAGAAGCTGTGGGTCATGTGGAACCCAGTGACTAGTGTTCAGCTCGATTAGGATGAACCTGGGCACCTAGCCTTGCAGGAACAATGGCAAGCCTTTAGCCTGATCGGGAGTGGCAATAGGCGCCTCACTGGATCAGGAGCACAGTGGACACCCTGCCAGATCCAGAGGGATGGAAGTCAGCGGCAGGTCTGCGACGGCAGCAAACAGCAGTGGTGGTCGGCGAGTGAAAGCTCAGCTGGAGCCATAACAAACATGGACCAGAAGAGAGTGCAGTTGCAAGATTTAATAGAGTGAAAACAGAGCTCCCATAAAAAGGGAGGGGACCCGAAGAAGGTAGCTTGCTGATAACAACTTAACACTGTTTGCATAAACAACAACAACAAAAAACAAGCAAAAAGGAAATATAAAATTCTATAACTTAACTTTGTCCCCCTGCTTTTCAACTTTTTGTTGTTTCTATTTATATCTTATTGTACTGTCTATGTTTTGAAAAGTTGTTATTATTTGTGATTGGTTCATCATTTAGTCTTTCTACTTAGGATAAGAGTAGTTTAGACACCACAGTTACAGTGTGGTTTGTTATGATATTTTGTGTTTTTCTGTGTACTTACTATTAGTGGTGAGTTTTATACCTTCAGATGATTACTTATTGCTCACTAATATTCTTTTCTCTGTGACTGAAGAATTCCCTTTAACATTTCTTATAGGACAAGTTTTTTGTTGAAATCCCTCAGTTTGTGTTTGTCTGGGAAAGTCTTTATTTCTCTTTCATGTTTGAAGATTATTTTCACCATGTATACTATTATAGGGTAAAAGATTTTTTTTCTTCCATACTTTAAATCTGTCATGCCACTCTCTCCTGGCCCATACGTTTTCCACTGAAGGGTCTGTTGCCAGAAATATTGGAGCCCCATTGAATGTTATTTGTTTATTTTCTCTTGTTGCTTTTAGGATCCTTTATCCTTGATCTTTGGGAGTATGAATATTAAATGCCTTGAGGTAGTCTTCTTTGGGTCAAATCTGCTTGGTGTTCTATAACCTTCTTATACTTGGATATTGGTATCTTTCTTTCCTTTAGGTTTGGAAAGTTGTCTTTTATTATCTCTTTGAATAAACTTTCTACGCCATTTATTTATCTACCTACTCATTAAAGCCAGTAGCTCATAGATGTGCCCTTTTGAGGTTATTTTCTCAATCTAGTAGGTGTGCTTCATTGTTTTTTATTCTTTTTCTTTTTTTTTGTCTCCTCTGATTGTGTATTTTCAAATAAACTGTCTTCAAGCTCATTAATTCTTTCTTCTGCTTCATCCATTCTGTTATTAAAAGACTGATGCATTCTTCAATAAGTCATTTGCATTTTTCAGCTCCAGAATTTCTGCTTGATTCTTTTAAATTATTTCAGTCTTTTGTTAAATTTAATCTAATAGAATTCTGACTTCATTCTCTGTGTTATCTTGATTTTTTTTTTATTTTCCTCAACACAGCTATTTTGAATTCTCTGTCTCAAAGGTCATATATCTCTGTTTCTCCAGGATTGGTCCCTGGTGCTTTATATAGTTTATTTGGTGATGTCATGTTTTCTTGGATGGTGTTAATGAATCAGTCAGGAAAAATAAAATAAATATCATTAATATGTTAGGGGCTCTAGAGGACAATATGTAGATCCCATGCAAGAACAGAAGGGTAATGTAAGCATAGATGGAAACTCTAAGCAAGATTTTTTTAAAAAAATGCTAGAAATAAAAAAAAAAAAAACCAGTGTAGCAGAAATGAAGAATGCCGTTGATGGGCTCATCAATAGATGATGAGGACAAAGAAAGTCAGTGAACCTGAAGATAGATTAATAGAAACTTCTGAAATTGAAATATTAAGAGAAAAATGAAAAAAAACCCCAGAGTATCCAAGTACCACGGGATAATTTCGAAAGGTATAACATATATGTAATTGGAATGCCAGAAGAGATAATGGAGAGGAAGACATAACAGAAATAACAATGACCAAATTTACACAATTTGTGCTAGACATCAAATCAGCGACCCAGGAATCCCAGAGAAAAACCAATCCGGATAAATATGATAACATAAACTGCAGAAAAGACAAAGTAAAAATCTTGAAAGAAACAACAGGGAAAAATACCTTACCTGTAGAGGAAAAAGGATACAAATCATGGCAGACTTCTCACCAGATGCCATGCAAGCTCTATGATAATGGAGTGAAATGTATAAAGTTTTGAAAGAAAACTCCACCAACCTAGAATGTTATACACAATGAAATTATACTTCAAAAGTGAAGAAGATACCACAGGAATATAGTCAGTTGATCTTTGACAAAGGAACAAAGGTGTTACAATGGAGTGAAGATAGTCTTTTCAACAAATGCTGCTGGAATTACTAGGCATCCATATGCAAAATAATGAACCTAAACACAGACTTTATACCCTTCAGGCAAAGTAAGTCAAAATAGATCATAGACCTAAATGTAAAATTCCAAACTATAAAAAAATTCTAGAAGATAACAAAAGAAAATCTAGATCATCTTGGGTTTGGCAATAATTTTTTTGATACAACACCAAAGGCATGGTCCATGAAAGAAATAATTAATAATCTAAGCTTCATTAGAATTAAATATTTGTGCTCAGTGAAAGACATTGTCAAGTGAATAAGACATGCCACAGACTAGGAGAAAATATTTGCAAAACACATATCTGAGAAAGGACTGTTATCCAAAATATACAAAGATCTCTTAAAATTCAACAATAGGAAAACAAACAACTCAATTTAAAATGGGCAAAAGTTCTAGGCAGACACCTCACCAAAGAAGGTGGCTCATAAGCATATAAAAAGATGCTTCTCCTCGTAGGCCCTCAGGGATGTGAAAATTAAAACAATTATGAGATACCACTACATTTATTAGAATGGCAAAAATCCAGAACACCAAAACACCAAATGCAGTCAAGGATATAGAACAACAGAAACTCTCACTCATTGCTGGTGGAAATGCAAAATGGCACAGCCAAGTTGGAAGACAGGTTGGCAGTTTCTTACAAAGCTAAACATATTCTTCCTATATGATCCAGTAATAGTGTTCCTTGGTATTTAACCAAGTGAATTGAAAAGTAATGTTCACACAAAAACCTGCACATGGATGTTTTTAGCAGCTTTATGCATAATTGCCAAAGCTTGGAAGCAACTAAGGTGTCTTTCAGTGAGTGGATAAATAAACTGTGGTACATCAGACAATGTTATATTATTCATCCTTAGAAGGAAATCCTGCAATTTGCAACAGCATGGATGAATCTGGAGGATATTATGCTAAGTGAAATAAGTCAGACACAGAAAAACAAACACTGCATGATGTCACTTATATGTGGAAACTAAAAAAGCCAAACTCATAAAAGCAGAGTAGAATGGCGGTGGCCAGGGGCTGGGATGTGGGGGAAATGGGGAGGTCTTGGTCAAACCGTACAAAGGTTCAGCTATGTGGGATGAATAAGTTTTGGAGATCTAATGTGCAGCATGGTGACTATAGTTAACACTTTACTACCTACTTGAAATTTGCTAAGAGAGTTGATCTTAAGTGTTTCTACCACACACACACACACACACACGTAACTATGTGATGTGATAAGCATTTTAATTTGCTTGATTGTGATAATTATTTCACAATGTATATGTATATCAAAACATCACATTGTACAACTTAGATATATACAATTTTTAAATTATGGTAGATATATTCAATTTTTATTTGTCAAGTATACCTCAATAAAGCTGAGGAAAAAAAAAAACAAAGAGATAGTTGAGGCACAAAAAACCTCTACCAAAATCCATTGAGTTTCTGTGTATTAACAATGAACATATGGATGCCAAAATTAAAAATACTATATTGCTTATAATTGCTTGAAAATGAAATACGTGGGTGTAAATGTATTAAAACATGTATAGGAGTTGTATACTGCAAACTACACAACACTGATGAAAGAAATGAAACAAGACCCACATAAATGGAAAAAAAAATGTGTTGATGGATTGAAAGAATCAGCATAGCAAAGCTTTCAATTCTATCCAAATTATTACGTGGATTTAATTCAGTTTCTATCAAAATATCTGCAATATTTTGTAAATATGTATGAATATTTTAAAAAATTTATATGGAAAGTGGGAGAAACTAACATAGATAAATACATTTTGAAAAAGAATAAAGTGGGAGGAAATCAGTCTACCTGATCTCAAGACTTACTATATAAGTACAGTAATCAGATACATAGATCAATGGAACACAACAGAGAATCCAGAAATATAACTGCTGAAATATGCCCAACTGATTTTTAACACAGTTGTTGCAAAAGCAATTTAATAGAGTAAATATAGCCTTTTAAACAACCGATGCTAGAGCAATTGAATATACACAGGCCATCAAATGAAGTTTGGTCCAATTATCGTAACTTATACAAAATTAGCCATTTTGGACCACAGACTCAAATGTGACATGTACAATTTTAAACATTTTAGAAGAAAACAGGAAAAAACTTTCAGAACTATGGGTAGGCAAAGAGTTCTTAGATTTGACATAAAAGTGCAATACATACAAGGAAAAACTGACAAATTAGACCTCCTCGAAATTAAAAACTTTTGCTCTGAAAAGCATCCTGTGAAGAGAATTAAAAAATATGCTACAGAGGGTGAGAAAATATTTGTAAACCACATGTATAAAAAACGACTAGTATAAGAATATATAAAGAACTCTCAAAACTCAACAGTAAAATCAAAACAATATAATTAGAAAATGGACAAAATACAGAAAGAGGCATTTTTTCAAAACTAGATATACAGATGACAAAGAAGCCCATGCTTGAAAAGATGTTCAACATCATTAGCTATTAGAGAGTTAAAGCAGCAATGAGATATCACTACAAATCTATAAGAATTCCTAAATAAGAAATAGTGACAACACCAAATGCTGGCAATGATGCAGAGAAACTGGATCATATTTTGCTCTGGGAATGTAAAATGGTACTTCCACTCTGGAAAATAGTTTGGCAGTTTCTTATAAAATTAAACATGCAACTACTATACTATCTAGTAATTGTGTTCTTGGGCATTTATCTCAGAGAAAAAGACTTTACATTTGCACACACAAATACTTGTACTTGAATGTTTATAGCAGCTTTATTCATAAAAGCCCAAACCTGGAATCAATTCAAATACCTTTCAATGGGTAATGGTTAAATGGTTTGGTACATCCATACCATGAACTACTACTTAACAACAGGGAAACTGGGTAAACTGCACAAGAGATCTCTTTGTGTTATTTCCTATGACTCCATGCAAATCTACAAGTATCTCAAAATGCTGTTTCATTTAAAAAAATGCAATAGGTAATATTGCCAAGATAGGATTCCCAACACAGGAGTGGGTGATGAGCAATAGAATGAGCACAACCATCTGTTATGGACACAGAGAGACCTGGGTTCAGATTTGGTCTCCTTCACTTCCAAACTGTGTGATCTAGGGCTTGTGTCTGAGGTTGCCCATTTTCTCACACCCTTACCAACAGCGTATATTCTTTTTCTATTTTGCAAATTCTAATAGGTTAAGGTATAGAATTTCATTGCTATTTATATTTGTATTTCTTTGATGATGAGTGAAGATGAATATAATTTTGCATCCTATTTGGCCCTTTTTATTTTTGTGTCTGTATGTTTATGTTCATGAGGGACATTGCTTTGTAAGTAAATTTTCTTGGTATATCCCTGTCAGGACTTGCTTTCAAGGTTATTCTAGCCTCATCAAAAAGTTTGGAGTTGTTTTTTCTTTTTCTATTGTCAGTTTGAGGTTGATACAATATCTTCAGCAATACACCAGGGAAGCCATCTGGATCTGAAGTGTTTTGTTTTTGGAGGGAAGGTTTTTATAGAATCGATTTATTTAACAAACATAGGATTACAGAGATAATCTAGCTTTCTCTTATCAATTTTGTAATTCATATTTTTCAAAGAATGTGTGCATTTAATTTGTCACATTTATTTACATGATGTCCATAATATTCCATTATTATCCTTTTAATGTCTATAGACTCTGTTGTGATATATTTTTATGATGTAGTTAATTTATTTTATTATGATTAGTTTTCTTTGTGGCTTATCAATTTTATTAAGATATTCAGAAAACTAACTATTGGCTTTGTTGACTTTCCCTATTTTAATGGTTGTATACTATTTTACTGGTATCTGCCATTATCTTTATTATTTCTCTCCTTCTCTACTATCCTTGCTTTTCTTTTTCTGATTTTTTCAAGTGAAATCTTAGAATATTGATTTAAAATTTTCTTTTCTAAAAAATGCATTTGCAGCTACAAATTTCCCTCTATTCACTATTTGAATTGCATCCAACAAAGTTTTATGCATTGTATTTTAATTATCATTCAGTCCAAAATATTTTCTAGTTTTCAGAACTTTGCATTATGAGCTTAAAAAATAATTTAGTAATTCTAATAGTTGGTTAGTAGTACCTCTTTGTGCTTTCCTTTACTCTGATGACTAATGATGTTGGGGAGACTTTTATATGTTCATTGACCCTTCATGTCTTCTCTGAGCTTTCTGTTCAAGTCTTGTATCCATTTTTTATTGGGTTGTATTCCCATTATTGAGTTGAAATAGTTATTTATTTATTTATTTATTTATTTATTTATTTATTTATTTATTTATTGAGACGGAGGAGTCTTGCTCTGTTGCCCAGACTGGAGTGCAGTGGCAGGATCTCAGCTCACTGCAACCTCCTCCTCTCGGGTTCAAGCGATTCTCCTGCCTCAGCCTCCCAAGTAGCTGGGACTACAGATGCCTGCCACCACATCAGGCTAATTTTTGTATTTTTAGTAGAGACGGGGTTTCACCATGTAGGCCAGGCTGATCTTGAACTCCAGTAGAGATGGGGTTTCACCATGTTGGCCAGGCTGACCTCAAGTGATCCGCCTGCCTCGGCCTCCCACAGTGCTGGGATTACAGGCATGAGCCACTGCACCCAGCCTGAGTTATTTATATATCCTGGGATCTAGTCAATTGTCAGATAAATTTATTGTGAATATTTTATCGCATTGAATTGGCTTGCCTTTTTATTTTCTTAATGTTTATTGAATATCAAGAAAAGTTAAACATGAGTGAAGTCCAATTTTAAAATATTTTATTCTATTGGCGCGTTTTGTGTTATCTTTAAGAAATCCTTACCTACCCCAAGTGTATGAAAATTTTCTCCTATGCTGTTTTCTAGAAAAAAATATCTTTTGCATTTAGGTTTATAATTCTAATTAATTTTTGTGAATGATGTGATTTAGGGCTTGAGATTCACTTTTCTTACGGATACCTAGTTCTCCTGACACCATTTGACGAGAAGACTATTCTTTCTCCCATTGAATTGTATTGATTCCTTTGCCTAAAGTGATTGATCATCAAAGTGCAGGTCTGTTTCTGGACTCTATTCTGCCCTTTTAAATCTATACATCTTTCTTTAAGCCAACACAGTACTGTACTGATCACTGCAGCTTTGTGGCAAACCTTACAATTTAAGATTGGGTAAGTCCTCCAACTTTGTCATTGTCTTTGTTATTCAAAGTTCGCATTTACATATACATTTTAGAAGCAGCCCTTCAATTTTTACAAATAAAAGCTTTCTGTGATTTTGATTGAGGTGGCATTGATTCCATAGAACACTTTGAAGAGAATTAACATCTTAAGAGTATTGAGGCTGGGCATGGTGACTCACACCTGTAATCTCAGCACTTTGGGAGGCCGAGACGGACAGATCCCTTGAGCCCAGGAGTTCAAGATCAGCCTGGGCAATATGCCAAAATCCCGTCTCTACAAAAAATACAAAAAAAAAAAATAATTAACCGGCATGATGGTGTGTGCCTGTAGTCCCAGCTACTTGGGAGGCAGAGGCGGGAGGATCACCTGAGCTCGGGATGTTGAGGCTGCACTGAGCCATGATCTCGCCACTGCATTCCAGCAATAGAATGAGACCCTGTCTCAAAAAACAAAACACAACACAACAGAACAAAAAAAAACAAGACAAAACAAAAGTAGTGAATCTTCCAATCCATGCACTTGGGATATCTCTCCATTTAAGATTTAGATCTTTAAACATTCTTTCAGTGATGTTTTGTAGTTTTCAATGATGTGGTCTTACCTATATTTTATTAAATTTATTTCTAAGCATTGTATTATTTTGATTGTTTTGTATGGTATATATATGCACACACCACATATATATATACACACATATAAATATATATATGTATACACACATATAAATATATATATATACACACACCACATATATATATACACACATATAAATATATATATGTATACACACATATAAATATATATATATATACACACACACACACACAGAGACACACATATTTATTTATTTATTTATTTTGAGATGAAGTCTCACTCTGTCGCCCAGGCTGGAGTGCAGTGGCATGATCTCTGCTCACTGCAACCTCTGTCTCCTGGGTACAAGCAATCTTCCTGCCTCAGCCTCCTGAGTAGCTGGGATTACAGGTGTGTGCCACCACACCTGGCTAATTTTTGTATTTTTAATAGAAACAGGGTTTCATCATTTTGGCCAGGCTGGTTTTGAACTCCTGACCTCAGATGATCTGCCCGCCTCAGCCTCCCAAAGTGCTGGGATTACAGGCATGAGCCACCATGCCCAGTCTGTTTTGTATAGTATTTTTAAACATATTTTTTGAATTATTTATTGTTACTATTAAAAATGAATCTGATTTTTATACTAACTTTATATCCTGCATCTTTGGTTAATTTCAGTTATTAATTCTACTGGTTCTTTTATAGTTCTAAAATTTTCTACATCAAGAATTATGTTGTATGTCATATTAATCAAGACAGATTAATGTCTTCTTTTTGTGTAATGGCTAGAATTTCTACTACAATATTTAATAGAGGTGATAAAACTGGGCATCCTGCCTTGATCCCGATCTTAGGATAAAGCATTTACTACTTTATTTACTAACATTAAATATGGTGTTAGTTGTGGAATTTTTGTAGCTGCTCTTTATCATTTTGAGATAGGTTCTTCTCTACATAGTTTGCTAAGAGGGTTTTCTTAAAAATCATGAAGCTAGTGATGAATTTTCTCAAATCATTTTTTTGTGTCTATTGAAATTATCATATGTCTTCATGTTTATCTCCTTTTAACTTAAAATGTGGTGACTTACAATTATTGATTTTTGAAAGTTGAAACAACCTTCCATTCTTGAGATGAACTTCACTTCACCATGATGTATAATTATTTTTATATATTTATAGATTTGCAAATATCATGGTGAAGATTTTTATATCTATAATCATGAAAGATATTTGCCTTCATATTGCTTTACTTGTGATGTCTTTTTCTTAATTGTAAGAAAAATAGACAATAATCATGGCGTCAATCATGGTTTATATGTGAGCTGTTATTCTGGTCTCATTAAATGATTTGAAAGCATTTTTCTCCTCTATTAACAGTTTTTAGTGTAAGATTGGTCTTATTTCTTACTTCAGTGTTTGATAGATTTCATATTGAGATCATTTGGGTCTGGGGCTTCCTCCCATCCTCTGGGAAAATTTTTTATTTTGAGGTGAATTTATTTCATAGATATCAAGCTACCCAAATTTCCTGTTTCTCACTGTTGTGGTATTGGTAAATTGCCCTTTCAAATAACTCTGTCAATGTCATCTGTTTTTAAATGTATTGGCATACAATGTTCATAAAATTCTTTTATTATTTTAACGTCTATAGAATCTGTAGTGATAGCCCATCTTTGTTTTCTGGTATTGGCTCATTGTGTTTCCCTCTTTCTTGATTATTCCAGCATGTAGTTCGTCAATTTTATAAATATTTTTTTAATTTTGCCTTTGTTAATTTCCTCTATAATTTGTCTTCTATAGTATTGACCCTATTATTTATTTCCTTCTCCATATCTTGTGCTTAAATTGACTCAATTTTTCTATTCTAGTAAAAACTTAGGCTGTTGATTGAAAATTTGCTTTTTTAATATAGCTATTTATGGCTATAAATTTTTCTAAAAGCTAAATTTCACACATTTTTTACTTGATATGTTTTAATTTTTGTTGCGTTTGAAGCCTTTCTTTATCACCGTTGTAGATTATTGTTGACCAACGGGGCTTTTAGAATACACACACACACACACACACACACACACACACACACACATATTTGGGAATTTTTCCTATTTCTTCTGGCATTTGATTTCTAGATTCATTTCCTTGTGTTTGGATAGCAAACTATCTGGTATTCAAATATTTTGAAATTAATTGATTTTGATTTTGTTTTATGGCTAGCACATGATCTGTTTTGTAAACATTCCATATATACTCGAAAGAAATACGAATTTTGCATTTGTTGTATATGGTTTTCTCCAAATGTCTCTGATATATTTTGTCTAGATTTATGGTTGTTTATGACAAAATGGATAGTTTTATACCAGTTGCTCAGCTTCTCATAGACAAACTCTGAAATCTGCCTTCAATTTTGAAGGTTAGGCTCACTATACATAAAATTCTAAGCTTCCTATAATATTTTTTCAGCATCTTTAAGAGATCAATCCATTGTTTTCACTTTTTTTTGTTTCAAGAGGCTGTTGATGTCTTACTGCTTTTTCCTTTAAGATACTGTTTTATGCTGATATTAATTATTTTGGAAGTAGACTCTTGCTCCTGGCTCTTGCAGGTTTTTCATGCCACTGAAACAACAGGAAAATAATGGGATCACTCTACTGTTGGGTATGATTTATGACGTTCACCAAGGAGAAATCAGGTTGCAGTTTCACAATGGGGGCATGTGTATAAATTACGGATTTCTCTGGGAATAACTTTTAGTAATTCCATGTGTAGTAGCAAACACTAATGCAAAGCTATAATAACAAAAATAAAAGGCAAGATTCCTGAGGATTCTGACCTTCCAGGAATGAATGGGTTAACTGGTGAGATATAGAACTTTGATGATATGGAGTCCTGCCTGAAGCCAAAGGAAACGGGGAATAGTCTGTACAATAAGGTAGTTATAAATAGTTATATAAATATTAACTATGATTCTGTGGATAGTTAAAGAAATGAGGAGGTTAGCAGCAATATATATTTTTTCTTTGCTTCTTTGTATATATTTGTGTGTATACATATATATTTGTATGTATACATATATACACATATATATTTGTATGTATACATATATATTTGTATGTATACATATATACACATATATATTTGTATGTATACATATATACACATATATATTTGTATGTATACATATATACACATATATATTTGTATGTATACATATATACACATATATATTTGTATGTATACATATATACACATATATATTTGTATATATAAATTACTTTCCTATTCTATCTCTTTTATAATACTTCTGATTATTGTGTGTACTGATTGTTATTGGTGGTTAAACTTGCAGTATAGACCTTATTGTATGGAATATTCAGCTCAAACAGTGACTGAATTTGAAGAGTGAGTGGCATTGATTGACTCAAAAAATATATGATGACTGGCATCCATATTTGGATAGGATTACTTTTAGGACTTTGTCTGTTTTTGGGGGAGTGGATGAGGGAAGATGGTGAGACTATTTTGCTTGTATAAAGGACACTTATTTTCTTAGGAAAAAGTGGTAGGCTTTATTGATGTATGGAAATATAAAAATTCATTAAAATGCATGGATGTCTGTGTGTGTGTGTGTGTGTGTGTGTGTGTGGTGTTCTTAGCAGGCAAAAAGTGGATTGTATTGTTTATGAAACCTTCAATATTCTGTTCTTTGCATTTTGGTATTGTGTCTATATTTTTCCTTTTCCAGGGGCTCCCTGTCTATGACATTAGTGGTTGTGAGGAGACTGCAAGTCTGACAGAGGGATTGGAAGTTTCCTCCTTCCTGTGTTTCCTTTTTTTCTCAGTGCCACCTCAGCCAATTATCTTGATTATTCTAGCATTATATTTATAAAATATCCCTTTATGTCTTCTTAAAGCTACTGTCCTTGAATTTTACTTTATCTAATGTTAAAATTGCTATACTTGTCTGGTTTTTTTTTCACTCATGCCAGATTTACCATTTCCTGTATCTGTATAGTATTATTAAAACTAATATTTAGTTGCATAGGTAAAAATATCAATTGGTTATTCTTGTAAAACATTAAAAAATTAAAGGAATTCTAAAACTTTATTTCAGCAAATCTCCCATAATGCTACTACCTTAACTTCATATGCAACAATTTCGACAGTTTGGTGTATAACATTCAAGTCCTTTTATCTATGCATTTATCAGTAATTATGTCTTAAGAAGAAATATGGTCATCTTTTTCAATATGCATGTTTTATAATGCATGACACAATTTGTTACTTATTAGTCCATTACTTGATTTTATTTTACTATTTTTCCTGTTGGTATATTTAAATTTGCCTCATTTTTATAATGGATACATAGTATTTAATTTTGTTTTTTAATAATAGATTGCTTCAAAGCTTTATTCTTTCACACTATTTTTATACATCAGTTGCCATGACAATTTGGAAACATGAAATACTACATATTATAAGCAAATTTATGTAAGGACAAAAATTGTTAAAATCAACTCAAAAAGAAATAGATTAATAGACTTATAACAATTAAAGAGATTAAATTAATTAAAAATCTTCATGCAAAGAATACCCCAGATCCAGATGGTGTCACTGATGCAGTCTACCAATTTTTAATGAAGAATGAATATAAATCCTTCACACACACTTTCAAAAAAGAGAAGAGAAAGGAACATTTCCCAATTCATTCTAATAGGCCAGGATTACCATAATACAAAACATGCACACAAGCATAACCAGAAAAGGAAACTACAGAACAATGTCCCTATTGAATGTAGATTAAAACATTCTCAAGAGAAGTATTTAAGTTTTGAATAGACCATTTTTGTCTATTTTGTTATTTTATTTTGGTATTCCCCTCCCCTCCTTTTTGTAGCTTTGATTTTGTCAGGCAATTTGTCATAACATAATTTAATGTAATAACAAATCTTGTAATTATTTCCTTAAGACTATGGACTTTTCTGAATGACAGGAGTATGATTTCTGGCTCTACAGATAATTTTAGAGTAATCATAGGAAGGAGAAGTTTATCTTATGACTTAGGCAAAATATAATTTCTGTGATGACTGAGATGCACTACATATTGCACAGAGAGAGAGATCTTCAGCAAAGGCATGTGCTGACAGGTGCTTCTGAAAACCATTTTCTGGTATCTGGCATTCTAAGTGACCGTTGTCTTTGTTGAGTTTGTGAGTTGCTGGTTGCAGGTAGACAGAAGAGTTCTAAGTCCTTCTGTGATTCACATCTGAGGCACTTACTGAAGGGAAATGAGAGTATTTCAGACATGCCTTCATTTCCCCCCTCTCTTTGAGAATTTGTGTCATTAGATGCCATGTGGAAGTGAGAGCGGAATCAGGACTGAGTGACCTCTGAGATCTCTTTCAGACCAGAATGTATTATGGACATCGTACAAGGATGTGCAGTGCTGGGACTGGAACACAGATGTGTGTCTGACAAGAAAGCCAAAACTGTCAATCCTTCTATCTAAACTGATTCCCTAAACCACTGTATAGAAAGATTTTCCCTCTAATGCATATCTCTTGGTGAGTTTCTGGTATTCACTCATTTATTAGATTGAGGGGTTCAAGTTTCTGAGGTAGAGATTAAAATTTGGCCTCTGAGAATGAATTTGCACTATCCAGTTGCCATAGAAAACTGTCATTAACCATAATAACATGATGTACTTCTGGTTTCTATGACAACTGGACTATGCCATCTTATCCTGGGAGGTGAAATATTGGACTTGGATGTTTATAGGCAGAAAGTGTGTGATAATTGCATTAAAATAAGATAATTTGGGTGTCTACCGTCACTGTGAATGTATGTGTATATGAGGGGGAAGGTAATAATTGAATATATGGCTGCAAATGTGGGGGCTGATTACTTGTTACATGGGGAGGCTGGCAGCCACTGCTGCAAAGAAACTAAAGTGGCTGAGTCACCAGTTATTCCATTTCCTTCATTGTTTCTGTGTCCTCAGCTGACACCTGTAGTGTGAGAGCTCTGTAATCTTTGAATTTGTAAAGCAGAAGTTTGCACACCTTTTTGAGTATGCACCTCTCTCAAGAAATATTTTTGCTGAACCCCTAAAAGATATATCTTCATTTATACTATATATATATGGAAATTTGAGGAGGGTAAATTATGAATGTGCAAATTTTTTTTGAGATAGGGTTTTGCTCTATTGCCCAGGCTGGGGTGCCGTGGCATGGTTGCATCTCACTGCAGCCTCTCAACCTCCGAGTCTTAAGTGATCCTCCCACCTCAGCCTCCTGAGTATCTATGATTACAGGTGCATGCCATCAGGCTTGACTAATTTTTTTAAATTTTTTGTAGAGATGCGGTCTTGCTTTGTTGCTCTGGCTATGCACAAATTTTAAAACAAATTAATTGTGAGATATAACGGGTATAATGGGAATACTAATACCTTTTTTCTGGACTCCATGAATCATTCGTGCGCCCTCTAGGTATCAGAACACCCCTTTGGAAATTGCTACTCTAAAAGAAAACTTTCAACTTACTACATCAGTAATTAAAATCTGTAAATGGTTCCCCTTTACAATAAGCATAAAATATAAGCTCCTTAATAAAGCTTTTGTTCTCAGTAGTTGAATTTTGGTTGTGATTTTTGTTGATATAATAGTTTTCCTATTCATTCATTAGGTTTCAAAAGAAAGGCAGAATATTTAAAATATTTATTATTGTTTACTATGTAGGAAATCTGTTTTAGTAAGCAGTTGGTAAATAAGGTATGTCTAAGTCTCTCGGCCTCACATTTCTGATTGTGCTCTGTGATACTTAAGCTTTATCTCTGCTAACTCTGTTTCTGCTTTGCCAACTGGTTCGTTGTTATGTTGTGTTCATAGGAAGTTTCAGAGGGAGACAGGTATCTGGAGGAAAGGAAGTAAATCAACCACCTGTCCATTCCTGAGATGAACTCCATTTGATAACACTGTATTATTCTTGTTATATATTGTGGGTTTAATCTGCTAAAATATTTTTAAAATAGTGAGGCACTTTGGTCTGTAGTTTTCATTTCATGTGATTTTTTTTTTTATTTTAGGGTAATGCTGGCCCCATTTAATTAGTTGAGAATTGTTTCTTTTTTTCCTCAGGAATAACTCATGTACAGTGAATATTATTGCTTTTTTTTCACCTATGATGGAGTAACAAGGAAAAAATTTACCCTCTGTATTTGTGTCCTATTGCTGCTGTAACAAATAACCACAAACTTAGTGGCTTAAAACAATGCACATTCATCATGTCACGGTTCTGGAAATCAGAAGTCGGAAATAAATCTCACTGGGAAAGAAACAATATATCAGCAGGACCATGTTTCTCTGGAGGCTTTAAGAGAGAATCCGTTTCCCTGTCTTGTCCAGCATCTACAGATGCATACTTTGCATTCGTTGGCTCATGGCTCCTTCTTCCATCATCAAAGCCAGCAAGGTGGTATCTTCAAATCTCTCTCTACTTCTATGTTCATATTGACTTCTTTATTTCAAGAATACTTGAAATTATACTTGGTCAATGAAGATATTGCAGGGTAATTTCCTCATTCAAGATCCTTAACTTAATCACAACTGTAAAGTTCCTTTTGCAATAGGTAACATATTCACAGATTTTGAGCATTAGGATGTGGAGATTTGGGAGGGATTTTTCATAATTCATCCTACCTCAACTTCTTGTGAAACAGCCATAATAAATAGAAAAATATGAATAATAGTATTCAAAACACTAAACAAAAATCAGCAAAGGGCAGTGGTAACTTAGAGCCTGTAAAACAACAAAGTGAGTCCTATATTGCTCCAACTTGGTAGTTATAGAGAATGTTCTGGTCACGGTGTGGGGAGAGGAACTGAAGTGAAGCCTAGTGGACTACATGAGTAGAAAAGTTGGAACTAAGAATCTGAGAAAATCAAGGTGGCTAGAGCTTGTAGGATAGAACATAAAGGAACCTTCACAGAAAGAACCTCCTAGGTTGTTAGAGAGTTCCCGAAAATACTAAGAATCGTAATCGGTATATGTACATGAGAAAATTACCCCAAGCTCATGAAAAAAAAAACCAAACTTGAAAGTATCAGAGAACTCTCTCTAGTGCTCACACAGAGAAGGGAAAAGTGCTTCTTCCCACTAGCCAGACTGGAAAAACTTCTAATTCACTTGGTATTTGGTTGAATACACAGGATGGTCTTACATCAATAACAGAATAATCAACCCTGGATGGAATATAACTCCAAACCTGCTTAACACAGTCAAAAAAGCAATACCTAAAAGAGTCAAGCTATTTTTAAGTAACTTAAATGCATCTCAGAACAAAATCAAGAACATGTATGAAAATACAAAAATTCCAGCACCCAACGAAGTAAAATTCACAGCAACTGACATCCATTTAATGATTAATAGGCATTTGGTGAAGCAGAAAAACATAATCCATAATAAGGAGAATAATCAATCAATCAAAACTGACTTAGAACTGACATTAGAAGAGTTATTATAACTACATTTCATATGTCCAAACAGTTATACAGCAGTACAGAAGGCTATTTTAAAAATATCTTGTAGTGCTAGAGATGAAAATTACCATGTTTGAGATTAAAAAACACATGGGAGCTCAGATCAAAATCCCAGTAAATAATTGTGTGGATATCAATAAACTGACTCTAAAGTTTATATGGAGAGGCAAAAGGCCTCCAAATAGCCAACACAATATTGAAGGAGACAACAAATGAGAGGACTGACTCTACCTGACTCCAAGACTCACAATAAAGCTACAGTAATCAAGGCAATGTGGTATTGGTGAAAGAATAGATAAATAGATCAACAGAACAGAATAGAGAGCCCAGAAATAGACCCACGTAAATATAGCCAACTGAACTTTGACAGAGAAGCAAAGGCAATACAATGGAGAGAACAAACGATGCTACAAGAACTAGACAACCAAATTCAAAAAAAAGAAGAAGAATTTAGATACAGACCTTATACCTTTCATAAAAGTTAACTAAAAATGCATCAAGACATAAATGTAAATCACAAAACTATAAAACTCCTGGAAGATAACAGGAGAAAACCAAAGTGACCTTGGGTGTGGCAATGACTTTATAGGTACTAAAGGCACAATCTATGAAAGAAATAATTGATAAACTGGACTTCATTAAAATTAAAAAATTCTTCTCTGTGAAAGATACTGTCAAGAGAAAAAGAAGACAATTCACACAGCAGACTGGAAAAATATGTTTGCAAAAGACATGTGAGAAAAGACTGCTCTCCAAAATATCCAACTCTTCAAACTCAACGATACGAAAATGAGCAAGCTGATTAAAAAATGGGCAAAAGACCTAAACAGATACCTCACCAAAGAAGATATACAGATGGAAAATAAGCATATGAAAAGATGTTTAACATGACCATGTCATTAGGGAATTGCAAAGTAAAACAACAGTGAGTTACGCTACCCACTTATAATAATGGCCAAAATTCAAAACACTGACAACCCCAAAAGCTGGTGAGAATGCAAAGCAACAGGAACTCCCATTCCTTGCTGGTAAATGCCAATTGGTACAGCCATTTTGGAAGACAATTGGCAGTTTTTTACAAAGCTAAATGTACTCATACCATGTGATCCAACAGTAGTACTCTTTGGTATTTACCCAAATGAGTTGAAAAGTAATGTGTAAAAGTACAGCCAGAGAAACAATCAATAAAATGAAATGGCAGCATTTGAATTATTTGGTTTTGTTCTGATTTGTGTCTCTTTTTTTGTGCTTTTCATGTCATCCGTGTATTCTTATCTTAATTTGGTTTAGTTGTTATCTATATCTTCTTGGAGTTCACTGAATTTCTCTAAGAGGATTATTCTGAATCAGGTCATAGAACTACATTTCTTTAGTGTCAGTTATTAGAGATTTATTTGTTTCTCTTGATGGTATCACGTTTTCCTGATTCTTTATGATCCTTTTATCCTTACATTTGTGTCTGTGCATTTTTGGAAATAGTCACCTCTTCCAGTCTTTAAAGGTTTTCGTTGGCAAAAAGACCTTCGCTAGTCAGTCCAGTCTAGGTTTCTGGATAGGCCAGCTGATAGAGTCTGTAGGTAGACAGGGCTTACCCTTGGGGTGTCTAGTTTGGTGTGGCTGCTGACCAATGTCTGAGGTCAGGTAGGGCCACTTGCTAGGCTCTGCAGTCAAGTAGACTTGCTAGATGTGCTCTGAAGTCATGTGGGCCGCTGGCTGGGCTCTATAGTCAGGCAGGGCCAATAGCTGGGCTCCGTGATAGCATCTGCTCAGACACAGTCACAGGCAGTGCTCCCTGGCCAGGTGGTGTCACTGACTGAATTCTGTGATTAGATAGAGCTGCAGTCTGGGATTCACAATACCAGTATTTGGGAGAGGCCTGAGACTGTGCTCCCTATCCAGGTGGTGCCACTGGATAGACTCCTCATTCAGAAAGGGCCTCAGTCTGTGCTCTGCAGTTAGGCAGTGCCACAGGCTGGGCTCTGCATTTGGGTAGGGCTGTAGGCTGTGCATCACAGCACAGTTGGGCAAGTTCAATGGCTGGTTTCCCTATGCTGTCAAAGTTCTGTCTATGCTCCCCAGTTGGTTTAGTTTGCTACCAGGCACCAGATTGGTCAGGGTAGGGTCATAGACTATACTTCACAGCTGGGCAGGGCTGCACGCTGTGCTCTACAATCATGTGGGACTGCTGGCTGAGCTCCATGGTTGGGCAGGGCTGCTGGAAGGGCTGCATGGTCAGTTGAGACCACAAGTTGTACCCTGCAGTTGAGTTGGGCTAAATGCTGGTTTCTGCAATCAGGCAGGGCTGCAGATTGGGTTGTGTAGATTGTGATCACTGACTGGGTTCCCTGGTTGTACAGGGTCTCAGGCTTTGTATGCAATTAGGTGAAGTCATTGAATGGAATCCTTGCTTGGGCACGGCCACAGGCTGTGCTCAACAATCAGGCAGGGTTGTAGAATGGGCTTCATCACTGGGCAAGGTGGTAGGCTGGGTTTCATGACTGGGTGGTGCTGTAGGCTGGGCTCTGTGGCTGGCTGGGGTTGCTGGCCAGCCTCCCTAGTTGAATGGAGCCAGGCTATGCTCCTCAGTTGGGTAGGACTGCTGGCTTGGCTTCTGGAAAGGGTAGGGCCATAGGCAAGGATCCACAGCTGGGTAGGCTCACTGTTCTGGCTCCATGGTTAAATAAGGCTACAGGCTATGCTCCCCAGTTAGGTGGTGTTACCAGCTTGGCTCTTTGCCCATGTGGGGCCATACACTCAGCTCTGAGTCTGGGCAGTGTTCCTGTTCATCCTTCTTGGTCAGGTAGGCTGGAGGCTATGTTCTGCAGTTAAGCAGGGTCTTTGGCTTGCCTCCTTGCCTGCGTAGGTTTATATAATGGGTTTTGTGGCCAGGCTGGACCTCTAGCTAGGAACCCAAGCTGGAAAAAACTGCCAACTGTGCTCCCTGGTCAGATGGGGCCACTAGCTCAGCCTTGTATGTAGGTACAGCTGCTGGCTGGAGTCTTTGCTAGCAAGAGCATGTTGTCACAACCAAGATTTGTGTGCCCTGCCTTCCTTCTTTGTTTCTAGCTGACTCCAAGTTGCCTAACCCTAAAGATATCCCCAGTGTTCTTCAAGAGGTGAGACATAACTGCTCCCCACACCCCACTGGGAATTTCCCCAAAATGCCCTTTTGGTGTGCCAAGACTAACCCAATGAAGTACAAAAGACAAGTGGACCATAGTCAAGTCACCCCAGGCCTCTTAAAGGAGTCCTGCCCAGGTCAGCCAACAGCCAGATGACACACATACATCCAGTTGAACCCAGCCATAATCAGAAAAACCACCCAACTGAATCCAGACTAAATCACTCAGCTACAGACTTATGTTCTAAATGGCTACTGAGGTCTTTTTAATGCACCATTGTTATGGCAACATGTAACTGATACGAAACGCAGTGCTAAATTGATACACCTTCCAAAAGGATGCTAGGAATTAGACCTTTTAGGATGATACAAAGATAAGACTAAACAATAGATTTTTTAAAAGGGTAAAGAGGACCTCCCAAACACATCACCACATTACACGCCCATAATAATAAAGTCAGAGAACAGAGATGCAGTATGAAACAGCTTATCCAGGGATTAATGAGCAGAGTAAGTCACTTTCTGTGGTCCAATTGGATGACTATAAAGCAAGATAAAGCAACCACAAATCTCAAGAGATTAATGGAAAAAGGGCCAGGATGAAGTAGAATCATTCTTGCTATAACACTGAACAAAGCCTTCCATCCTTTTCCTAGTGGGGTGTGGTGAGAGTCATAGCTCAAAAAATAAGTCTAAATCTCTCATAGTTTGTCATGGAGAAATAATTTGGAGCATTTTCTTATTTGAGCTTTCTGTTCAGATAGAAATTCAGAAAGACTTGTGGTTTTGAGTCCAAGTCTTGCCACTTACTTATTGTATGTGTCTAAGCATATTTCTAAGCCTTCTGTGTCATAAGTTTCCTCAAATGTCAAATAAAGGTAGTAGTAGAGCCTTCCTCATAGGTTAAAAAACGAACAAACACATACAACACTGTAGCTCATCTGGAAATGTAAACATGGGAAAATGGACCAGGCAATAATGCATTTAAAATGAGAAAACCAGCACCACAATATATTAAACTATATCATACAGCTATCACCAATAAAAGAGTTTGGTACCAGCTTTAGTTTATAGCAAGAGGCAACATGGAGACATAGGAAAGATGGGAGATGGAAACACAGAAATCAAAGTTTACCTCAGATGATCCATAAATCCATAAATGTGCCATGGTCTATTGGCATATTAGACTAAATTTTGTGGCCTCTAATATTTTACATTGTGGTATATCTAAATTTGTTCCTGACCATAGTGGGGATGAGATGGTATTTATTGAGCCCACTCATATTCTCAACACACTCACAGTAATAAAATGGCTGATAGATACATACAATGGTATTCCTCTTCAGTAATAACAAAGGGCAAATATAAACAACAATGATATTTCACTTTTTCCACCTATTCAGAGTTGCAGAGTAAAAGACAAATGATACAACAGAGTGTTTGCAAGGGTATGAGGAAATGAGCCACATGACTGGGAAGTTGTGAAGTCAAAATCAGAATCCAGGTTTGTCTGCTTTCCCAGCTGGTGAGTGTACTCTCTCTACCAGTCATCATTGCTTCATGGACTTGGAATCAGGTCAGAGGCCAGAAATCATGCTCCATACTGTTCAACGAGAAACATTTTAAACATTAAACCTCTCTCTCACAATTTTCCTCCAAAACAGTAGACAATACAACTGTGTGTAAAGGAAAGAACTGCAGACTGCATTCCTAGTTGACACGAATTTAGATTCTGTATCATCAACCTACAGCTACCATGTCTGTACGCAAACTTTTTTGAGTGCACGGGAAGTTCTATTATCCTTAGTTAAAGATGGGGAGCAATGTGTATTTAAGTTAAGGAATGATGCTATTTTACAGCTGTGATTATTTTGTCCAAAAGATTCATTCCATATATATATTTCTGCAATTAAGTCATTTTATATAACATGTCATCATTCCATATTATTTAACAGAGTTCAGCCTACTTGGTTTAAAAAATTATTCTCCTAATATTTGATTACTTGATTTTATACTATCAATACAGTGCATGATCATTACAGAAAATACAAAATAATAAAACAGTAATGAAAACATCCATAACATCTGTAATAGTAATAAAAATATCCATAATCCATTGCTAATTCTATAGTGTTTAACTATTCAGGTACATTTTATATGTGTATATACATATATTGAATTCAACCTAATTGTTTTAAACAGCTGCATCAGTATTTTGCTTAATATTCTTGTGTATGTTTCTATATATCAAGCTGTTTAGTCACCTGCTATACAAAAACACATTTAATATCTTCTCTCTCTTCTGAGAAGACATAAAAAACAGATTAGTGGTACTTGCTAGCACTGTGGCAGGGACAGACAAATGACAGGCAAATAACAAAGGAAGCACATAGGAAAGGAATCAAATGAAAGTGCCCCAGGCTCAGCGCAGAGCAAGCAGGCAAAAATGCCTAGCTCTGTTTCTCCCTGGAAGGGAGTTTGTCTAAATATTTTCCAAGCTGGTGCCTGAAGATCAGGCTTCTAACTAGCCTGCATCTGAGAGCTGATGGGGCAGGTAAACAATAGACCTCTCAGAGCCTGAATAGGCACATGGGCACTTCCCATGCCTTCTCCCCATCCCAGCTCACTCCAGTGATAAAACCAGGTCTTCAACTTCTTCCTGGAAGGAGTTTGTCCATACTTTGAGCACCTCAAATTTTACAGCTCCCACCTGAGGGACAGGGTCCTAAATCACCTAGCTCTCGGAGCTGATGGGGGCTCTGCATTTATGATTCTTCATGGACCACAGAAAACAAAGAGGTGATTTTAAATGTGGGCACGAGCACTTTCAGTAGCTATTTCCCCTGGCTCAGCACAGACTAGGCAAGTAAGAACACACAGCTCCAGGTTCCTCCCTGGAAGGGGTTTGACTACAAACCTAACATCCTGACTTTCCTAGCTGCTTCCTGTGAGTCTGACCTTTAATTAGCCTGCATCTGGGAGCTGAAAGAGCAGGCAATTAGTCCACTGGGAACCTAAATGGATGTGTGGGCACCTTCCATAACTCCTCTGCTGGACCACTCCAGAGATAAAGCCAAGCCTACAGCCAGCTGACCTGTCTCTGAGAGCAGATGGGCGTTGACATTCACTAAACCCCAAGGAACATCAAAGAACAAAGCAACAGGTTGAGATAGTGTGTGGTATGAATGAATATATAGGTATTTGTCACAGATACTCTCGCCAGCCTACTGCAAAGAATAAAGCAACAGGTTGAGATATCGTGTGGTCTGAATGAGTATATAGGTATTTCCCACAGATACTCTCTCCAGCTTACTGCAGAGCAAAAGCAAGGTAAACTACAGATCCCAACTTTTTCCTGAGGATAGAAAGAGAAGGAACACACATCTAATACTACAACTTTTCCTACTGCATCTTGAGAGACTGGCTTCTATCTTGCCTGTCTTGGGGAACTGACAGGATTTGGCACAACCTAATCTCCTGAGGTCCACTAAGAACAAAGACAGCAGTTTGGACAAGCACAAAGGTTTGAAGGGCACTTAGAATCTCTAGCCAGGCTGACTGGCAAGGTCCATCTCCTACATGAGGTTTCTGTTAAGACTGGGAGAGGGGATATTCTTATGTAATGTGCAGAAACCAACATAGAACCAAGAAAAAATGAAGAAACAGGGAAGTATATTTCAAACGAAAGAAATATGAATCTCCAGAAACGTTCTAATGAAATAAAGATAAGTGATTTACCTCCTAGAAAATTCAAAATAACAATCATAAAGATGCTCATTGAGTTCAGGAGAGCAATGCATAAACAAAGTGAGAATTTCAAAAAACAGATAGAAAACATAAAAAAATACCAAACAAAAAGTATAAGACTGACAAATACAATAACTGAATTATAAAAATCCAATAGAGAGGTTCAGCAGCCAAGTAGATCAAGTGGAAGAAAGGATCAGTGAACTCTAACAAGCCATTGGAATTCATTTAATCAGAAGAGAATACAAGAATGAAGAGGAGTGAGAAAAGAGTGAAGATTGCTTAAGAGACTTATAGAGCACCATGTAATGGACCAATATATTCATTTCTAGAGATCAAGGAAGAGAGGAGACACAGAAAGCTTATTCAAGTAAGAAATGACTGAAAACGTCACAAACTTGGGGAATGAAATAGAAATTCATAACCAGCAAGCTCAAAGGACACCAAATAAGATGAATCCAAAGAAACTCGCATCAAGACACTTTATCAAACTGTCAAAAATTAAAGTCAAAGAGATGATTTTGAAGGCAGCAGGAGAAAAAGCAGCCTGTTATGTACAAGGAAACCTCCATAAGACTTTCAGCAGTTATTTCAGCAAAAACCTTGCAGGGCAGCAAACAGTGAGTAGATATATACAAAGTGCTAAAAGGAAAAAAACCATGTCAACAAGAATACTATATTCAGCAAATCTGTCTTTCAAAAATGTAGGGTAGGCCAGGCATAGTGGCTCACGCCTGTAATCCCAGCACTTTGGGAGGCCACGGCGGGTGGATCACCTGAAGTAAGGCATTCGAGACCAGACTGGCTAACATGGTGAAACCCTGTCTCTACTGAAAAAACAAAAATTAGCCAGGCGTGGTGGTAGGCGACTGTAATCTCATCTACTCGGGAGGCTGAGGCAGGAGAATTGCTTGAACTCGGGAGGCGGAGGGTGCTGTGAGCCGCACTCCAGCCTGGGCAAAAAGAGCGAAACTCCATCTCAAAAAAAAAAAAAAAAAGAAGAGTAGATACTTTCTTAGACAAAGAAAAGCTTATCACCGCCAGATACACCTTAAAAATAATGTTAAAGGGAGTTTTTCAAGCTGAAACCAAGGACACTAAACAGTAACATGAGAGCCCAAGATAACATAAAATTCGTTGGTGAAAGTAACTAGACAAAGCAAGATTATTGTACTACTCTAACAGTGGCAGGTAAATCAATATGAATCTACTATAAAAGTTAAAAGACAAAAGTATTGAAAACAACTACAACTAAATTATGTATATGGTTACATAACATAAATATATGTAAATTGTGATATCAATAAAATATAGGGTGAAGGGAGGAGAAGTAAAAATGGAGAGCTCTTGCATGCAAATGAAGTTGAGTTATTATCAGCTTAAAGTAGATTGTTACAAGATATTTTATGGATGTCCTTTGGTAACCACAAAAGAATTACCTATAGAAATTGCACACAAAAGAAAAAGAGAAAGAAATCCAAACCTATCACTACAAAAAGAGAAAAAATGAAAACAAAAGAAGACAGCAAGCAGAAAAACAGCAAGAGCCACAAGACAAATAGAAAACAGGTAGCCAAATGACAATAGTAAATCTTTTCTTAATCATAATTACTTTAAATTTAAAGAGACTAAGCTCCTCATTAAAAAGATATAGAGTAGGAAAAAAGTTACAGAGTGGGGAAAAATACAAAGTGGCTGAATGGATTTTTAAAAATACCACCAAGCTTCAAATGTATGCTATCTACAAGAAACTCATTTTAGATTTAAGGACATATATAGGCTGAAAGCGAAGGGATGAAGAATGATATTACATGCAAATGATAATCAAAAAAGGCAGGAGTGGCTATACTTATATCAGACAAAGTTGACTTTAAGTCAAAAATTGTCTCTAGAGACAAATAAGTTAATTACATAATAACAAAATGATCAATGCAATAGGAAGATATATCAGTTATAAATATCTATATATCCCAAAAGAGAGTACCTAAATATAAAGAAAATACAGACAGATCTGAAAGGAAAAATTGACAGCAATACAATAATAGTAGGATACTTCGATACCCCACTTTTAATAATGGATAGAACATCAAGACAGAAAATCAATAAAGAAGCAGGAGATTGAACAATAGTATTAAACAAATGAACCCATCAGACATACACAGAAGTTTCCACCCAACAATAGAAGAATATACCTTTTCCACAAGCACATTCACCTGAGTATTCTCCAGGATAGATCATATAATAGTTCATGAAACAAGTTTCAATTTAAGAAGACTGAATTCATACCAAGTATATTTTCCAATCATAATGGTATGAAACCAGAAACCAATAACAGCAAAAAAATAAAAAAAATCACAAACATATGAAACTTAATAACATACTCTTGAACTGCCATTGGTTCAAAGATGAAATCAAAAGGGAAAAGTAAAACTATCTTGAGATGAATGAAAATGAGAAAACAACATACCAAAACTTATGAGATGTAGCAAAAGCAGTACTAACAAGGAAATTTATAGTGGTAACCACCTACATTATAAAAGAAGAAAGATCTCAAATAAATGACCAAGCTTTACATCTCAAGAAACTAGAAAAAGAAGAACAGGCCAGGCACAGTGGCTCACGCTTGTAATCCCAGCACTTTGGGAGGCCAAGGCAGTCAGATCACTTGAGTCCAGGAGTTCAAGACTAGCCTGGGCAACATGGTGAAACCTCGTCTCTACAAAAAATACAAAGCTTAGCTGGGCACAGTGACACAAACCTGTAGTCCCAGTTACTCAGGAGGCTGAGGTGGGAGGATAACTTGAGCCAGAGAGGTAGAGGTTACAGTGAGCCAAGGTCATGCCACTGCACTCCAGCCTGGGCAACAGAATGAGACCTCATCTCGAAAACAAAACAACACAAAACAACACAAAAACGAAGAACAAACTAATCCCAAAGTTGGCAGAAGGAAGAAAATAATAAAGATCAGAGCAGAAATAAATTAAATAGAGAATAGAAAATCTATTGAAGAAAATCAACAAAACTAAGAGTTTGTTTTTTGAAAAAATAAACAAAATGAACAAATCCTTAATTAAGAAACTAAAGGTTAACCCTTAATCCTAAACTAAGTAAGAGAGAAGATTCAAATAAAAATGAGACATTACAATATATGTCTCAGAAGTTAAAAAAGGATCTCAAGAAACAATTATGAGTGATTTTATGCCAACAAACTGGATAACCTAGGGAAAACAGATAAATTCGTACAAACATACAATTTATTAAGACTGGATCAAGAAGAAATAAAGTGGGGTACAGTGGTTCATGCCTATAATACCAGCACTTTGGGTGGCTGAGATGGGAGGGTCGCTTGAGGTCAAGAGTTTGAGATCAGCCTGTGCAACATAGAGAGATCTCATTTGTACAAAAATTTTAGCTGGATGTAGTTCTAGCTACTGGAAAGGCTGAGGCAGGAGGATCACTTGAGCCCAGAAGCTCAAGGCTGTAGTGAACTATGGTCATCTCATTGCACTCCAGCCTGGGTGACAGAGTGATACCCCATCACTAAAAGAAACAAACAAGAAGAAATAGAAAGCTTGAACAGACCAATAGCAAATAAAGAGATTAAACTAGTAAACAAAAACCACCCAACAAAGAAAAGCCAAAGATCAAATGTCTTCACAGCTGAATTCTACCAAACATTCAAAGAAAAATTAATACCAATCCTTCTTAAACTCGTCGAAAAAATAGACGTAGAAGGACTACCTCCAAACTCATTTTCTGAGGCCAGCATTACCCTGATACCAAAGCCAGACAAAGATACCACAAGAAAAAAAATACAGGCCAACATCTCAGATGAACATAGATGCAAACATTCTCAATAAAATATTAGAAAATCAAATTCAACAAGCACCAAATTGATTATACACCGTAACCAAATAGAAATAATTCCTGGGATGCAAGTTTGGCTTAACATACACAGTAATTCAATGCAATACACCACATGAAGAGCATGAAATATAAAAACCATATGATCTTTTCAATATATGCAGGAAAAGCATTTGACAAAGTTCGATATCATTTCATGATTAAAAAAACTTTTAACAAAATAAGTATTGAAGGGTATTTCTCAACATAATAAAGGCCACTTATGAAAATCCCATAGCTAACATCATAATCAATGGGGAAAAATTGGAAGCTTTTTCTTTAAGATCCAGTACAAAACAAAAATGTTTATTCTTGCCACTTTTGTTCAACATAGTACTGGAAGTACTAGCAAGAGGAATCAGACAATTAAAAGAAGAAGAAAAAAAGTCATCCAAATTGAAAAGGAAAAAGTACAATTATCTTTGCAGATGATATATGTAAAGATGTATGTATAAAATATATGTATAATATAAAACCCTAAACACTCCTTCACCCCCGCCCCCCCAAAAAACCCTAGTTAGAACTAATAAACAAATTTAGTAAAGTTGCAGTGTACAAAATCAATATACAAACATCAGTTGCATTTATTTGCATTAATAATGGTCTATCAAAAAAGGAAATCAAGAAAATAATTAAATGTATGAGAGTATAAAAAAGAATAAAATACCTAGGAATAAACATAACCAAGGACATGAAAGATTTATATACTGAACACTATAAAACACTGATGAAAGAAATTGAAGATGATGATACAAATAAATGGAAAGATAATTTGTGTTCATGGATTGATGGATTGGAAGAATTAGTATTGTTAAAATGTCCATATTACTCAAAGGGATAAACAGCTTCAGAGCAAACCCTATCAAAATTAAAATGGCATTTTTCACAAAAACTTAAAAAATAATAAAATTCATACTGATATGGTTTGGCTCTGTGTCCCCACTGAAATCTCATCTCAAATTGTAATCCCCGCATGTCGAGGGAGGGACCTGGTGGGAGGTGATTGGTTCATGGTGGTGGTTTCCCCCATGCTGTTCTCCTGTTAGTGAGGAAGTTCTTATGAGCTCTCGTGGCTTTAAAAGTGGCAGTTTCCCCTACACGATCTCTCTCTTGGTGCCTTGGAAGTAGCTGCCTGCTTCCCCTTCACCTTCCACCATAATTGTAAGTTTCCTGAGGCTTTCCCAGCCATACAGAACTGTGAGTCAATTAAACCTCTTTCCTTTTAAACTACCCAGTCTCAGGTAGCATCTTTACAGTAATGTCAAAATGGACTAATACTCAAAAGACCCTGAATAGCCAAAACAATCTTGAGGAAGAAAAACAAATTAGATACATCATACGTTTAATTTCAAATTATATTAAACAATGTAAAACAAAGCTCTAGTAATCAAACAGCATGGTATGGGCATACAAACCAAAGACCAATAGACAGAATTGAAAGCCCAGAAATAAACTCAAGCATATATGGTCAACTAATTTTCAACATGGGAACCAAGAATGCATAATAGGGAAAGGATAGTTTCTTGAATAAATAGTGTTGGAAAAGCTGGACATCCACATGCAAAATCATGAAATTGCACCCTTATTTTACACCATACTTAAAAATCAGCTCAAAATGGATGAAAGATGTAGACATAAGACTTGAAATCATAAAACTCTTAGATGAAAACATAGAGGAAAGCTATGACACATTGACCCTGGCAATAATTTTTTGAATATTCTACCAAAAGCTCAGGCAGCTAAAGCAAAAATAAACAAGTAGGGCTATATCAAGCTAAAACCCTTCTGAACAGAAAAGAAAACAATCAACAGAGTGAAAAGGCAATCCACAGAATGGGAGAAATATTTGCAAACCATATATTTGATAAAGGGATAATATCCAAAATACATAAGAAACTCAGAGAGGTCAATAGCCAAAAATCCAAATAACCAAATTACAAAATGGATAAAAGTCCTGAATAGATATTTCTTTAAAGAAGACATATAAATGGCCAAATGGTATATAAAAAGGTGGTCAACATCACTAATCATTAAGGAAATGCATATCAAAACCACAACATCACCTCACACCTATTAGGATGGCTGTTATCAAATGGATAACAGATAAACGTTGGCAAGGATGTGGAAAAAAAGGCAATCCTTGTACTCTGTTGGTAGGAATGTAAATTGGTCAGCCATTATGGAAAACAGTATGGAGATTCAGGCAGAAAATTAAAAATAGAACTATCATATGACCCAGCAATCTCTCTTCTGGGTATATACCCAAAGAAAGTGAAATCTAAACCTCACAGAGATATGAACACTCCCATATTCATTGCAGCATTATTCACAGAAGCCAGTATGAAAACAACCTAAGTGTCTGTCAATAGATTAATGGACCAACAAATTGTTATATATATTATATAATATATGTATTACTATATATACTATATTATATAGTATACTATATATACTATATTATATAGTATACTATATATACTATATTATATTGTCTACTATATATACTATATTATATTGTCTACTATATATACTATATTATATTGTCTACTATATATACTATATTATATTCTCTACTATATATACTATATTATATTGTCTACTATATATACTATATTATATTGTCTACTATATATACTATATTATATAGCCTACTATATATACTATATTATATTGTCTACTATATATACTATATTATATAGCCTACTATATATACTATATTATATTGTCTACTATATATACTATATTATATTGTCTACTATATATACTATATTATATTGTCTATTATATATACTATATTATATTCTATACTATATATACTATATTATATTGTATACTATATATACTATATTATATTGTATACTATATTATATAGTCTACTATATATACTATATTATATAGTCTACTACATTATATAGTAGACTATATTATATAGTCTACTACATTATATAGTAGACTATATTATATAGTCTACTACATTATATAGTAGACTATATTATATAGTCTACTACATTATATAGTAGACTATATTATATAGTCTACTATATATACTATATTATATAGTATACTATATATTATATTATATAGTCTACTATATATACTATATTATATAGTATACTATATATTATATAGTATACTATATATACTATATTATATAGTATACTATATATACTATATTATATAGTAAACTATACTATATATAGACTATATATACTATATTATATAGTACACTATATAATATGCTATATAGTCTATAGTATATATATACTGTATATACTGTATATATAGTGTATATAGTATATATATACTATATATAGACTATATAGCATATTATATAGTATATACTATATATACTATATATACAGTATATATATAGTATATATACTATTACATATATGTATTATATATGCTATTACATATATATGTATATTATATATACTATATATACTATTACATATATATGTATTACCTATATATAACTCAGCTTAAAAAAAAGGACAGCAGATCATTTTCAACAACATGGATGAACTTGGAGGACATTATGTTAAGTAAAATAAGCCAGACACAGAAAGAAAAACACTGCATGATCTCACTTATATGTGAAATCTAAAAAAGTCAAATATATAGAAATAGTGTAGAACATTGATTCCCAGAGGCAGAGGGGATGTAGTGACCTACATCTCGCTGGTCACTAGGGACGATACAACTTTGTACCCTTGTCGAAGTGTATCCCTTGACAAAGGTACAAATTTGTAGTTGCATAGGATTAACAAGCCTAGAGCTCTAATGTGCAGTATGATAATTATAGTTAAGAGAGTAGATTTCAGATACTCTTCCCACAAGAGGATAACTATTTGAGGAGATGCTTGACTCGTAATATTTTCACATGATTGCACATACATATGTATATATATATGTATATCAACATCACGTCATACACCTTAGATATATGCAATAAAAAGAAAAAATGAGGTATTTTTTGTATCTCATAAATAACAATGTAATTTTTGTTCTGCTCCAATTTTAGTCATCTGATTTTGTATTTCTCTTTCATATTTTAAATCTCCATCATTAATTTTAATTGTTGCACAATTTCCATGTTTATGATATTCCAAAGATAATTTAGTGATTCACCCATAGAATGATACCTTGATTATATCTCATTTACAGTACTTCAGTGGGAGCATCAAGGGAAAAAGGGAGAGAGAGGAAGAAGCAGAAAAAACATTGTAAGAAATAATGTCTGAAAAGGCCCCAAAATACTAATCTATGCATCAAGAAACTCAACACATTCCAAGTAGAATAACTAGAAAGAGATACACATCCAAATACATCATAGTCAAAAAGTTGCAAGCCATAGACAATAAAAAATACGTTGAATACACTAAGAGAAACAGAAACACATTAGACATTGTGTACAAAGGAACTCTAATAAGATTTTTTATTATAGAGACAGGGTTGTCTCCCAGGCATAAAGCAAATGGCAGACCCAAATGCAAACATACCAATAATAACATTAAATGTCAATGGATTAAGTAATCCAATCAAAGTAATCCAGTCAATACTAATACTGGAGAAAAACAAGTACAACTATGGTCTAACAACTATGTGTTGTCTAAGGGGGGACATACTTAAGATTTAGAGGTACAAATAGGTTGAAAGTAGCAGAATAGAAAAAGATAAACCAGGCAAACAGAAGTCATTAGAGGATGTCAGGCAAAATAAACTTTACAAAAAATGTTTAGAAATAAAGAGGGACATTTTATAATGATAAAAGTATTAATCATTAGGAAGAAACAATAGTTATACACACATATGCACCTAACAATAGAGCACCTAAATACCAATGCAAACCTGACACAATTGAAGGGAGAAATAGTTCAAAAATAATATTAAGAGACAACAATACCCTACTTTTACTAATGGGTAGCATAACTAAGCAGATCATCAAAGATATAGAAGACTTTGATTCTGCTGAGAGAGTATTTTAAAAATTAAAAAAGGACATAGACAACTTGAAAAACACTATAAAACAGCTAGATCTATCAGATAGAACACTCTACCCAATAAAAATAGAATACTCATTCTTCTCAAGTGCACATGAAACATTCTCTAGGACAGAGCATACATTGGGCTATAAAACAAATCTCAATTCATTAATAAAATCGAAGTCACACATATTACATTCTTTGATCAGATGGACTGAAATTAGAAATCTATAAGAGAAGAAAGCTTTGGGATTTCACAAATATGCAAAAAGTAAGCAATACACACCTAAATAAATCATAAGTCAAAGTAGAAATCATGACAGAAATACAGGAACACAATAATAGAAAGTTAACCTAATTTAAAAATGGACAAAAATCTGAAAAGACATTTCTCTGAAGAAGACAGGCAAATGGCCAATAAGTATATGAAAAGATGCTCAACATCATTTGTTAGCAGAAAAATGCAAATCAAAACCACAGTGAAATACCACTTCACACAAAATAGTTTGGCTATAATACAAACGACAGCCAATAACAAGTGTTGGAAGGGATGGGTAGTTATCAAAACCTTCCAACATTGCTGGTAGGAATATAAAATAGTGCAGACACTGTGGAAAATGGTTTGGTAGTTCCCCAAAATATTAAACAAGTTAGCGTTTAACCTATTAATTTCACTGCTAGGCATATACTCAAGAGAATTGAAAACATATGTTCACCAAAAAAAAAACCATGTACATGAATGTTCATATCAGCATTATTCATAATAGCCAAAAAGTGGAAACAACCAAAATGGCCATCAACTGAAGATTGGAAAAACAAAATACAGTATGTGTACACAATGAAATATTATTCTGCTATAAAAATAATGAAGTACTGATTCATTCTACATTACTGATGAAACTTGAAAACGTACTGCAGAGTGAAAGATCACAAATTGTATGATTCCATTCATATGAATTGTACAGGATAAGCAAATCTATAAAGACAGAAAGTAGATTACTGGTTGATTGAGGCTATAGGGGATGTGGGGGATAGGAAGTGACTGTCAGTGGATAGAAGGTTTTATTTCAGAGATGGTTAAAGTAATTAAAATTAGATTATGTTGATGGTTACATAACTCTGAATATGTTAAAGACTATTGAACTGTATACTTTAAATGGGTGCAATTTATGGCATCCTAAAAATATTTCTATAAAGCTGCTAAAATAGATAATGCTTGTATGCTACTTTTTGGGCTAGATAAAATGTTAAAAAATTACCATTTTTTATACAATTACACATGTGTTTTCCTCACTTGGAAGTTAGTAATAATGTAGTTTCTATCTCCAGAGAAACAGGAAGCTTTTTAATCTCAAAAAGTTTTATCTATAGCTTTTTAATCTCAAAACATCACCTTTGAATTAGTTATAATTGCATGGGATTTTGAAATTGTTACCTATTGTAGGGTGTAGGGGGTGGAGGATTAAAAGAGCATTTTTCTTTTCTTTCTTTTTTTTTTTTTTTGAGACGGAGTTTTGCTCTTGTTGCCCAAGCTGGAGTGCAATGGCGTGATATTGGCTCACTGCAACCTCAGCCTCCTGGGTTCAAGTGATTCTCCTGCCTCAGCCTCCCGAGTAGCTGGGATTACAGGCATGCGCCACCACGCCCTGCTAATTTTGTATTTTTAGTAGACAGGGTTTCTCCATGTTAGTCAGGCTGGTCTGGAATTCCCGACCTCTGGTGATCCACCCGCTTCAGTCTCCCAAAGTGCTGGGATTACAGGTGTGAGCCACCGCACCCAGCCTAAAAGAGCATTTTTGAAAGAAATTTGGCCTCCTGACCTGCATTAGATCTGGATGATGTAGGGAAGAGGATCCAATGTGGTGTTAAAATATATTTAGAAAATTAACAAAGGAATTTAGTATGGGATATGTTTAAAAGGATACTTAAGTAGGAGAGAAAATTAAAGTTTATGTCTCATGACTAGGGGACTAACTTTCTTAAACAATTTATTTGTTAAAAGAATTATTGGGAAAATGAGCTCTGATTGTGAAAAAATTTGGTGCTGGACTACTTAACAGATGCCCTCCTCACTTAGCTCCATCACTCTTCTCTGGGCCATCATGGTCACTACCAATTCCCCCTTTCTTTTCCCCAACTCCTCCACCTCCACTCACACACACACATGCAAATACACATGGCTTCATTTTGCTCTGGCTCATCTAATGTCACAATAGTCCAATTTAGCATTTGGACTAAATTGCTCAGAAAGGGAAAGGAGGTAAAGAAAAAAGGGAGAGGGAAGGGTAGCAGAATTAGAAAATTGTGAATTTCTCATTTGGGAATTTTCTTCCCTGAAGATTCTCATCAGACTTTGAAATTATTGTAGAGGAATCATCGGTTACAATATTGTGCTTTTAATGGTAATTTTATTGCAGTCCTTGAGAAATTTAAATTGGTGGTCAACTTTTGGTTTTTGATACTCATTTCTATCAAGAACCTGTGAAGATTAGGGGTTAGTTTAAAAATCAGGTGATCTTCAGTATATAGTATTAGTGATATGCTAGAGATCAATATCACTATGTCTATATATTGATGTATTTATATCAATTTCTATCTCTATTTATCCGTAAAATTCACATATATGGCAAAAAGATAACAGAGTTGCATGCTTATAGAGACAGAATATACAATGAAAAATAACTGGGAGGGGGACAAACAAATTTCTTTATAAAAGATACCTCGCAAAGGACTGAGGACTGAAGTGACCAGGGTGTTAACCTTCTTGTTTTACTTATTTCCTCCCTGTTTTATGTTAATGTTCATTTATGTTAACTCTGTATTATTTTGTAATCTGAAAAGTAACTGAAATTAAATATTTAAAAATATGCAGACAACATTCATTGAAAGTGATTCATACACAAAAAGATATAATCATACAGGAATATGGAAGAATATTCAAATCTTCTGTTGAGTTTAAAAGAAAAATATTTTCAAAATGGTTCATATGTGTTAATGGAACAAATATTTAGAAGTATATATATAAATGTTAATCCAAAACAGCTGATGGCATTGATAATGATCGATAGTTCCTTCTTGGTCAGTTTCAACATGTTTTTAGATTGTTCCCATGAGTATTCTTATACTTCAAAAGTAATTGAACTGAAAGCAGAATATTCCATTTCGTGGCCTCTTCCATTATCTTCCAGACAACACACACACACACACACACACACACACACACACACACACACAGTGCAAACATACACACAGAGCCTTATCTTCAGGTGAAAGTTGAATTTTCTATGGGATGGAAAGAGCTGTCTATGTACCTTGTGTCTCTAATTACCTGTATGCTGAGAGTGTGTTTCTCTTCTTTGATTTTTAGACCATAGACAATGTCTAGTTATGAGATGTAACAAATATGCATTTTCCCAGTTTCTCAGAAAAGAGAGTGAGAATACACTAAAATTATTTTTAATAGACTATGATATACTGCATGGTATTATTTTCATATATGCATTCAATGGAATACTAATTGAACTATTATAAAGGAGATAGAATTAAATGTACTGACATCGAAAGATGTCATGCAATGTGAAAAAGGCAAATTGCAGAATGGCAATGTTATGTTAATGATCCAATTTCTAGGGAAAAACATACAGTGAATGTTAGAACATTATGTTATGATCCTATTTAGTTACATAAGCACCCCCTGCCCCTGGTCTTCAGCTGAGAGTGGTAGGAAGTTCTTTGTGTCCATAAAGCCTAAATATGCACATGTTGGCAGTATGACTTACTTCCCTATGTCGGTCATCTGGCCCCTATCTATGCAGGCTTCTCTGGCTTTGATACTTATCTGTATATTCTACTTTTTGTAAGAAATTGGGAAGGAGAGAGGGAGGGTGGGAGGGAGAAAAAGAAAAAGAGAGAGAGAACTTGAGCTTAGATTATAACACAGTCTAAATTCCAAGTCCAGGAGGGAGTGATGAATGTTGGAGAGAGCACACCTGCCTGCTGTGGAGACAGAAAGACCTGAAATCCTATTTTGGTCCCCTCATTCCAAGCTGTTTGATCTTTGGCATGTGCCCAACAGTGCCTGACTTCTCAATCCCTGTCCAACACTGTGCTTTGTCATTCTTTGCTTCTTTGCCTATTAAATGGTGAGTGGGTGGAGGTATTGGAATACAATCTAATTGCTGTTCATCTTTGCATTTGACTGAGTATTCAGCAGTGTGGCTACCTTTTTACATATTTACATATTTTACATATTTATTGGATATTTTTATGTCTTTGCTTTCCCTTTGCAATTTGTGTCTTCCCCACATGCATATATATATATATATATATATATATATATATATATATATATATATGTATACACATATATAGTCACGCATTGCTTAACAATGGGGATATGTTCTGAGAAATGCACTGTTTGGTAATTTTATCATTGTGCCAACATCATAGAATGTACTTGCAACAACCTAGATGGTATACTTACTACACATCTAGGCTATTGCCCCTAGGTTAAAAACCCAAATGTTACTGTACCTAGTACTGTAGGTAACTGTAAGTATTTGTGTATTTAAACATAGGCAAGTTACAGTGAAAATAAAGTATTTATAATTTTATAGGACCACTGTACATCATTGATCAAAACATCATCATGTAACACATAACTGTACATATGTCTGTATGTGTACGTGCATAATAAAATTCAAGCAATAGTAGAGACCCATACCTCTAGTCTGAAACTGAATGCATCAAGGACCTGTATGCAGTTCCCTGGGATAACTTGGGCTTCTTTGATCTTATCTTCCAACCTTCCTGTTTCTTCATAATGCCACTTGCTAAAAACTCATGTTAGTACCAACATTTTGAAATAATTGTAGCTCTATAAAATATTTGTATATGATATATTTGATTTGCCTTCATGATATTTCTGTTATGGGATATTTGTAAGTATGAATCTGTCTATTTTTCCAGATGAATTAGCATGCTGTTTTGTGTTCTTTTATCAACTCCTTAAAGCAGGTGTTAATATTTTTAGCATTTAGAGGAGATTGATTTCAGGCATCATAGCATAAAGAGCTCCACTGACCCATTTCTTAGTGAAAATGGTGAAGAGAAAACAATCATTTATATCCTGTGGAATTTATAGTATGCAGCTAAAGCAAGGCTTAGATGGAAATTTACAGCTGTAAATGCCTTTATTAAAAAAAAGAAAAAGTCTTCAAATTAATAATCTGTCTAAACAAGAACAAAACTAAACCTAAAGCAAGCAGAAGGAAGGAAATAATAAAGATTGTAGTAGGAATTAACAAAATAGAGAACAGAAAAATAGGAAAACAATCAATGAAACCAAAACTCAATTATTTGAAAAGATTCACAAAATTGACAAACCTTTAGCTAGTCTGACTGAGAAAAAACAGTAAAGACTCAATTTACTAGAATCAGAAATGAAAGTGGGCATATGACTTTACAAAATAAAAAGAATTAAAATAAAATGTTATGAGAAATTGTATGCCAACAAATCAGGTAGCCTAGCTAAAATGGACAAACTCCTAGAAATATACAAACTACCAAAAAAGACATAAGAAGAAATAGACAATCTAAATATACCTGAAACAAGTAATGAGATTAAATCAGTAAACAAAATGAAACAAAACAACTACCCACAAGGAAGTGTTCAAGCCCAGATACTTTCACTGCTGAATTCTACCAAACATTCAAAAATGAATATCAATTCTTCACAAACTCTCCCCAAAAAGAACAGAACAACTCAGGTGTCCATCAATACATGGATAATTAAAATGTGGTATATTCATACAATATTATTTGGTGATAAAAAGCAATGAAGTACTGGTATATGTTACGACATTAATGAATCTTGAAACTATACTGCTAAGTGAAAGAAGCCAGTTTTTTTTAAAGCAATCCCAATTCTGTATGATGCCATTCATATTAAAGTCCAGAATATGGAAATCTGTAAAGACAAAAAATAGATAAGTCGTTGTTTAGGGCTGGATGAGGGGACCGGGGATATGTGGAGGATAGCTAAATGATATGGGGTTTCTTTTTGAGTTGGTATAAATGTTCTAAAATTGAATTTCATGATGGCTGAACACTATCTGTAAATAAACTAAAAACCAGTGAAATTTACACTTCAAATGGGTGAATTTTATGTTATATGAATTATATCTCAGTAAAGCTGTTAAAACCATCATATGGCAGATAAGGAAACTACAATTATGAAAGTCTCAATGGCCTCTGCTCTTCAATTTCGTATAATAGAGGTAGAGCTGCAAATCAAACCCACATCTGTCCTTTGGAGTGGCACTCATTTGAACAACTCAACCTTAAAACAACCCTACAATGTTGCCTTTCTGGAAAATCACAGAGGTTAGAATGTGGTCTTGATATTGTTCTCTTTACTAAGAGACTGTTGAATATCTTCAGTTAGTTTGGCTACAGGTATAAATCTGGCCCATACTGGCCCTTCTCTTGTTAATCCAGTGGGGAATGTGGTCACTTCTTTTTTTAGATTCCCTAGAACCGTTCATAGAAGAGTCCTCTTGCTTTGCTTATTAATCCCAGCAAGAAATGTGTCATATGGCATCTCTGTCTCCTAAACCAATTGACCACAGTGTGACAGGAGCTATTTTTACCTGTGTACTGTGATAATGTGTCTGTCGAGTTCTTCCTCCCTGAGATTTTATTTTATTTTTAATCTTAACATGATATATATTTAAGATACTTAACTCATAGCCTCATTATCAATTAGCAGTGTGGAGGTTTTAGTATTGCCTGAGGAATGCAAATCCCCAAATGTGACAGGCTCAAATTTATCTTCTTGTGGAGATTAGAGTACAGAGCACATTATTCAAATTTGTTTCTATTGTGAGGAAGCATTTTCCTCTCCTGCCATCTTCATGTGAATTTCTTTAAATATTGATCTGCATTCTTTCGTCCTGACAGTACCTTAGTATCTGGTTTGCCTTCCCCTAAACCTGGGAGACTCATCTTCACTAAGTTATCATCTCCTAATGTTATTCCAATTTGACCATGAATTATTGAGCTTCCCACCTATGCAGACTTACCTTGCCTCATGACAGACCTTGGGATAGTTGTGACTACAACATCTCTACATGGGATGCTGTATAAGAGGAAAATAGACATAAATTTCTGAGCTTCTGTTTTCTTTTTTAATTTCATCTTCTAACAGCTTAATTGACATTTCATTCAATTATTCATGCAACCATTCATACACAGTATTGTGAGGCACGTAAGAAATAGGGATATGGTTTGAGGTTCTGCCTCTGAAGAAGTACAGATGGGAGAAGTGTCACAGAAATATGTTAATCTTGTGAACCAGCTGAAAATCTTTCCCTGATGACTGGATTCATTGTTTTGTCTTAGAAGAAAATTTTTTTAGCTGAAGCAAGAATTAATGGGAATCACTGAATGCTAGCATCAGAAATCAGGAGTCCCAAGTGACACCATTTTTATGAGTTTATGGTTTTGTCTTCCTGGTATGGAATTCAGAACCTGACAAACACTTTATTATAGTACACAGGGTTTACAAAAGGTATACACAAATGTGTCACATATGAATTTATTCTCTCGTTACTTAATTATTGGTTTCACAAAATGGCACCTGGGGAGTGGATATGGATTTGGAGTGTGTGGCCTATGAGATCACTTTTAGCACCAGCATGTGTTATTGCCAGTTCTAAGGTTTTCATGGGATGGGAAAGCAAACAATGTCTATGTTGGATGGATAGAATTTTTTTTTTTTACCACCATATACTCTATCTCTAGTCCACTGTTTAAAAAGCTTTGCCCTCTAGTGTATTTCCTTGGTTGCCTTCTCATATTCTTTCTGTGTGTCTCTCTTGAATTGGGCTAGGGTATATGTAGCTGAGTTAGTACTTATGGCTCTGATTCTGTGAATGAATTTTCACTTCCTAGTTGCTATAGTAGGCTGACATCAGCCAGAAGAACTTGTTTCTATGGCAACTAAGACCACTTGTTCTGGGATGACTCTTTTATATTTGCAAGGAAGCAGATACATTTAGCAGGTATGTTCACAGGCAAACTGTGTGGGATACTTGCATCAACATCAAACTTATTTGTTTTCTATCATTGATGGTGTGTTGAGGGAAGTGGAGTTTGTTAGGCATAAATGGGCTTAATTTCTCCTGTTGTATGAGATTACGGCAATCCATGCTGAGGAAAGACTGCTGGCTGATTCACTAGCCTTTACTTCCACTTCCTAGTTTCTATGTCATAAAATAACTACTATAGTGGGAGGGCCATATGGTGAATGAGTTCTTTAAAAAAGAGGTTTGCAAACATTCTAATCATCCACCACTGTGAAGGAAAATGTGCTTGAAGTTAACTGCAAATAATGTATCCATATTTATAACATAGGAAAATAGCCCCTGCAATCATCAATCATGTATTCAAATTCCTTATAATAAATACTTTGTGTATATATGTTTGTGTCTATACATACATTATAAGGAAATAATATTGTACAATATGAAACAAAAATTTGAATAAGAAATGAGATATACATGAATATCAGTGAAAGTTATATTATTTTATTTGTTGACCCCCCCCCAACAGATCATATTGTGAATTTCCTGAATTAGCCCACATTCTATTTTAGAAACCACTGCTCTAAAGAACATGTTTGGCTGGGCGCAGTGGCTCATGCCTGTAATCCCAGCATTCTGGAAGGCCGAGGCCAGCAGATCACTTGAGCCCAGGAGTTCAAGACCAGCCTGGGTAATATAGTGAAACCCCATTTCTACAAAAAATACAAAAAAAATTGGCTGGGCATGGCGGCACATGCCTGTAGTCTCAGCTATTCAGGAGGCTGATGTGGGAGGATCACTTGAGCCCAGGAGGTTGAGGCTACAATGAGTTGTGATCACACCACTGCATTACTGCCTGGGCAACAGAGTGAGATCTTGTCTCAAAAAAAAAAAAAAAAGAGCATAATGGGTTTAGTTACACCACTATCTAAGTCTGTAAATGACCCCCTTAGCATAAAATAATAAGCCCTTAATTATGTATGTGATTTGTGTGGTTTCATTTTTGGTAGTGGATATTGTTGATGTCACAGTTGTTTCATTTTTATTATGTTTCAAAAGTATGATAGTTTTCTAATGTATCAACTTCAACTTGGCTAGGATAAACTATGGTGATAGAATAGAGGGCAGTGGCTGTCTTGTAGCCCACAAACACCTTTTCCCAGTTATTCAATCAAGCACTAATGTGGGTGCTGCTCTGAAGGGATTTTGCAGATACAATTAAAGTCTCTTAATCAGTTGACTACAAGTAAGGTAGATTCACCTGGCAGTCCTGACTTAATCAGTGGAAGGCCTTAAAAGAAGATTTAGCCATTTCCTGAGTCAGACTCCAAAGAACAGCTGAGTCTACAAGTGTTCAACCATCACTGCATATTCCTTTCCTGATACCCTGTTAACAACTATGTCAGCCCATGCCCATGGAATTCTTTTCTGCATGTGATCTTCCCTTCCTGCCACTTGTTCTATGAATTTCAGATTTGCTTAGCCAGCCCTCATAATCACATATTCCATTTCTTTTTAATAAATACTCCTTATGTTTGTCTGTCTCTATCATTTATTTATTGTACTGGTTCTGCATCTATGACTGAAACTTGAGAGAAAGAATGGCATAGTATCTGAGGCACATATTGAGGTTTTTCTTTGAAATATACATGCTTTAGGAAGAATCAGGTGGTAGGAATATTTGAAACTCTCATCTCCACATTCCATATTCTGCTTTGGTAGAGTAAACCAACAAGTATCTGAGACAGATCTCAATCAATATAGAAGTTTATTTTGCCAAGGTTAAGGACATGCACCCAGGAGACAGGTCTGTGCCTTTCTCCAAAGATGATTTTGCGGGCTTCAATATTTAGAAGAGAAAAGCAAGCTAGAGGGAAAACAGGAAGAGTATGGTCACATTACTGAATCCACGTGTTAGAAGAGAAAAGGAACAGGAAAGGGAATAGTCAATTATATATTGGTCTCATGCTCAGTAAGTCAGCATTTTATATAAGATTAACATAGAGTAGCTACCTGTAGAGATATTTAAGTTTTTACTCGTAGCTATCTGTTTAGGAACAAAAGGAAAGGAGGCTTCCTGCATGACTCAGCTTTCAGCTTAATTTTTTTTTCTTTTGGCATAGTGAAATTAGAGTCCCAACTTTTTATTTTCCTTTCACATTTCTCTCTCTTTTCTTTTTTTAAATTTTTCAGAGAAAGCATTTTAGAAGAAAATGAGTCTCTGGTCTTGGGTTTTGTCTGATCTCTTGTAGCTAGGACAGTTTATTCCTAGATGACTAGTTCCCACATTGTTAGGAAAACTCATTTTTAGATGGTTGTGAAGTCACATGACCTATGAAGAAAAAATAGGGGGAGGAAGAGAGAAAGAAAATAACACACAAACAGAAAACAAGAGAACAATCCTGCAAAACAGATGTAGGCCATATTACTCTGAATTTCATACATCAGTATACACGTATGAAAGTAGTTCATGTATATAAATAGGTTGCTGTTATTTTCTTCTGAAGTTTAAGTTGCCTAGCTTCAGTTCACAGGGCTTTAAGAAAGCACAGCTTAATTTTTAGTAATTTTAAATCTAGAAAACTGGGAAAAAAGAAGAGAAAAAATTGAAAATATTATTTTGAAGACATAGAAAACATTTTAGAATTCAGTCCAAATTTTAGAAGATAATAAAAATTGAAAAACATTTGGCAAGGCTACAATCTAGTAAGAGGTTTACTCTAGTTTATTTTGAAATATATGTTTTTTCTCTTTCTAGTCTCCAAGTTTTACCAAAGACAAATCATGGAAGGAACAATTTGTTTGCAAAATAAGTTTTAGTTTTATTGTATTTGGCCTGATTACTTGCATAAAGTGCAGCAAGAATAATTATTTGCCATATAGGCTCTTTTAAAAAATTGGCTTTGATGGCACTTTGTTCCATAAAGAATCTTAGATTAGACCTTTTAAATCCTTGACCCCAGCCACGGATTTAAATGCACCTGTAAATACTTGTATGAGTTGGGTGAATTCCTCACCTTTGTAGGTCCCGAGATAACTTGAGGTTTCTGGGCTTGTCAGAAAATGATGTTCTTTACTTACCACAGGTCAGGAACCCTGTGTATGGACTGAGTAGACAAGGTCTGAGGCCAGTTTTTCCAAAGGGCTTTAGTTAGCTCCATAAATCAACTTTGATTCTTTAAAGCAGTCTGTTTATATTTGAGAGCATGCCATTCCAGTCAAAGCCTTGGTAAAATAATCAGTGTTTTCAATGGTGTCCTGTTATACAAGAAAAACAGATTCTCATTGCACTTACACAAATAACTATATTGCCATAATTTAAGAATACTCACAAATATTTTCCAAATCCTGGAGAAATCAGGTAGAAAGAAATTTGCCCCAAGTTTTCCTCAGAGGAGTAAACTTTACTCCATTACTAAAAGCTGTAAATAGATCAAAAGAAAAAAAAATTTGACTCTGAAAAACAAAACAAAAAGAATCAACATTTTAAGCAAAACAAATTATAGAAAGTTTATTTTTCTTTTATTAGTTCAGTCCATGCTATTAACTCTTGTTTTGCCTGATATTGGGTCAGCAATCCTCATGAATACATCAGCTCTCCATGAGAGCCCTGGAAATTTTTATTTCTATTCCACTGGCACAATCTCTAAAGTTATCAAAGCCTATATTTAAGAGTACTCCTCAGAGTTCTATTGCTGATTATAAATTGCTCTATAAAAGAGTCAAAGTAAAATAACAATTGTGGATGACAAAAGTCTTAGAATAGCCATGGTTAAAGACACAATTAACGAGGAAATTTGGTTACTTCTGTGGCATACAACAATTTTACATAATAATAATTACTACTGATAACATATACTAAGACATATCAGAATCACAGGACTCTCATACAATTTTGGAATGCATATAATAATGCCTTTTATAAATATAATCCAAAGAAGGTTAAACACCATTCCATATTTGACAATACTTCCTATATGATTTTATTATACCAAATAAGTTGAATATGTCTCTTTTGGACTTCAGGGGACCTAACATCAAACAACTAATGAGGACTGAATTTACAATTTTATTTGAGAAAGTTTCTCAAATATAAAAAGCTTAAAACACTTGATATCATAAAATAGGCTCACAGTTAATTGTAAACTAAGTCATTTATTTAGCCAAAGTGATAACTCAAAGATTTTTTTTAAAGGCAAAAAAACCTTCATTCTTTGAGAGAGGAGACTTAACCTCCCAAATAATAAGCCCCAATAAAGACAGCATGAGGTCAATTAAATCTGTCTCTCAAATCTTATTAACAAATCTATTACATTTTATTTATCCTGACCACAAGACATAATTTTCCTAAACCTTTTCATAATCTTATAATTTTTTTTTATTAAAGACTAGGTTAATGCTCCAAGAAAAGCTTGTTAATTTGACATAGGGGCCCAGACACTGGTCTTGGATCAGTGTGCCTTTGATATTAATGGTTAACTCATAGAGAAACTGAACTAAATGTATCTCTCAAAATCGGCTCTTACAATCTCACACGATAGTCCCTGGGCTTAGAGGAGTTGGAATAATTTTAATTTCTGGCCCTGTGTCTCACGAATTCAGTTTATTTTGATTGTCATCTTCTACCAGGTCTGAAGACGAGGCTTTAACTGCTGTCAATGTTTATGATTTAGCAGGACTTGGTGTCCCTTTTAGACCCGGGAGTCAAAGCCCTGCAACTTAATGGCACAAGGACTTTGAAAGCAATGCAGAAAGTTATATAGATGTAATAACCTTAATTTTAAAAAGTAATCTCAGTTTTTCTATGTAAATCAAAACTTAATAACAATGGCACAGGAATTATTTCAATAAAACTTAAAGTCTGTTTGTTAGGCCAGTTACCAAAAGTCAAAAGAAAAGACCTTCTGCAGTGTGACTGCTTTTCCCTAGCGGGAGTTTATTTAGATAATCTGTAGGTTAAAACTAATGAAAAGAGTACTTGAATTGAATTAATTAGACACAGGAAGAGTGTTGTTTTTTTTTTTTTAACTGAGGTGGGGTCAGGCTCTGTCACCCAGGCTGGAGTGCAGTGGCATAATCTCAGCTCACTGCAACCTCTGCCTCCTGGGCTTAAGCTATCCTCCCACCTCAGCCTCCTGGGTAGCTGGGACTTCAGATGCCTGTCACCACACTCGGCTAATTTTTGTATTTTTTGTAGAAATGGCATTTCGCTGTGTTGTCCAGGCTGGTCTCGAACTATTGAGCTCAAGTAATCCACCCTCCTCCGCCTCCCAAAGCGCTGGAATTACAGGCATGAGCCAGCCACTGTGCTCAGCCCAAGATTCTTTCTCAATTAAAATTATTTTCCTTTTAACCTTTCTCACCAAAAATACCTCTTTATATTTACACATTTCTTTACATTGCTCTTATTTACTGCTTCCTTTTACCCTGTTTCAGAAATCGCCTTTAAGTGTTCTTTGAATTAGACAAAAATTATTTTTCCTTAAATATAAACTTTTTTTAGAAAAATGTTTTCCTATAACAAAATCTTTAAAGATAAATTGGAAATAACCCAGACATTTAATGGATATCTATTATTTAATTTTATATGACTTTTGATTCTAACTTATATAGTACTTTTATTTACAACCATTTCTTCCATTGCCCTAATTAATTTTTTAAATAGCTTACCTAGATTACTTGTGAAAACTGTGATAGTCATCATTTAAAATTACTTCCCTGTTAACCATTTTTATAGCCTGTGAATTTCAGGTGTTTACCTAAGTAAGAACCTTATGGTTAAATAAATGTTCTTTTTTTTGGCCAACAACCCAGGATTTAGCTGTTTTTGTTAAATGCACAATATTAAATGCCTTATTTATCAAAAAATTACACAACCAAAGGTAATTCTTTTGGGAGTTGCAAGCATTATAACCCTCATGCCAAATTTTGACACCTTATAATACCTAGCAGAGATAAATATTAAACCGCTTGACCAATAAATTTAAACAAAATGTATGTTGACGATTCTGAAGACATTTCTAATTTTATTTTACTAATAATTTTAAAACCAGCTTATTTATTAAGGGTTTACTTAACTCGTGAACTTGAATACACGCTCGAGCTTAAAGTTTCTATTTTTATGATAAAGTATTTTATTTAAGCACTTTATTTTCCTTCAAGCCAATCAGTTAGAGCTCTTTTATATACTTTTGATAGTGAAACGTTATATACTTGACACATAAATTCATAGATGTATTAGACACACAGATAGTAGATCTTATAGATTCATAAGACCTCTTTTTTCCCTATTTTAGACTTCCGATTTCTTGATAACCTGTTTCATTACCCTAGGCAAGTGTCAGCTACATAGCCCTAAAATTGTATATCAAAGGAACAACTCAGGTGAAAATCAGATAGGGAAATTTACATCTCAAAGTGGCCAGGAGAGAGAGATAGAGACAGAGAGAGAGAGATTAAGATAGAGACAGAGAGGGATTAAGAGAGAGAGAGAGAGAGAGTCTGGTATGAGAGAGGGTGATTAAAAATGCATGCCATGTCAAACATAAAGTTATAGAAATCTATCACAGGATTTTATAAGGAGGTCAATTTTATTCAGACAGGTAGTTTTAAATTTAGTAGCTATCTTTTAACTGAATTTCTGAGCTCTGGGCAGAGCCTACACTGAATCCTGTGTCTCCAAAAAGAAAAAAATGTCATGGGACTTGGCCACATAATACTTTTACAATGCACTTAGTTACAAACATATTTCTCTAAGTATCTAAACCACACCCTTTTTTATCTTACACACTCGAGTAGTGTTTGTTCTAATAGCTATTTCAGTTAAAAAAAAATCAGGTAACACAATACACAAGTAAGCAGTTTAAGATCTGAGAGGAACTTGTCTCTACACTCTTGGGGTTCCGTAAGGAGAAACAGAAGTTTCTCACCAAAAAGGGAGCCTGGTGCCTTCTCTGTTTTCTATAAGGAATCTCGGTCTGTTAGAAATTATTTTAGGTCTCTTATGCAGCAGAGGGTGGCAAGAGAAAGGAGAAACAGGCAAAAGTAAATGGAGAAAACTAAATTCAGTTGATGGAAAAGAAAGAAATCTTGTTCTCAGAAATCAAGATCCTGTGAGAGAAAAAAAAAACCATAAAGACCTTACACATACACACACACACACACACACACACACCCCTTGGATATTAGCTTTTAATAAAGCTGACTTTTAACCATTGAGCTCTGAAAAAAATCCTTTTAAATCTCACCATATTTTAGCTGGGACAAATTGCTATTTCAAAAGTAACACAAATATTAAACTGGAAGGGACTTGATTTAGCAATAAAACCCAGGCTATTGTGGTGAACAAAAAAGGGGGCAGAACCTTAGCTACTGAACTACAGGGTGGATGACAACCATTGCTCTTTCATTTTGGCTTGGCTGGCAAAAAGTGCCAAGCTATGTAAATAAAACCCCTCAGGGTAGTCAAAAGTTTTTTTTTTTTCCTTTTTCTTGTCATTTTATCTTTTTCCTTTTTTTTTTTTTTCCAGTTACAGGAATTTAGCCAATTCAGAGTCCTTGTTCCCCATAATTTTGAACTTTAGATTTGATCAAGTCAGGTAGAATTGGTCAAAACCCAATGGGAGAAAGACTGAAACAGTAACAAAAACAGAAACAAACAAATAAGCAAAAAAAAAAAAAAAAAAAAAGCCAGTTAAGCAAAACAAACAGCTACACATTTTATATAATTACTCAGCACTCTAATGGTAAGGAGAAATTAAGACCAGCCGGTTGTTAATCTTAACTTTAGTCATTAAAAAGAATTTCCAAGACAAAACCCCAATTTAGATACTTACCTAGGAACTGGGGCCCAGGCTAAAGATTTCTTTGTACCATCCTAGAAGAAGGAAAATACTCAAACTTGCCTTCCCTGTTGGAAGTGAGTAAAACTCTAGAAAAGGAGATGTACAGCAAAATAAACCTAGATCTCAGCCAAATTTTGGGATATCAGGGATTCTCTGGAGTGGGGAGCTCCCAGGCCTCAGCAAATCATCCTATTGGTTTGAGCAATAAAGACAGCTCAAGCTGTCTAGAGGTCAAGCCCAAGCTGTCAGGTCAGAAGCACTTCCACTCAGAATCCCTCCCTTTGTGGTTACCAATTTGTAAACCGTAAAGTATCTGAGACAGATCTTAATCAATTTAGAAGTTTATTTTGCCAAGGTTAAGGACATGCACCTGGGAGACAGGTCTGTGCCTTTCCCCAAAGATGATTCTCAGGGCTTCAGTGTTTAAAGGGGAAAAGCAGGCTGGAGGGGAAAAAGGGAGAGTACGGTCACATTACTGAATCCACATGCTGCAAGAGAAAAGGAGCAAGTAAGGAAGGAGTCAATTATGTTCTGGTCTCATGCTCAGTAAATTGGCATTTTACATAAAATAAGGTGAACACAGAGTAGCTACCTGTGGAGATATTTAACTTTTTATTTGTAGCTATCTGCTTAGGAACAAAAGGAAAGGCGGCTTCTTGCATGACTCAGCTTTTAGCTTAATTCTTTTCTTTTGGCACAGTGAAATTAGGGTCCCAAGTTTTCATTTTCCTTTGACAGTATTCTGAGGCAGAGGTTCTACCAACCCTTTTTCTCCTTTACTTCCTGTTAGACTGACTAGGACAACAAAGGGAGACAGGAAGTCTGAAGGAGGGAGAACAAAGTTGCTTCTTCTTCTCTCTGCTTCCTGTTTCTTTTTGTCACCCTCACAAAAGACATCTACCTGGGCAGGGCCATGTGGATTTAGTAGGAACAGGAGGGCCAATTTCATAGTTTCTCTCTAAATATGAAGAACTATTGTTATTATGGTGGCTTTCACTTCAGAAGGACTCCTCCTTCAAGAACCTGAGACTTCAGTACCAGTTAAGCAACTCCCCTGATTTAAATGTAAATGTTCCAATTCGGTAGGGGCTCTTTCTCCAAGCTGTTTCAGTGCCATCTCTAATTGGGCAGCCCATTTTATCAGAGGTCTGGGTCCAAGTCTTACCCAAATATCCTAATTGCTTTCCCAGGCCTTGGATTGGTAGTTATTTCTGGCACTCTGAACACCTATTTTAACCAATTTCCTGTTGTAAATTCCATTTAAATATCTTCTGTGGACTTGGTTTTTTAATATTTTCCTTTTTCAGTAATTCCATTGTAATGCACCTATGTGTGATTTCTTTACATGCATTCTGCTTGGGATTTGTAGCACGACTTGATGTATGGCTTTATATCTTTTATTATTTTTACAATATTCTTTGCTATTTTCGTGTTCAATATTTATTTTATCCATTCTTCGGCTTCTCTCCTTCTGGAACTGCAATTACACATCTCATAGCCCTTTTCACCATGTCCCATCTCTCTTCATCTCTTGATCTCTCTCCTCTTTTTAAGACATAATTTACGTATCCTAAAATTAATTATCTTAGTTGTACAATGCTGTGATTTTTACTATATTCACATAGTTGTGCAAACATGACCACTATCTAATGTCAAAAATATTTTATCACTCCAAAACAAAGCCTTGTAATACATTTGAAGTCCCTTCCCTCTCCCATTCCTAGCCCCACAGTAATTACAACACTGTATGAGTTTACCCAGAATACTGGACATTTCATATAAACTGAATTATACAATATTTGGTATTTTGTAATTGGATTCTCTCACTTAGTATATTGTTTACAAGGTTCATCCATGTTTTATCATACATCAGTACTTTACTCTTTTTCATTGCTGAATAATATTCCATCATATGAATTGACCACATTTCATTTAGCCATTCATCAGTTGGTGAACCTTTGAGAGGTTTCCAATATTGGACTATTATAAATAATGCTGCTATTTTCATTCCTGTACAGGTTTTTATGTGGACATATGTTCTTATTTCTCTGAGATATGTAACTAAAAGTTGAATTTCTGAGTCATAGGATAACTCAATGTTTAACTATTTGAGAAACTGCCAAAGAATTTCCAATATTTCTGCATAATTTTACAGTCTTATCTGTGATGTATGAAACTTTCATTTTCTTCACATCCTCACCAACACTTGTTATTGGCTATTTTTTTATTATACCCAATCTAGTGGTTGTAAATTACTATCTCATTGCGGTTTGGGTTGTCATATACCTAATGACTAATGATGTTAGAAGTTATATCCTGTGCTTATCAGCCATTCATATATCTTCTTTGGATAAACGCCAATTCAAATATTTAGCCCATTTCAAAAATTAGCTTGTTTGTCTTCTTAGTATTTACGTTTTCTCTTGTCATTGTTATAACAGTTATAATTGAATTTGTGAAATTCAGTGGGAAAACAAGAACAAACTAAACATAAAGCAAGCAGAAAGGAAATAAAGATTCGAATGGGCATAAACAAATAGAGAATAGAAGAAAAAGAGATAATCAATGAATCAAAATTTAGTTCTTTGAAAAGATCAACAAAATTGACAAAGCTTTAGGTATACTGACCAAGAAAAAGAGATATTAAATTCAAACCACTAAAATCATGAATAAGAAAGGGGGCACTACTAATAAAAAAAAACCCTACAGAAATAAAAATAATTACAAAGAAATTCTATAAACAATTTATGTCAATAAATTGGTTATCCTAGAGCAAATGAGAAATTTCCTAGAAAGACACAAAATACTAAAAACTACTCAATAATAAATAGAAAATCTGAGAATACTTGTAATAATTAAAGTGACTGAATTAGTAATTTTTAAATCCCTTTAAAAATAACCCAGCCCTTGATGGCTTCCTGTGAACTCTGTCCAATATTTAAAAAACAAAATAATACAAATTCTTCACAAAATCTCTCAAAAAATACAAGAGGAAGGAATATTTCCCAAGTCATTCTGTGAGGCCAGGATTATCCTAATACCAAAACCAGACAAAGATATCACACATAAGGAAAAGTACAGATTAATGTCTCTTAAGAAGACAGATGAAAGAAATGCTTAACAAAATGCTAGCAAACCTAACCCAACACATGAAAAGGATTTCATATCATGACTAAATTAGATTTATCCCAGGAATGCAAGGTTTGTTTAACACATGAATATCAATTACAGTCACACATCACTTAACAGCAGGGATATGTTCTGAGAAACACATCATTAGGCGATTTTGTTGTGCCAACATCCTACACTGTACTTACACAAACCTAAATGGTATAGCCTACTACACACCTAGGCTATATGGTATAGCCTATTGTTCCTAGGCTACAAACCAGTATAGCATGTTACTGTACTGAATGCTGTAGGCAATTAAAACACAATGGTAAGTATTTGTGTATTTAAACATGTCTAAACCTAGAAAAGATACAGTAAAAATATTATCTTAAAGATAAAAAATGGTACACCTATATAAGGAACTTGCCATGAATGGAGCTTGCAGGACTAGAAGTTGCTCTGGGTGAGTCAGTAAGTGAGTGGTGAATGAATGTGAAGTCCTAGGTCATTACTGTACATTATTGTAAACTTTATAAACACTGTATACTTAGGCTACACTAAGTATATTTAAAAATATTTGTCTTTCTTCAATGATAATTTAACCTTAGCTTATCATAACATTTTTTACTTTATGAGCTTTCAATTTTTAAAAATTTTGACTCTTTTGTAATGACACTTAGCTTAAAACACAGACATATTTTACAGTTGTACAAAAATATTTTCTTTCTTTATAGCCTTATTCTATAAGCTTTTTTTCTATGTTTAAGATTTTTTAAAAAGTTTTTAAACTTTTCTTTTAGAAACTAAGACGTAAACACACACATTAGCCTAGGCCTACACAGGGTCAGACTCATCAATATGATCGTCTTTTACCTGTACATCTTGTACCACTGGAAAGTCTTCAGGAGCAATACACATGGATCTGTCATGTCTTATGATAATGATACTTTCTTCTGGAATACCTCCTGAAGGACCTGTCTGAGGCTGTTTTACAGTTACCTATTTTTTTAAGTAGAAGGAGTATACTCTAAACAATAAAAAGTATAGTACAGTAAATATGTAAACCAATGACATATATTTATTGTAATTATCAAGTACTAAGTACTGTACCTAATTGTATGTGCTATACTTTTATACTGACTAGCAGTACAGTAGGTTTATTTGCACCAGCATCAACACAAACACATGAACAATGCATTTTTCTACAAAGTTATGATGGGTATGACATCCTAGTTTGACGGGTATGACATACTAGGTAATAGGAAATATTTTAGCTCCATTATAATCTTATGGAAACATTGTAATATCTGTAGTCTGACATTGAACAAAACATTGTTACGCAGCACATGACTGTAATGTAATACACCATGTAAATAGAATAAAATACAAAAAATGCACATGAACTCAATAGACCAAGAAAAAGCATTTGAAAACTCCAACAGCCTTTTTTGATAAAAGCCCTCAAGAAACTAGGAATAAAAGAAAATGTTCTCAACCCTTACATTTGTAGTCACTGAATTGTTAATAGGAGTGCCAGGACAATTCAATGGGAGAAAAGGGTGGTCTTTTCAACAAGTAGTGTTGGCACAACTGGGTATCTGCATGTAAAACAATAGATTTAGAACTGTACCTGACAGCATATACGAATTAACTAAAACTGAATCACAGACATGAACATAACAGCTAAAACCATAACATCCTTAGAATAAAACCTATGAGTAAATCTTCACGACTGGGAGTGAGGCAATGCCTTCTTAGATATGACCCCAGAAGCATAATCAAAGAAAATGGATAAATTGGACTTCATCAAAATTAAAAACTTTTGTTGGCTAAATTACACCACCAAGAAAGTGAAAAGATAACTCACAAAAAATTTACGTAGGAATAAATCTTCATGACTGTGGGTGAGGCAAAGGCTTTTTAGATATGACACCAGAAGCCTCACTAAAGAAAAAAGATAAATTGGACTTCATCAAAATTAAAACTTTTGATTGTTAAATTACACCATCAAAAAATGAAAAGATAGTTTACTGAGAATGATGATTTCCAATTTCATCAAGAACAAAAAACCAAACACCACATATTCTCACTCATAGGTGGGAATTGAACAATGAGATCACATGGATACAGGAAGGGGAATATCACACTCTGGGGACTGTGGTGGGGTGGGGGGAGGGGGGAGGGATAGCATTGGGAGATATACCTAATGCTAGATGACGAGTTAGTGGGTGCAGCGCACCAACATGGCACATGTATACATATGTAACTAACCTGCACAATGTGCACATGTACCCTAAAACTTAAAGTATAATAAAAAAAAAATTTAAAAAAAAAAAAGAAAAGACAGCTCACAAACTGAGAAAATATTTTCTAAGTTTGTATCTGATATGGTGCTTCTGTCAGAATATAAGAAGAACTTTTGTAGTCCAACAATAAAGAGACCAATAACACAATGAAAAAAATGGGCAAATAATTTGAATGGATATTTCTTCAAAGAAGATATATAAATGGCCAATAAGCACATGAAAAGCAGCTCAACATTATTAGTCATTAGGAAATGCCAATTAATATCATAAGATACTACTTCAAACTTACGACAATGGCTAAAATAAATATGATAAACACTAAATGTGTTGTACAGGATGTGGAGAAAATTGAAGCTTCATGTGTTGTAGTTGGGATTGTAAAATTGTGCAGACTTGGAAACTCTTTGGCAGTTTCTCAGAAAGTTACACATTGAGTTACTCTATGACTCAAAAATTTAACTCCTAGTTACATATCCCAGAAAAATAAAAACATATGTCCTCATAAAACTTGTGCAGGAATGAAAAGAGCAGCATTATTTATAATAGCCCCAAATTGGAAACCTCCCAAAGGTCCACCAGTTGTTGAAATGGATAAATGTAATGTGGTCAATTCATATAATAGAATATTATTCAGCAATGGAAATGAATAAAGTACTGATATATGCTACAACATGAATGAACCTTGAAAACAATATACTATCTGAAAGAAGCTAGACATGGGACCATATATTGTATAATTCCATATATGTGAAATACCCATAAAAGGCAAATTTAGAAAGACAGGAAGTTAGTTATTTCCTGGCTGGGGACAAGGAGAATGGGGGCTAACAGAAAATATGCATGTGGAATCATATTGGAGTGATGAAAATATTCTAAAACTGATTTATGGTGATGTCTTGGTCCATTTTGTGTTGCTATAACAATACCTGAGATTGGGTAATTTATATAGAAAAGAGGCTTATTTAGCTCATGGTTTCACAGGCTGGAAAATTCAGGAAGCACAGTGCTGGCATCTGCTTGGCTTCTGATGAGGGCTTTTATGCTACATCACATCATGTTGGAGAAGATCAAAGGGGAAGTGGACAAACGTGAAGAGCTAAAACCCAAGGGGCATCCTGGCTTTACAACAACCCACTCTTATGCGAACTAATCTATTGCCACAGGGACTAGTCCAGTGTCACCAGAGCAAGAACTCACTCACTACTGGAAGAATGGCACCAAGCCACCCATGAAGGTGGAGCCCCTGTGATCCAATCACTTCGCATTATGCTCCACTTGCCAACACCATCACATTGGGGATTGCATTTCAAGCTGAGTTTTGGTGGGGACAAAAAACCAATTCTGAACCATAGCAGGTGAAGATTGTACAACTTGGTAAATTTACTACAAATTATTGAAATGTACACTTTAAAATAGTGAATTACATAATAAACAAAACATGTATCAATAATAATAATACTTAAAAAGATCTCCATACATAGAAAACTCCCAATCCAGATGGCTTCACTGGTGAATTCAGTGGTATTCTGGTATGTGTTTAGCAAACTTTTCTTCTGGGTTGGTTGCAGGGGGTCGATGTTCAGAAGAAGCTCTATTTTTAGCATTTCTTAGCGTTTGTCAATTTCTGTGGTATAAAATCTCGCACTGTGGCTGATTTCAAGCTATCAACGTGATGTCACTGAAAGCAGAGTTGGGAAGGTATTCTAACAATATCTTTCAAGAGCTAGTATTATTAGCTGGCTCTCAGCCCACCACTTGGTAAATTCTACCAAATATTCTGGTTGAATTATCTTCCAATTTCCTTTGTCATATCTTCTTTTACGTGTGGGTTGTTTTGAATAGTGTTGCTCAGCTTACTTCCAAATATTTGGGAATTTTCTAGAGATCATGTTATCATTAACTTCTAATTTAATTATATTGTGATGGAAGAACATACTTTGTGTTTTGGATATTTGAAATTTATTAGGTCTTGTTTTATGGCTCAGCATATAAAAGTTTAAGTAAAAAGCCCATATGCACTTGAAAAAAAAGTGTTAGGCAGTGTTCTAGAGATATAAATTAGGTCAATTAATTTGATAGAGTCCTCCATTTCTTCAGCATTCTTACTGCTAATTCTAACACATGTCACCTAATGATTTGTTTCTATTGGGTTTTAATTTTCCTACTTATGAATTACACTTTTCTGTTTGGCATACCTAGAAATTTTTATTATATACTGGATATTCTGGTTAACACATTGTAGAAGACGGGGAACAGCCTCTTTTATGTTTCTTTTTCTTACAGTTTTTACCTTTTTTTACATTAGTTATACAGTATTAATCATACATAGCTGAGCTACTAACACCTGGGTCCAGGACTGTTCATAAGGATTGTAAGATTCATTACTGCAAGGACATTGGTCTCCCCAAGTTGATCTAAAGATTAAACCCAAACCAAATCCTTATCCCTGTAGGTTTTGTTTGTGAGTGTGTATATGTGTGAAAAGTGACAAACATTTGAAATGTGTTAGTAACGTTGTACAACTTTCTGAGATAATGGACGTATTCTATATTTGTGCTGCTTATGACAGTAGTCAATATCTGGCTATTAAGCACTTGAAATGTGGCTAAAATGGCTGAGAAACTGAATTCTAAAATTGGATTTATTTTTAATTATTTTAAATTTAAATTTAAATAGTGATTCATTGCTAGTCACCACCATATTGGACAGTGCAGGTCTATGAAAATGCAGAATGGCAAACATACAGAAGTAATCTTGAAAAAGGAGGACATAGATTGCTGCCCTTCAAACTTATTTATGAAACTATAAGAATTAAAGTATGGAGTACATATATATGCATACACACACTGACTCATCACAAAGAGCATAAAATGTATGTGTATACAGTTATATACATAGGAGTCACATGATCCATGATAAATGTGACACTGAAGTATAATGTGGAAAGAATGGCCTTTTCAAGAACTGATGTTAGTCAGTTGAATATCTATTTGAAAAAGAAAGTTAATCTTGTGTGACTCCTTTTCAAACTATGAACAAAAATCAATTGGGGCCGGGCATGGTGGCTCATGCCTGTAATCCCAGCACTTTGGGAGGCCGAGGCGGGCGGATCACTTCAGCTCAGGAGTTCAAGGCCAGCCTGGCCAACATGGTGAAACCCTGTCTCTACCAAAAATACAAAAATTAGCTGGGTGTGGTGGCATGTCTGTAGTACCAGCTACGTGGGAAGCTGAAGCAGGAGAATCACTTGAACCCAGAAGGCAGAGGCTGCTGTGAGCTGAGATCGCACCACTGCACTCCAGCCTGGGTGACAGAGTGAGACTCCATCTCAAAACAAAACAAAACAAAAATCAGTTGGAGAAGATTTCCAAATATAAATGTGAAAGTTAAAAAAAAGTTTAAAGAGAATGCAGGGAATATCTTCATGACTTTGTAGTAAGCAACAATTTTCTTATCAGGACACACCAAAAGAGAAAAAAGTACTAACAATAAAGACACAAGGGGGATCTCTCCAGGCAAATGACTGAATAGAAACAGCTGCGGTCTGCAGCTCCCAGTGAGATCGACACAGAAGTCGGGTGATTTCAGCATTTCCGACTGAGGTGCCCAGTTCATCTCACTGGGACTGGTTGGACAATGGGTGCAGCCCACGGAGGGTGAGCCGAAGCAGGCTGAGGCATTGCCTCACCCAGGAAGTGCAAGGGGTTGGGGAATTTTCTCCCCAACCCAATGGAAGCCCTTAGGGACTGAGCCTGAGGAACTGTGCACTCCAGTCCAGATACTGTGCTTTTCCCATGGTCTTCACAACCTGCAGACCAGGGGATCCCCTCTGGTGCCTACCCCACCAGGGCCCTGGGTTTCAAGCACAAACCTGAGCGGCCATTTGGGCAGACACTGAACTAGCTGCAAGACGTTTTTTTTTTTTGTTTTTTTTTTTTTTTTATTCCGTACCCCAGTGGCTCCTGGAACGCCAGTGAGACTGAAGCATTCACTCCCCTGGAAAGGGGTGCTGAAGCCAGGGAGCCAAGTGGTCTGGTTTAGGCAGGTCCCACCCCCATGGAGTCCAGCAAACTAAGATCCACTGGCTTGAAATTCTCACTGCCAGCACAGCAGCAATCTGAGATCGACCTGGGATGCTCCAGCTTGGTGGGGGGAGGGGCGTCTGCCATTGCTGAAGCTTGATTAGGTGGTTTTACCCTCACAGAGTAAACAAAACCGCTGGGAAGTTTGAACTGGGCGGAGCCCACTGCAGCTAAGCAAGGCCTCCGTGGCCAGACTGTCAGATTTCTTCTCTCTGGGCAAGGCATCTCTGAAAAAAAAGAAAAAGGCAACAGCCCCAGTCAGGGACTTACAGATAAAAACCCCATCTCCCTGGGACAGAGCACCTGGGGGAAGGGATGGCTGTGGGTGGAGCTTCAGCAGACTTAAACCTCCCTGCCTGACAGTTCTGAAGAGAGCAGTGGACCTCCCAGCACAGCTTCTGAGCTCTGCTAAGGGTCAGACTGCCTCCTCAAGTTGGTCCCTGACCCCCATGTATCCTGACTGGGAGACACCTCCCAGTAGGGGCTGACAGACACCTCATACAGGAGAGCTCTGGCAGGTACCCCTGTGGGATGAAGCTTCCAGAGGAAAGAGCAGGCAGCAATCGGCAGCAATCTTTGCTGTTCTGCAGCCTCCACAGGTGATACTCAGGCCAGCGGTCTGGAGTGGACCTCCAGCAAACTCCAGCAAACTCCAGCAGACCTGCAGCAGACGGGCCTGAATGTTAGAAGGAAAGCTAACAAACAGAAAGGAATAGCACATCCACTCAAAGACCCCATGCGAAGGTCATCAACATCAAAGACCAAAGGTAAATAGATCCACAAAGATGGAGAGAAACCAGCACAAAAATGCTGAAAATTCCAAAAACCAGAACACCTCTTCTCCAAAGGATCACAACTTCTTGCCAGCAAGGGAGCAAAACTGGATGGAGAATGAGTTTGACGAATTGACAGAAGTAGACTTCAGAAGGTGGGTAATAACAAACTCCTCCGTGCTAAAGGAGCATGTTCTAACCCAATGCAAGGAAAGTAAGAACCTTGAAAAAAGGTTAGACGAATTGCTAACTAGAGTAACTGGTTTAGAGAAGAACATAAATGACCTTATGGAGCTGAAAAACTTAGCATGAGAACTTCATGAAGCATACACAAGTATTGATAGCTGAATCGATCAAGCAGAACAAATGCTATCAGAGATTGAAGATCAACTTAATGAAATAAAGCAAGAAGACAAGATTAGAGAAAAAAGACTAAAAAGGAATGAACAAACCTCCAAGAAATATGAGACTATCTGAAAAGACCAAATTTTTTTGATTTGATTGGTGTACCTGAAAGTGATGGGGAGAATGGACCCAAGATGGAAAACACTCTTCAGGATATTATCCAGGAGAACTTCCCCAACCTAGAAAAACAGGACAACATTCAAATTTAGGAAATGTAGAGAACACCACAAAGATACTCTTTGAGAAGAGCAACCCCAAGACACATAATCATCAGATTCACCAAGGTTGAAAAGAAGGAAAAAATGTTAAGGGCATCCAGAGAGAAAGGGCGGGTTACTCACAAAGGGAAGCCCATCAGACTAACAGCAGATCTCTCTGCAGAAACTCTACAAGCTAGAAGAGAGTGGGGGCCAATATTCAACATTCTTAAAGAAAAGAATTTTCAACCCAGAATTTCATATCCAGCCAAACTAAGTTTCATAAGCAAAGGAGGAATAAAATCCTTTACAAACAAGCAAATGCTGAGAGATTTTTGTCACCACCAGGCCTGCCTTACAAGAGATCCTGAAGGAAGCACTAAACATGGAAAGGAACAACTGGTACCAGCCACTGCAAAAACATACCAAATTGTAAACACCATCGACATTATGAAGAAACTGCAACAACTAATGGGCAAAATAACCAGCTAGCATCATAATGACAGGATCACATTCACACATAACAATATTAACCTTAAATGTAAATGGGCTAAATGCTCCAATTAAAAGACACAGACTGGCAAATTAGATAAAGAGTCAAGACCCATCAGTATGCTGTATTCAGGAGACCCATCTCATGTGCAAAGACACACATAGGCTTAAAATAAAAGGATGGAGGAATATTTACCGAGCAAATGGAAAGCAAAAAAAAAAAAAAAAAAGCAGGAGTTGCAATCCTAATCTCTGATAAAACAGACTTTAAATCAACAAAGATCAAAAGAGACAAAGAAGACTATTACATAATGGTAAAGGGATCAATTCAACAAGAAGAGCTAACTATCCTAAATATATATGCACCCGACGCAGGAGCACCCAGATTCATAAAACAACTTCTTAGAGACCTACAAAGAGACTTAGACTCCCACACAATAATAATGGGAGACTTTAACACCCCACTGTCAATATTAGACAGATCAATGAGACAGAAAATTAACAAGGATATTCAGGACTTGAACACAGCTCTGGACCAAGCCGACCTAATAGACATCTACAGAACTCTCCACCTAAAATCAACAGAATATGCATTCTTCTCAGCACCTCATTGCACTTATTCTAAAATTGACCACATAATTGGAAGTAAAACACTCCTCAGCAAATGCAAAAGAAGGGAAATCATAACAAACAGTCTCTCAGACCACAGTGCAATCAAATTAGAACTCAGGATTAAGAAACTCACTCAAAACCACACAACTACATGGAAACTGAACAACCTGCTCCTGAATAACTACTGGGTAAATAACAAAATGAAGGCAGAAATAAAGATGTTATTTGAAACCAATAAGAATGAAGACACAATGTACCAGAATCTCTGGGACACATTTAAAGCAGTTTGTAGAGGGAAATGTATAGCACTAAATGCCCACAAGAGAAAGAGGAAAGATCTAAAATTGACACCCTAACATCACAATTAAAAGAACTAGAGAAGCAAGAGCAAACAAATTCAAAAGCTAGCAGAAGACAAGAAATAACTAAGATCAGAGCAGAACTGATGGAGATAGAGACACAAAAAACCCTTCAAAAAATCAGTGAATCCAGGAGCTGGCTTTTTGAAAAGATCAACAAAATAGATAGACAGCTAGCAAGAATAATAAAGAAGAAAAGAGAGAAGAATCAAATAGATGCTATAAAAAAAGATAAAGGGGATATCCCACCAATCCCACAGAAATACAAGCTACCGTAAGACAATACTATAAATGAGAAGTGAAGCCAGCTGCAGTTCCTGGGTTGAGTGACAACTTGGAGAACTTTTCTGTCTAGCTACAGGATTGTAAACACACCAATCAGCAATCTGTTTCTAGATAAAGGATTGTAAATGCACCAATCAGCACTCTGTAAAAACGCACCAATCAGTACTCTGTGTCTAGCTAAAGGATTGTAAATGCACCAATCAGCACTCTGTAAAAATGCTCCAATCAGTGCTCTGTGTCTAGCTAAATGATTGTAAATGCACCAATCAGCGCTCTGTAAAATGGACCAATCAGCACTCTGTAAAATGGACCAGTCAGCACTCTGCAAAATGGACCAATCAGCAGGACGTGGGCAGGGACAAATAAGGGAATAAAAGCTGGCCACTCCAGCCAGCAGCAGCAACCCACTCAGGTCCCCTTCCATGCTGTGGAAGCTTTGTTTCTTCGTTCTTCACAATAAATCTTGCTGCTGCTCACTCTTTGGGTCCACACCACCTGGAAGAGCTGTGACACTCACTGCAAGGGTCTGCAGCTTCATTCCTGAAGTCAGTGAGAACACGAATGCACCAGGAGGAACAAACAACTCCAGACGCGCCACCTTTAAGAGCTGTAACACTCACTGCGAGGTCCATGGCTTCATTCTTGAAGTGAGACCAAGAACCCACTGGAAGGAATAAATTCCGGACACATAAACACCTCTATGCAAATAAACTAGAAAATCTAGAAGAAATGGATAAATTCCTCGACACATACACCCTCCCAAGTCTAAACCAAGAAGAAGTCCAATCCCTGAATAGACCAATAACAAGTTCTGAAATTGAGGCAGCAATTAATAGCCTACCAACCAAAAAAAGTCCAGGACCAGATGGATTCACAGCTGAATTCTACCAGAGGTACAAAGAGGAGCTGGTACCATTCCTTCTGAAACTATTCCAAACAACAGAAAAAGAGGGAATCCTCCCTAATTCATTTTATGAGGCCAGCATCATGCTGATACCAAAACCTGGCAGAGACACAACAAAAAAAGAAAATTTCAGGCCAATATCCCTGATGAACATCAGTGCAAAAATCCTCAATAAAATACTGGCAAACTGAATCCAGCAGCACATCAAAAAGCTTATCCACCATGATCAAGTGGGCTTCATCCCTGGGATGCAAGGCTGGTTCAACATATGCAAATCAATAAATGTAATCCATCACATAAACAGAGCCAATGATAAAAACCACATGATTATCTCAATAGATGCATAAAGGGCCTTCAACAAAATTCAATACCGCTTCTGCTAAAAACTCTCAACAAACTAGGTATCGAAGGAACGTATCTAAAAATAATAAACGCTATTTATGACAAACCCACAGCCAATATCATACTGAGTGGGCAAAAACTGGAAGCATTCCCTTTGCAAACAGGTAGAAGACAAGGATGCCCTCTCTCACTACTCCTGCGATTCAACATAGTATTGGAAGCTCTGGCCAGGGCAATCAGGCAAAAGAAAGAAACAAAGCATATTCAAATAGGAAGAGAGGAAGTCAAATTGTCTCTGCTTGCAGATGACATGATTCTACATTTAGAAAACCCCATCGTCTCAGCCCAAAATCTCTTAAGCTGATAAGCAACTTCAGCAAAATCTCAGGATACAAAATCAATGTGCAAAAATCACAAGCACTCCTATACACCAATAACAGACAAACAGAGAGCCAAATCATGAGTGAACTCCCATTCTCAATTGCTACTAAAGAGAATAAAATAGCTAGGAATACAACTTACAAGGGTTACGAAGGACCTCTTCAAGGAGAACTACAAACCACTGCTCAAGGAAATAAGAGAGGACACAAACAAATGGAAAAACATTCCATGCTCATGGATAGGAAGAATCAATATCATTAAAATGGCCTTACTGCCCAAAGTAATTTATAGATTCAATGTTATCCCCATCAAGCTACCACTGACTTTCTTCACAGAATTGGAAAAAACTACTTTAAACTTCATATGGAACCAAAAAAAGAGCCCACATAGCCAAGACAATCCTAAGCAAAAAGAACAAAGCTGGAGGCATCACACTACCTGATTTCAAACTATACTGCAAGGCTACAGTAGCCAAAACAGCATAGTACTGGTACCAAAACAGATATATAGACCAATGGAACAGAACGGAGGCCTCAGAAGTAGCACCACACATCTACCACCATTTGATCTTTGACAAACCTAACACACACAAGCAATGGGGAAAAGATTCCCTATTTAATAAATGGGGTTGGGAAAACTGACTAGCCATATGCAGAAAACTGAAACTGGACCCTTTCCGTACACCTTATACAAAAATCAACTCAAGATGGATTAAAGACTTAAATGTAAGACCTAAAACCATAAAAATCATAGAAAAAATCCTAGGCAATACCATTCAGGACATAAGTGTGGGCAAAGACTTCATCTCTAAAACACCAAAAGCAATGACAACAAAAGCCAAAATTGACAAATGGGATCTAATTAAACTAAAGAGCTTCTGCACAGCAAAAGAAACTATCATCAAAGTGAACAGACAACATACAGAATGAGAGAAAATTTTTGCAATCTATCCATCTGATAAATGGCTAATATCCAGAATCTACAAAGAACTTAAACAAATTTACAAGAAAAAAACCAAACAACCACATCAAAAAGTGGGCAAAGGATATGAACAGACACTTCTCCAAAGAAGACATTTATGCAGCCAAAAAACACATGAAAAAATGCCCATCATCACTGGCCATCAGAGAAATGCAAATCGAAACCACAATGAGATACCATCTCACACCATTTATAATGGCAATCATTAAAAAGTCAGGAAACAACAGGTGCTGGAGAGGATGTGGAGAAATAGGAACACTTTTACACTTTTGGTGGGACTGTAAACTAGTTCAACCATTGTGGAAGACAGTGTGGTGATTCCTCAAGGATCTAGAACCAGAAATACCATTTGACCCAGCCATCCCATTACTGGGTATATACCCAAAGGATTATAAATCATTCTACTATAAAGACACATGCACACATATGTTTATTGTGGCACTATTCACAATAGCAAAGACTTGGAACCAACCCAAATGCCCATCAGTGGTAGATTGTATAAAGAAAATGTGGCACATATACACTATGGAATACTATGCAGCCATAAAAAGAATGAGTTCATGTCCTTTGCAGAGACATGGATGAAGCTGGAAACCATCATTCTCAGCAAACGATCACAAGAAAAGAAAACCAAACACCGCATGTTCTCACTCATAAGTGAGAGCTGAACAATGAGAACACATGGACACAGCGAGGGGAACATCACACACCGTGGCCTGTTGTGGGGTGGGGGGAGTGGGGAGGGATAGCATTAGGAGAAATACCTAATATAAGTGACGGGTTGTTGGGTGCAGCAAACCACCATGGCACGTGTATACACATGTAACAAAACTGCATGCTCTGCACATGTACCCCAGAACTTAAAGTATAAGAAAGAAAGAAAGAAAGAAAGAAAGAAAGAAAGAAAGAAAGAAAGAAAGAAAGAAAGAAAGAAAGAAAGAAAGAAAAAGAAGGGAGGGAGGGAGGGAAGGAGGGAGAAAGACATACAATTTAAGAACATTTGCTCATCAAAATGCACCATTAAGAAAGAGAAAAGGCAGTCCATTGATGAGAGTATTTATTTGAAATAAATGTACTTACCACAGAATTTGTATGCAGAATATATGAAGAATTTCTACAAATCCATAAGAAAAGGCAGGCAACCCAGTGGAAAATGGGAAAAGATAAACAGGCCATTCAGAAAAAATGGCTAATATAAATGACTAATGAACAAATAAAAGGATTCTCAGCTTCATTATTCATCAGGATCAGGGAAATGAAAATTAATGCCATATGGTAATACTTTTACTCTCACACCTGAATAGATAAAATGAAAAATGATAGAAATATCATTTCTTTCTGAAGACATGAGCAACTGGAATTGTCAAAAACTGCTAGTGGAAGTGGAAATTGATACAACTACCTTGGAAATTTACATGGCAATATCTAATATGTATGAATTTATGCATAACCTATAATACAGCAAATTTTACTTCTAGGTATTTATCCAACAGAAGTATATGCATATGTTCACCAGAACACATGTATAAGATTGTTCATAGCATTACTATTTATTTATACTAGGCAACAATTTAAAAACTTCCCCATTTACAAAAAGTAAAATGATTAAATAAATTGTGTTGTATTCACACAATAAAATAGCACACAGCAATGAAAATGAACAGTCTATAACTACTCACAAAAACGAATGAATCTTACAAAAGAAATCAGTTACAAAATAGTATTATATGACTATTTTTATATAAAGCTCAAAAATAGACAAAACTAATCTATGATGATACAAGTCAGGTAAGTGTTCATTCTCAGGAGGCTTAATAATTTGAAGCAGCCATCAGTGGGGAGTCTGGTATGTGGCAATGTTCTGTTTTTCATTCTGAGAGCTATTACATAGATGTGTTCACACTGCAAAAATTCATAGAATTTTATGCTTATGGCTTGTTCACTTTTTTCCTGTAGATTATACTTCAGTAAAAATTAATAAAACAGAAATGAAAATAACAGACTCATCGACCCTAGGCCCTTGTAAAATCCAGAAGTCTTCTATACAGCTGTGCTTAAAGAGAGCCTCATCTGCAGCAGCAAGGAAGACTGTGCTGAAAATCAGGGCTGGGAGCTAATTGTAAGGGGGGTAGAGATTCAAAATGGCACTGGATATATAACTTGAAGAGGTCTCCTATGTCAAAATCAGGGACCTCATGAAAAACAGTAACCGTAAGACTTGGATTAGGGAGATTTGCATGGAAGAGCCTGAGAATCTTGAACTACCAGATTCCCCTTAATCTTTCAGATCAGCAGCAGTTCCCCTACACCTGCCCCTCTGACTTGCTAGAGGAGAGCAACCTCCTCAGACTTGGAGACCCTGAAAATACATTACCAACACAGGAGATTTACATAAGGGCACATTCAACATCTGCACTCTCATTGCAACCAAACCAATTAGCATTATAGGCAGAGCTGGGAAGTAAAGTCCCTGCTCTTGGAGGAAAGATGTTACAACCAAAAGAAATGGAAAACCTGGCTCAAATATACTGGCACAAACCCTGGGAACATATGTGGGAGTAGATCTTGAGGCTTTGAATGGGAATCAGGGAGAATAAAGGAGAATTACTGACATGACATGACACCCAGCAGAACCATTATATGATTACTCTCTCCTAGAAGAAAATGACTGGCTGGTTAACTGCTTGCTATAGAAAGGTGCTAAACCCTTGGCTCTGGTTGCTCAGCTGTGGTGCAACCCAGTGTTTATAGCCCACCTGCTCTTTCCAGGTTGCATAGTGGAAGTTGGAGACAGGTAAATTGGTGCTACCAGGCTGATATTCCTGCTGTTTGATGTGCTGTAAATAATAAATTGTTTTGCTCTGAGCCATTAAATGTTGTTGTCTTCTTTTGGCACTTGTGGAGTGTGGCAAACTGATATGCTTGCTTACTTAATCATTTCCTTTGGAGTCTAGCTACTCCATGCCATCCTATATGAATGAGTTTCTGCAAGGATTGGCATAGGAAGCAAGGTGCCAATATAGACAATGACTTTTTGAAAGAGAAAAGGCAGGGGACCTATGGGACAATTCAGGGATGTAAGGAAGCTCCCTGGGAGATAGGAGGGATTGTGTCTGCCCAAATAGTAAATTAAGGGGAAGGTAAATGGTCTGCTTTTTGAACATGAGGTGAGTTGATGAATAGACACTGAGTGTAAGAGGTCAGATTACAATAAACTATTCAAAAGGCATCCTCTTCTACAGAGTAGGGGACAAAGGAAACACCTCTGATTCCTGTCAAAGAGAAAAGCACAACTTTCCCCCATTTGAAAACCACGATTACTATTCCTGTAACTGCAATATAACCCCATGCAGAGTAGTAAGATGCACCCAAGAGGCAAAGGAGGGAAACCTGATAAAACTTCTGTCCAAAGAGTGGGGTGCTGTTAGAGATTCAGTTGGTGCGTCTCGTGCTGAAAGAAGAACGGTTATGCTTTACAGAGTGAATGGTAGCAAGCAGGCCTTCTCACATATGATTCATACAGACTCTTCAGTCAGGGCAGAATCATGTCACAAACCATGGCTTTGCTGGTTTCAATTTCTATTTCAATGACGATATTATGTTGAACCTGGGGAGAATACCAAGGAGGAAGTTGTTCAAAACATGATGGTTGTAGCTGCTCCAGAATGACTGTACCATGGGCAGAATGCTAATTTTGATAACGAGCCTTTCATCCAGAGAATGCCTGATAAGTGTTTATTCTCTGCCTCCCTAAAGTGAAAGTGGATGACTAACTTTGTTGTTAGTACCTCGAGACCCTGTGCAGGTGGCTATGATTGTAGGTTGAAAAATGCCTAAGAGAAAGACAGACCCATCCTCATCTAAGCAAAATTTCTGTAATCTGAGATAAAATAAAGAACAGTGGGAAAAAGAATAAATCCCCTACAAAGGAACCTAGCCATAAGTCAATATAGATTTGGCTGTAAAACAGAGTTTCTCAAAGAAGAGATTAATGGGTTGAGCACTGAAGCAACTGGGTCCAGATAGGAGCTATAGGCATAGGGAGAAGGGGCACAAACAGGCAGTTGTTTATCCGGTTGAAACTTAAAGTGCCTCAGTGGGGACAGATTTCTCCATGGAGATCAATATCTCTTTATAGGAGGAAGTAAGAAGCCATTTCTAGTTAGCTGGATAGAAATGTTGGTAGTCTGGGTACCCCATTTGTGGGTTCCGTCTTTATAGGAGGAAGCAAGAAGCCAGTTGGCTACCATAGAATGATAGTCAACTGGCTTCTCACTTCCTCATTATTATCCTATAGTAGCCAACTGGCTATCATTCCTTCAGCATTTCCACTGCTGGACCCTAAGCCCATGTATCGTGATCTGAAGAAGGGGGACTAAGCGTGAGGTCAAGGTCTTTCTGTCCCCAGTGGGGCCCAGAGGTCATATGCCTCTGCAAGGGTACAATGTGGCATGGGGTAAAGGTAGGAGATGAGAAATTTTGTGGCTTGTTTGGATACCAGTGCTTAAATAACTCTCTTATCAGATTCTGTTGAGGGACAAGTGCTACCAGTGAATTGGCTGAATTTGGCGATGTAGTGAAACAGAAAAGGGGATTAACTGTAACCATCTGGGTGTGGTCACTTAGACTCCCACTACTGCTGTTACTCTTACTGCTTGATGTATAATTGCTATTGCTGTTTTACATGCATTTACTGTGAGTACTCATAGAGTCTAAGAAGGGGGATTCTCCCACTTGTGAAAAAGAGCATCTTGCAATATGATGATAGTGAGAAGATTACACCAAAACCACCAACTAGACTTCCAGTTCTCTCCTGTATTACACTACACAAATAATATAGAATTCCAGGAGATGAGAAAGTAATCAAGGCCTTAATGAAGGACTTAAAGACAGTAGGAGTGTTGAAAGCTTTTATATCTTGACAATGGCCCTGAGTGTCTAGTGAAACAGGTGAATGGGAGGTGGAGGCTTATTGCCAGCTGAATTTAGCCATTGTCCCTGTAGCTCCCACACAATTACTATGCTATATCTGGAGAAGCTATATTTTCTTGGTGTTTGCCATCAGTGAGCGTGCAGATGTATGGAATAAGTTCTTTTTCCTTTCTTGGATAACTTGATTCCAATATATTGATGATATTGTGCTGGTAAGCCCCAGTAAAGAACAAGTGGTAATGGCTGTTTGCTGACTTGCATGAAAGCCAAGGGGTGGCTCATTACTCCTAATAAAATATAGAGACCAACCACCCAAGTCAAATTATTGAGAGCCATGTGGGCTAAGGCTCAAATATCAATCTCTAAGATATAAAAGGGAAAGTTACTTGCATTTTGACTCACCACTACCTAAAAAGGAGCCCAGAAGTTAATTTGACTGTTTGGATATTCGAGACATTATGTGCCTCATCCAGACAGTTTGTTGCACCTTATGTATGTGTTGAGCAGAAAATCTAGAAAATTTAACTGGTTATGGTAATAACAGGTAGGCTAGGGCAGTGACATGGGCCTGTAAAACCCCAAGGGTCCCTTGTAACTACAAGTATCTGCTACTGATGACTATGCTGTGTTGAGCTTCTACCAAAGAGAGACTGCTTCCACCTGTATGTGCCCGTCGAGTTCCCTGACCAGGCCACCCATCACACTCCATTTGGGAAATAACTAACTGGCCTTCTAATGGGAAGTTGTGGAGAATGAGAACCTTATTCTGGAATGCCAGGTAACATTTTGCCCAGACACCTCCATCTTGGGTTTGTTCATTCAGATGCTTACAATAAAGTCAGAAAGGCCCAACAGTCTTCTTTTATTAAATGGAAATATTATATTTAAGAGAGAGGCAGATCTGGTCCCACAACTGTGTCCTCCATATACAAAAAGGTTACATACCTTTAGAGGCTTTTGAACCTCCCCTTGCTCATTCACAAGGGAAGCCTTTTGCTATCTGGTGATCACACTTCCAAATCCCCAAGGATGATTGACCTTGGATTACTGATGGCTTAGCTGAAGTAAAAGCTAATGGTCTCACTGGGTATTGGCAGTAATTAAGCCCCAAGGACAGCCCTGGAAGACCTCCTGCAGTGAGGGCCAGTCAGCACAATTGGCTGATTTGAATACTGCCATCCTTGTCCTATATAATACTCATAGAGAAATGGCATATTGTATTTTCACTGACACTTGGGTTAGTGTCAGTGAAAACAGCTCAGCTGTCTGTTTGAATTCATGGAGAATGACTACTGGTATATAAAAGGCACCCCTCTATTGGGCCAGGAACTCTGGAAAGCTATATCTGCAGCCAGACAGAACATTTATGTAATCCATGTGAATGCCAAAGGAAAGCATCCATACTCAGAAAAGCCTAAATCAAACAATGTGGCCAATTGCATGTGCATAGCAATGCTATCTGTATTCATCATAGGACTGGGCAAGTGACTATTCCACCATAATCCAATGGGCTTAAAAGAATTCCATCTGTGTCATCTGTCAGTAGGTGACACAACTTTGAGCCTTGACCATTCCTGAGGGTCTACTTCCATTCTCTGCTGCCACCTTGTGGCTATTTCTGGTATCTAACAGCCATTGAAATCTATTCCAGTTGGAAGAGCCTGCTACGGAACTGAAATTGATTGGACATTTTATAGGAATTGATACAGATGTTGTCCTCAAAAGCTACAAAGCAGTGGTCTGCAAAATAAAATGTGTTGGAAACCTCAAAAAAAAAGAGAAATCTATTCCAGCTATGAAGTTGCCATTCCTGTGTGAGTTGCAGATTCTGGGAATACCATGGTAATACTTGAGTCTGAGTTCTACTGTTTCTGCCACTTACAGTCTTCCAAAGCACAGTGTTCAAGCTTAAGGAGACCCAACAGTGCACTGATGGGGATGTCATTCGCCATGCATCCCATGCCCCTTTTCATGCTCAGGCTGCTGGCATCATCAAGAGGTGGAGTAAATTTTCAAAACCTTGACTGTAAAATATTTCTAGGCAAGCTATGTTGCCAGAATTGTGGACTACACATCATAGTCAGACTGTATGGTTATTATCTGAGGCTTCTCTCTGTAAGAAATATTTATCTTTGAATGGTTGTGTGAATGTCAAGAGAGAAGGGGTCAGAGAACAAGGAGACCAGCCTTCTAGATCAGGGATTCTACACTGACAATCTCCAACCATTCCTCTTTTTTTCACCTTAGACAACAAAGTGAGATAGACTCCAACCTATTGTTCCTGCTATCACCTAGCTTCTGTCATTGGGCATGGGATGTCACAGATCACAAGGATAATGATCCGTTGGTAGAATTTCTGAAGCTTGGATTTACCACTGCAGTGGCTCACTCAAGCAGCAATAGATGATACTAGATCATTGAATAGATAATAATATATCACTGAAATTCCTACTATTGTACCATAGCCCACATAACCCCTGGCACATCTGGATGGGTCTGGGAGCAAGTGGGAGATGGATGGGTGAATAGACAAGGTACTGACTACTGGATTAGGACCAACAGATTGTGTGGCCATGGAGGGAGAGCAACAACCTCATCGCCTGGGGGAAAGTAACAACCTCAGTATATGCGGTCTTTAGACCTTGGAAGGTATGGGAATGGGGGAAGCAATCAATGTTCTATGTCCCCTGGATTCAGTACTACTGCTTGGCAAACATCTCCATGGTCCATCTGAGTGAAGTGGTAGCCGCAGCTGACTAACTCACATTGAGGTCCATCTTTCTCATCCACATGCTAAAAAGCTGAAAATCTCCCATAGCCACGGCTATCAAACTTGGATCCCTTCATGCATGTACAAACACTCTGACCAGTGCAATCTTGTTTATGTGTGACCGGTACTAATCCACATGATTCTTCTGACACACCAATGGCCTATGCCATGTATGGCTATCAAAACTGTGTCTACTCAGTGACGTCACCCATGTGATTTTACCAAAACAATACAAAACCAAGTATAAGAAGCCTCTTCAGGTTATATGCTTGTATGTATTAGAGAGGGGGCCACAGAACATTTCCACTGGGGGTAGTGGTGATTTTTTAGCTCATGTATGGCTCCCAGTAATCACTGAAGGTGATACCACCCATTTTATCCCTTGTTGGAACACTGGATAAAGAGGGCTGTCCTAGCTGGGGGGTACTTTTACTCCTGGTTCTATGCCCCGGCATCAGTGTCCATGCCCCAGAGACAATGATCAGGTACCAATCATTATCTTTAGCAACCATAGCCAATGAGATGCCACAAACTCTATAACATCAGCTAATCAGTCTAAACTTTTTTGTATAGGTTTTAATGAATAATAGACTGGCCTTAGACTACATTCAGGCTCACCAGGGAGTAGTATTTATGTTCATCAGCATCTCCTTTGTGTTTGTCTTCATTCTATTGTTCAGGTAAAGCAGCTCAGCTAATGTATCAGCTCAGGTGCAACACTTTGAGCAGCTAGGGCACTTTCCTCCAGGATCTGAAATAAAAACTGATATTTGATGCTGTGGCCTCCAAATCTAGAGTATGTGAATCTGGGAACCAAGGAGTAAAACATCAGACTGGCTCTTTATATATGTGTGTGTATATATATTACTTTAAGTTCTAGGGTACGTGTGCACAACGTGCAGGTTTGTTACATATGTATACATGTGCCATGTTGGTGTGCCGCACCCATTAACTCGTCATTTACATTAGGTATATCTCCTAATGCTATCCCTCCCCCCTCCCCTCACCCCACAACAGGCCCCAGTGTGTGATGTTCCCCTTCCTGGGTCCAAGTGTTCTCATTGTTCAGTTCCCACCTATGAGTGAGAACATGCGGTGTTTGGTTTTTTGTCCTTGCGATAGTTTGCTGAGAATGATGGTTTCCAGCTTCATCCATGTCCCTACAAAGGACATGAACTCATCCCTTTTATGGCTGCGAAGCATTCCATGGTGTATATGTACCACATTTTCTTAATCCAGTCTATCATTGTTGGACATTTGGGTTGGTTCCAAGTCTTTGCTATTGTGAGTAGTGCCGCAATAAACATACGTGGCCATGTGTCTTTATAGCAGCATGATACAAAGGAGTCTGATTCCATTTTTGAATATTTGAATGCTGAGAGCTTTTAAACCTCAACCCCCCTTCTTCCCCTCCACCCCATATCTGGGCAAACTGATAAAAAGTCCTGGGTAATTTCTCCTTGGGCACTAGCAGGAGGTTCAAACCATGCAAGTCCATACTTGTGCAATTGGAACCCTCATCATGACCCCTCTCCCTAACCACAACAAAAACCTGAAGTCAGTCTTCTTTTTCCACTTTCTCAAGCCATTTTCAGATCATCGTGGGAAGCCTGCCCTTCTCTCCTCTGAAAGCATTTATTATGTAAGTAATAAATCATACCTTCTTGCTTTGTGTAAGATGTTATCAGTCTTGACATCTGAATTAAATTTTAGGTGGGGATTGTAGGGAGAATTCTTACCCAGCGTAATGCCTACGTGGTGTAGGTAAATTTCTACCTTGCCTTAAACTCTGCTTATCTTTAAGACACAGAATGCCTGAGGTCAGAAGTTCCCTTTTGTGACCAAATGGGCTAAGACGGTGGGATCCAAGATGGAAGCTCAACCTCTGAAGAACCTCTAGGTTCATTATAGTCTAATTTCCATGCTAAATAACACACCCACCAACATCATGACCATTGACAGTCTTCATGACAACAACTGGAAGAAACCATAGAAGGACAAAACAGAAGGTGGTACTCCGGTTTTGAGAAGTTTTCTGCCCATTACCGGAAAAGACATGAATATTCCTCCCCTTGCTTTTAATGCCCAACCCATTCATTAAAGATATCCTATATCTGTGTTTTCCCAGCTCTCATGAGTGAACTGAGAAGTTGATTTGTGAGCCACACTCCTGCTTCTCAATTTCATGGCCATCAAACAAGACTGCACTGCTCGAGGCTTTCTTTTGGTTTTGCGTATTGGCTTCACAACACTTAGTAGGAAAAGATCCAATTTTGGGGGGGACCAGCTTTATCAGTAACAAATTGGCTCACACAATCACAAAGGCAAAGTCCTGTGATAGGTTTTCTACAAGATGGAGTGTGAAAGATCCCACCAGCCTGGGTCCTAGAGAATACAGTAGTGTGGCTCAGTCCAAGTTTGAAAGCTCAAAACCAGGGAAGCTGACAGTGAAGACTTTAATCTGAGGCTGAAGGGCTGAAAGCCTCTAGGAGGCTGCTGGTGCAGGTCCCAAAGTCCAAAGGCCGAAGAACCTGAAGTCTGATATCCAAAGGCAGTAGAGGGGAAAGGACATCCTGCTGTAGAAGAGAGAGAGAGCATGAAAAAGAAAACTAAACAAGCTGAATATCTCCCTTCTTCTGGATACTTTGTTCTAGGTCTAACCCCAGATTAGTGCCCATCCACATTGAGAGCATGTCTTCCTCTCTCAGTTCATTGACTCACATGTCAATCTTTTCTGGAAACACCCTCATAGACACAACCAGAAACAATGCTTCACCAACCATCTAGACATCTCTCAATCTAATCAAGTTGACATCTAAAATTAACTGTTACAGGGGTCCATCCTTTCTTTGTAAAGAGGCTACAACAGCTCTTCTCACCATCATTCTCCATAGCACATTTGCACAATGTGTACTTCCTATCCCTGAAACTTTAAGGTCTGCCATATTAGATATCCTGTGTCCCAAGAGAGACTGCTTCCAGTAAGAGACACAGGTTGGTTTCTATTAAACTTGAGGCTACAACCACTACCTGGTCACTTCAATTTCCTCATGGCAATGGATCAGCAGGCAAAGAAAGGAGTTTATATATCAATAGGGAAAATCAACCGTGATTATCACTGTTGGGGTTCAGAAACCGATACCCCAAAATACGGCACTTTGACATGCTGAACTGAAAAAACATCTAGATCTCTCTGACCATCCTCCTCCCTACTGTCTCTCAATCTTCTGTCTCTCCCAAAGCACAGATAGAGTTCTCTGAAGTTTCTTTTCCTGCCTGAAGTGTGGACCCACCAAAGAGAACCACACCTGAACAAACCCTTTCACATGGTAATATCTGTCACACTCATTCAAATTCCCAAGAAAACTATTTACAAGTTAATCTCTGTCCCAAGATCTATTCATTCTCCCTAGTAATCATTTATTGCCCCTCAACAGAATCTCTCTTCTTCCCCCTCCTATAACCTGTTCTGCCACAATAACCTGTTTTGCCAGAATCCAAGCCCCCATTCTTTCTGCAATTTCATGATGGTATATAAGCTTCTACGCCCCATTGGGGTATGAGGCAATTACTCTGTGATTCTTCTTGTGTATGTGTTAATAAATGTGTATGCCTTTTCTCCAATTAATCTGCCTTAGAGGGCACAGAGGTAGATTTTCTTTTGGCCTCTGCACCATGCACAGATAAAGGTTGTTGCTGCATAATGGGGATAGGGAGGAATATGTCTGAAATCCAGAGGATTCATCTGGCATTCTGTTTACAGAAAAACCAAACTCTGTAAAATATTTTAAAGAGGTTTATTTTGAGCCAATATGAGTGATTGCGGTTCAGGGAAAACACTAACACAAAAAGCCTTGAGTAAGTGGTCCTGAGGAAGCCAGGCTACGGTTTGTTTATTATTTTTTTATTTTTTTGCTGATAGTAAATAGAATGCCATACAGTTTGGTTTTATACATTCCAGGGAGGCAGGAATTACATGCAAAAACATAAATCAATACATGGAAGGTAGACATTGGTTCGACAAGATATCTTGAAGCACAGGGTTGAGGGAGAGTGGAGCTTACAGATTATAGGTGAATTTGGAGATTATTTAATTTCCAATTGGTTAAAGGAGTAAGGCTCTGTCTAAAACTTGAGGTCAGAAGAAAGAAAAGTTCAAGTTAAGATAAGGATGCTATATCAGAGCCAATCACAATATACTGGGTCAAAATGACCTCTTTAGCAAGATTGATGGCCTGCAGGCATGACTTAACCCTTGCCTGGCATGGTCCTAGGTTTTGTTTATAATTTGGTGTCTTATTGCCACAAGGTTCTGTTTTGTCAGTCGTATTATCTCTATTTTAACATTCTGCAGGTTGGTTGCTGTCTAAACTACAAAAGGGAAGGGGCATCATGAGGCATGTTTGACCTCCCGTCTTGTCATGGCGGGGAACTCAGTTTTTAAGGTTTCCCTGGGTTCCCCCTGGCCAAGAGGGGGTCTGTTCAGTTAATGGGGTGGGCTTAGAATTTTATTTCTAGTTTACAATTCTTTTGGTGCTTCTGTGCTCACTGACAATGGTAAATGGAATCAGTATAAAATAGTTGTTGATTGCTTCATAATTTTAAGATCATTTACACTTGATGTATTAACTAAATGGGGCTAAATACGACAAAGTGTCCTGTACTATTGTCTCAGAAATCATTCTAGGAAGCTTGTCCTTTTACTCTTTGTCATGGTTAGTCCTGGTCCTTTAAAAACTATCTCTCTATCCTTATTCACTCTTTGGAGACTGCAGGTGGATTTAGCAACATTCATTCTTTAATCACCTTCCCGTTTTTTTTTTTGTTTTGTTTTTTTTTTCGGAGTCTTGCTCTGCCACCCAGGCTTGAGTGCAGTGGTGTGATCTCTGCCTTCCAGGTTCAAGCAATTCTCCTGTCTCAGCCTCCCGAGTAGCTGGGATTACAGTGGCATACCGCCACGCCCGGCTATTTTCCTGTTTTTTTTTTTTTTTTTTTTTTTTATTATACTCTAAGTTTTAGGGTACATGTGCACATTGTGCAGGTTAGTTACATATGTATACATGTGCCATGCTGGTGCGCTGCACCCACTAATGTGTCATCTAGCATTAGGTATATCTCCCAATGCTATCCCTCCCCCCTCCCCCGACCCCACCACAGTCCCCAGAGTGTGATATTCCCCTTCCTGTGTCCATGTGTTCTCATTGTTCAATTCCCACCTATGAGTGAGAATATGCGGTGTTTGGTTTTTTGTTCTTGCGATAGTTTACTGAGAATGATGGTTTCCAATTTCATCCATGTCCCTACAAAGGATATGAACTCATCATTTTTTATGGCTGCATAGTATTCCATGGTGTATATGTGCCACATTTTCTTAATCCAGTCTATCATTGTTGGACATTTGGGTTGGTTCCAAGTCTTTGCTATTGTGAATAGTGCCGCAATAAACATACGTGTGCATGTGTCTTTATAGCAGCATGATTTATAGTCCTTTGGGTATATACCCAGTAATGGGATGGCTGGGTCAAATGGTATTTCTAGTTCTAGATCCCTGAGGAATCGCCACACTGACTTCCACAATGGTTGAACTAGTTTACAGTCCCACCAACAGTGTGAAAGTGTTCCTATTTCTCCACATCCTCTCCAGCACCTGTTGTTTCCTGACTTTTTAATGATTGCCATTCTAACTGGTGTGAGATGGTATCTCATAGTGGTTTTGATTTGCATTTCTCTGATGGCCAGTGATGATGAGCATTTCTTCATGTGTCTTTTGGCTGCATAAATGTCTTCTTTTGAGAAGTGTCTGTTCATGTCCTTCGCCCACTTTTTGATGGGGTTGTTTGTTTTTTTCTTGTAAATTTGTTTGAGTTCATTGTAGATTCTGGATATTAGCCCTTTGTCAGATGAGTAGGTTGCAAAAATTTTCTCCCATGTTGTAGGTTGCCTGTTCACTCTGATGGTAGTTTCTTCTGCTGTGCAGAAGCTCTTTAGTTTAATTAGATCCCATTTGTCAATTTTGGCTTTTGTTGCCATTGCTTTTGGTGTTTTGGACATGAAGTCCTTGCCCACGCCTATGTCCTGAATGGTAATGCCTAGGTTTTCTTCTAGGGTTTTTATGGTTTTAGGTCTAATGTTTAAATCTTTAATCCATCTTGAATTGATTTTTGTATAAGGTGTAAGGAAGGGATCCAGTTTCAGCTTTCTACATATGGCTAGCCAGTTTTCCCAGCACCATTTATTAAATAGGGAATCCTTTCCCCATTGCTTGTTTTTCTCAGGTTTGTCAAAGATCAGATAGCTGTAGATATGCGGCATTATTTCTGAGGGCTCTGTTCTGTTCCATTGATCTATATCTCTGTTTTGGTACCAGTACCATGCTGTTTTGGTTACTGTAGCCTTGTAGTATAGTTTGAAGTCAGGTAGTGTGATGCCTCCAGCTTTGTTCTTTTGGCTTAGGATTGACTTGGCGATGCGGGCTCTTTTTTGGTTCCATATGAACTTTAAAGTAGTTTTTTCCAATTCTGTGAAGAAAGTCATTGGTAGCTTGATGGGGATGGCATTGAATCTGTAAATTACCGTGGGCAGTATGGCCATTTTCACGATATTGATTCTTCCTACCCATGAGCATGGAATGTTCTTCCATTTGTTTGTGTCCTCTTTTATTTCATTGAGCAGTGGTTTGTAGTTCTCCTTGAAGAGGTCCTTCACATCCCTTGTAAGTTGGATTCCTAGGTATTTTATTCTCTTTGAAGCAATTGTGAATGGGAGTTCACCCATGATTTGGCTCTCTGTTTGTCTGTTGTTGGTGTATAAGAATGCTTGCGATTTTTGTACATTGATTTTGTATCCTGAGACTTTGCTGAAGTTGCTTATCAGCTTAAGGAGATTTTGGGCTGAGACGATGGGGTTTTCTAGATAAACAATCATGTCGTCTGCAAACAGGGACAATTTGACTTCCTCTTTTCCTAATTGAATACCTTTTATTTCCTTCTCCTGCCTGATTGCCCTGGCCAGAACTTCCAACACTATGTTGAATAGGAGCGGTGAGAGAGGGCATCCCTGTCTTGTGCCAGTTTTCAAAGGGAATGCTTCCAGTTTTTGCCCATTCAGTATGATATTGGCTGTGGGTTTGTCATAGATAGCTCTTATTATTTTGAAATACGTCCCATCAATACCTAATTTATTGAGAGTTTTTAGCATGAAGGGTTGTTGAATTTTGTCAAAGACTTTTTCTGCATCTATTGAGATAATCATGTGGTTTTTGTCTTTGGCTCTGTTTATATGCTGGATTACATTTATTGATTTGCGTATATTGAACCAGCCTTGCATCCCAGGGATGAAGCCCACTTGATCATGGTGGATAAGCTTTTTGATGTGCTGCTGGATTCGGTTTGCCAGTATTTTATTGAGGATTTTTGCATCAATGTTCATCAAGGATATTGGTCTAAAATTCTCTTTTTTGGTTGTGTCTCTGCCCGGCTTTGGTATCAGAATGATGCTGGCCTCATAAAATGAGTTAGGGAGGATTCCCTCTTTTTCTATTGATTGGAATAGTTTCAGAAGGAATGGTACCAGTTCCTCCTTGTACCTCTGGTAGAATTCGGCTGTGAATCCATCTGGTCCTGGACTCTTTTTGGTTGGTAAACTATTGATTATTGCCACAATTTCAGAGCCTGTTATTGGTCTATTCAGAGATTCAACTTCTTCCTGGTTTAGTCTTGGGAGAGTGTATGTGTCGAGGAATGTATCCATTTCTTCTAGATTTTCTAGTTTATTTGCGTAGAGGTGTTTGTAGTATTCTCTGATGGTAGTTTGTATTTCTGTGGGATCGGTGGTGATATCCCCTTTATCATTTTTTATTGTGTCTATTTGATTCTTCTCTCTTTTTTTCTTTATTAGTCTTGCTAGTGGTCTATCAATTTTGTTGATCCTTTCAAAAAACCAGCTCCTGGATTCATTGATTTTTTGAAGGGTTTTTTGTGTCTCTATTTCCTTCAGTTCTGCTCTGATTTTAGTTATTTCTTGCCTTCTGCTAGCTTTTGAATGTGTTTGCTCTTGCTTTTCTAGTTCTTTTAATTGTGATGTTAGGGTGTCAATTTTGGATCCTTCCTGCTTTCTCTTGTAGGCATTTAGTGCTATAAATTTCCCTCTACACACTGCTTTGAATGCGTCCCAGAGATTCTGGTATGTGGTGTCTTTGTTCTCGTTGGTTTCAAAGAACATCTTTATTTCTGCCTTCATTTCGTTATGTACCCAGTAGTCATTCAGGAGCAGGTTGTTCAGTTTCCATGTAGTTGAGCGGCTTTGAGTGAGATTCTTAATCCTGAGTTCTAGTTTGATTGCACTGTGGTCTGAGAGATAGATAGTTTGTTATAATTTCTGTTCTTTTACATTTGCTGAGGAGAGCTTTACTTCCAACTATGTGGTCAATTTTGGAATAGGTGTGGTGTGGTGCTGAAAAAAATGTATATTCTGTTGATTTGGGGTGGAGAGTTCTGTAGATGTCTATTAGGTCTGCTTGGTGCAGAGCTGAGTTCAATTCCTGGGTATCCTTGTTGACTTTCTGTCTCGTTGATCTGTCTAATGTTGACAGTGGGGTGTTAAAGTCTCCCATTATTAATGTGTGGGAGTCTAAGTCTCTTTGTAGGTCACTCAGGACTTGCTTTATGAATCTGGGTGCTCCTGTATTGGGTGCATAAATATTTAGGATAGTTAGCTCCTCTTGTTGAATTGATCCCTTTACCATTATGTAATGGCCTTCTTTGTCTCTTTTGATCTTTGTTGGTTTAAAGTCTGTTTTATCAGAGACTAGGATTGCAACCCCTGCCTTTTTTTGTTTTCCATTGGCTTGGTAGATCTTCCTCCATCCTTTTATTTTGAGCCTATGTGTGTCTCTGCACGTGAGATGGGTTTCCTGAATACAGCACACTGATGGGTCTTGACTCTTTATCCAACTTGCCAGTCTGTGTCTTTTAATTGCAGAATTTAGTCCATTTATATTTAAAGTTAATATTGTTATGTGTGAATTTGATCCTGTCATTATGATGTTAGCTGGTGATTTTGCTCATTAGTTGATGCAGTTTCTTCCTAGTCTCGATGGTCTTTACATTTTGGCATGATTTTGCAGCGGCTGGTACCGGTTGTTCCTTTCCATGTTTAGCGCTTCCTTCAGGAGCTCTTTTAGGGCAGGCCTGGTGGTGACAAAATCTCTCAGCATTTGCTTGTCTATAAAGTATTTTATTTCTCCTTCACTTATGAAGCTTAGTTTGGCTGGATATGAAATTCTGGGTTGAAAATTCTTTTCTTTAAGAATGTTGAATATTGGCCCCCACTCTCTTCTGGCTTGTAGGGTTTCTGCCGAGAGATCCGCTGTTAGTCTGATGGGCTTTCCTTTGAGGGTAACCCGACCTTTCTCTCTGGCTGCCCTTAACATTTTTTCCTTCATTTCAACTTTGGTGAATCTGACAATTATGTGTCTTGGAGTTGCTCTTCTCGAGGAGTATCTTTGTGGCGTTCTCTGTATTTCCTGAATCTGAACGTTGGCCTGCCTTGCTAGATTGGGGAAGTTCTCCTGGATAATATCCTGCAGAGTGTTTTCCAACTTGGTTCCATTCTCCACATCACTTTCAGGTACACCAATCAGACGTAGATTTGGTCTTTTCACATAGTCCCATATTTCTTGGAGGCTTTGCTCATTTCTTTTTATTCTTTTTTCTCTAAACTTCCCTTCTGGCTTCATTTCATTCATTTCATCTTCCATTGCTGATACCCTTTCTTCCAGTTGATCGCATCGGCTCCTGAGGCTTCTGCATTCTTCACGTAGTTCTCGAGCCTTGGTTTTCAGCTCCATCAGCTCCTTTAAGCACTTCTCTGTATTGGTTATTCTAGTTATACATTCTTCTAAATTTTTTTCAAAGTTTTCAACTTCTTTGCCTTTGGTTTGAATGTCCTCCCGTAGCTCAGAGTAATTTGATCGTCTGAAGCCTTCTTCTCTCAGCTCGTCAAAATCATTCTCCATCCAGCTTTGTTCCGTTGCTGGTGAGGAACTGCGTTCCTTTGGAGGAGGAGAGGCGCTCTGCGTTTTAGAGTTTCCAGTTTTTCTGTTCTGTTTTTTCCCCATCTTTGTGGTTTTATCTACTTTTGGTCTTTGATGATGGTGATGTACAGATGGGTTTTCGGTGTAGATGTCCTTTCTGGTTGTTAGTTTTCCTTCTAACAGACAGGACCCTCAGCTGCAGGTCTGTTGGAATACCCTGCCGTGTGAGGTGTCAGTGTGCCCCTGCTGGGGGTGCCTCCCAGTTAGGCTGCTCGGGGGTCAGGGGTCAGGGACCCACTTGAGGAGGCAGTCTGCCCGTTCTCAGATCTCCAGCTGCGTGCTGGGAGAACCACTGCTCTCTTCAAAGCTGTCAGACAGGGACACTTAAGTCTGCAGAGGTTACTGCTGTCTTTTTGTTTGTCTGTGCCCTGCCCCCAGAGGTGGAGCCTACAGAGGCAGGCAGGCCTCCTTGAGCTGTGGTGGGCTCCACCCAGTTCGAGCTTCCCGGCTGCTTTGTTTACCTAAGCAAGCCTGGGCAATGGCGGGCGCCCCTCCCCCAGCCTCGTTGCCGCCTTGCAGTTTGATCTCAGACTGCTGTGCTAGCAATCAGCGAGATTCCGTGGGCGTAGGACCCTCTGAGCCAGGTGTGGGTTATAGTCTCGTGGTGGGCCGTTTCTTAAGCCGGTCTGAAAAGCGCAATATTCGGGTGGGAGTGACCCGATTTTCCAGGTGCGTCCGTCACCCCTTTCTTTGACTCGGAAAGGGAACTCCCTGACCCCTTGCGCTTCCCAGGTGAGGCAATGCCTCGCCCTGCTTCGGCTCGCGCACGGTGCGCACACACACTGGCCTGCGCCCACTGTCTGGCACTCCCTAGTGAGATGAACCCGGTACCTCAGATGGAAATGCAGAAATCACCCGTCTTCTGCGTCGCTCACGCTGGGAGCTGTAGACCGGAGCTGTTCCTATTCGGCCATCTTGGCTCCTCCCCATTTTCCTGTTTTTAACACTTCTTCAACTCCGTTCTGACCGCATCCATTTAAACTTTATGTATTCTTTTCTAAGTAGATTTAATAATGCTAAAATATCCAAATTCTCTCTCTGTACCATCACTGATATTTGATCTATATACTGATTTATTTATTTATTTATGACAGTGTCCCTACTGGCACAAGGTGTCTCCAGGTGGAAACTGGGAAACAAATTAAGGTCACATGCCCCAGGAGGCCCAGCATATCAGAACACTATAGTTTGTTGGCAACGGTAGGATTAAAAGGACCACACTTGTGTGAGCTCAGTGAGGGGCAGCAGGGGTGGGTAGCCCAGCGCCCTGAGGCCTCAAGGGAAACTGAGGACCTTGCTCACTCATTAGACACAGAGCATCTCCATTGTCACGTCTCAGCAAGTGAGTTTACAGCTTGTAAGAAGGGAAGTTGCCATTTGTTGACCCATCCAGGCTCTGCCCCTGTGGCTGACCTTGTCAGCAGCCATTTTAGTGGCAGCCTTGGCGGGTCCCACTTCGCCCCACCTTCGTGTTCCGGGGCTTCCACAGCCACTATCACAGACTGTTGTCTCCCATTTGGCCGCCTTCTCTGCCACCCCCACCACTTTGCAGCAGGCCTGACTGCCAGCGGACTCCCTCTCCTCAGCGGCAGTGATCTGGGTGGCCGCCATCTTTGCTGCCTTTGTCGCTGCAGCCCCATTTGTTGCTCCAGTTGAGGTCCTGACTGGTGAGTCCCTCCTGCCATGTCTACCTCTGAGAAGTGAGACCTGGCCCAACATAGCCAGAGTGGAGCTTGTGACGGGGCAGCCCTGGACCCTGGATTCATCGGGAGTGCCTTGGTGCCTGAAGAATGGGTGGCTGAAGCCGAGGCAGAGGTAGCCCCTGAGGATTTCCAGGAGGCAATAGAAGCTGTTTTGGAGGAGGAGGAAGATGAGGCCTGGGTCCCCATCGAGAACTGGTTTTTTTCAGCTAGTAGAAGAGGAGGAGGAGCTAGGAGAGGAGGAGGAACTGGGAGAGGAGGAGGAGCTGGGAGAGGAGGAGGAAGAAGAATTTGAGGAGGAAAAGGAGGAGGAGGAATTTGAGGAGGAGGAGGAGGGTGAAGAGGGGGAGGAAGAAGAAGAAGGAGAGGGGGAGGAAGAAGAAGAAGGAGAGGAGGAGGATTATGAAGGAGAGGAGGAGGTTTATGAAAGAGAGGAGGACTATGAAGGAGAGGAGGAGGACTATGAAGGAGTGGAGGAGGGCTGTGAAGAAGAGGAAGAGGATGAAGACAAAGAGGAGGACGAGGAGGAGGCTGAGGATGAGGACAAGGAGGAGAAGGAAAAGGACAACAAAGAGGATGCAGAAATTGCTTGTGGCGCCTGTGAGTTCCCATGGTGACGTTTCAGTCCCTATTCCAGTATCTGGTCCATTTCTTTCTATACTGTATTTATTATTAATATAAAGACCATATCCTGGTCCGGCCCCATGCAGACTGCGTGCTGTTTCCAGGAACATGAGGAGCGGGGAGAGACACTTGCGCCAGGGGAGTGGGAGGATCCGGGAGTGGGAGGATCTGGGAGCAGGAGGACCCGGGAGCGGGAGGACCTGGGAACAGGAGCATCTGGGAGTGAGCGCACCCGGGAGCAGGAGGACCCAGGAGTGGGAGCCGAGGTCTGGCAGGGCGTGTACCTGGCAGAAGGAGCCTTGCCCGGGGAGCCAGAGGAACCTGCAGAGGTCGCTGCATTCCTGCAGGCAGAGGAAACGGCAGGGGAGGTGGAGGCCTGTGAGAGTGAGGTGCTGGCTGATGCCTGCAAATCCTTGGAGACTGGGGCCTGTGCAACGTAGGGGGCTGAGGCCTGAGAGTGGCAGCAAAGTCCTGGGGGGCCCTTGCAACTTCTATTGGCACAGCTGGCTTAGTTGCTCAGACCCTACCTGCCTTGGTTCAGCAGCGGGTCAATGCTGTCAGGAAACTTCAGGCAGCATATGCACAAGTAGAAGCTCAAGTCTATAAAGGTCTTTACGGTCTTGAAAAAAATGTGCTTCCTTTTATCAACCTCTGTTTGATAAAAGATCTGAGATTATCAGTGTAATGTATGAGCCCGTAGAAAGTGAATGTCAGTGGGAAGTAGGTGGTCAGGAAGGAAGGAGCTTGGGAGGAAATGGAAAGAGCATGAAAACAAAGGACAAATAGATGGAATACCTCGCTTTAGGTTGACAGCTTTTAAAAATGTAAGGATTTTTGGTAGGATGATCCCAGAAAATGATGAACTTGTACTAGAGCACTTGAAAGATGTGAAAATAAATCTTTCAGGGGTTGAGAAACCAATGAGCTTCACCACAAAATTTAAGTTATAGAAATATTTTTCAGTGAAGTGAAGTTCTGACAAAAACATGTCAAATATTATCAGACCCAGATGATTCCGATCTCTTCTCTCAAGGGCCAGGAACAATCAGCAGCACAGGGTGTGAGATCTGTTGGAAAGAGGGGAAAAATATTATGGTGAAAAATATCAAGAAGCAAAAATGTGAGGGTCCTGGAAGTGTTGTACTTACCAGTAGGAACATTCTCAGCTATTCTTTTTCCCCTACATATTTCTATTCCCCAGGTTCTGCTGAGCATAGAGTATGGGATACGGCTACTGAGGATAAACTGGAATACCTTTTCCAAGAACGTCTCCCAATATCTGAATTATTCTTCTCTAAAGAAGCGGCTGAATATAAGTATGAAAATTCTGATGAGGAGGCTCAAGAAGCTGGAGGCAAGAAGGAGAGAGAAGAGGATGAAAATGAAGAACTGGAAGAAGGACTTGAAAAGGATCTGGACTCAGCAGAGCACAGCCCCTTCAAAAAATCCAGGTATTCATGTATAGTCTTGAGTATTAGCTAACCACTTCTGACATATACCTTTTACTAGCAGTGTTATGTTTTTAATTTTTCTCTGTAAGCTAAGTAAGCAAAATATTGGTAAAATTAAAACAGTTTAATGTTGATAATGTATTTTCATATTAGATAAATAGAAGGCAATATGTTCTGAAATGTACTTCAGTCATAGCTACAAGTCCTTTATCTTGTAGCTCTAAGATTGCTACAGATGGGAAATCTATTAGACTCAGTAGTGGAGATCAATATTTGTTTAGAGAAAGGTCACAAGAAGAAGGAGCAGCAAAGTGGCTGGGCCATGCACTAGTTTGGCCTTAATCGCTCTACCAGAGAAATGTAGTCTCTTGTATTAATAATGTCTTTGAGAAGGTTGACTACTGTACTTACAAGGTAGTAAAAAGTTAAGGATTTCAAGTGAGACCACACTTTGTGATTACTACATAAATATTAGTTCTGTTTATATCTTTTTATTTCATATGACATTCAAAAGAATAGAAATTAGTAAGTTATCATTTATCACTGAATTGGTAATTAAGTCTTAGCTTATATTTTCTTTATTGCCTTTCACTATCTTTCTGAATTTTCTTATCTGTGGATGTCTGATAACAGCCTCATTCTCACATGGAAACTGAGGGTCTGGAATATATATGGCTTGTGTAAAGAGAACAGACTTTTAAGGTGGAAAGATTTATGGAATTCATAAAGTGACCTCTCAAGAAAAAAACAAGCATTGCTAGTGGTGCACAAGAGGGCAACAAGGTTAATATGATCTGATCATTGAAATCATCGAATGTATGAGCATGCTAACATCCAAGGGTCTGTGTTACAAGAGGAAAATGTTTTGTTTTCTCCTTATTGAGACAACAGATGTATACAGGGTTGACTCATAGATTTAGAAAGTTATTAGTGCATGTTAATGGTGTACAAATGTTAATTGTTTCTTATTTCATCTTACAGCTTGGAGGCAGAGAAATAAATAGATGGAGAAAGAAGAAATTAATTTCCTCTTCATGGATGTTCTAGTTTTCAGTAGCTCAAACAACTGGTTTTGCTAAAGTTCATTACACAAAAATGATATCAACTGATATCTGACTTTACTCTTACATTTTACATATATATTTGACAGCATTTGTTCATGTTAAAAAATAAAAGCTTGTTTGAAATGAGTACTTTGCAGATTATTTTTTACAAAAATAATACTGAATGAAATTTATCTTTGTTTCTTTTTGTTTTGGTTTAGCATATTATCATTAAGATAAATCTTTCGACTATTTGGTAAGCCTTTTAAAAATTCTGTTATTGCAGCCCAAAATAAAATACAAAGCTATAAACAATTTGTGTAATGACAGAGATAGAGGTCTAGTCTCTACTGACTTTTATTGAAAGAATCAGATGAATGACCCAGCTTATCTGGAGACCACATGGTACTAGTGGGCTGCTATTGACTGTCAGCATCAGCATCAGCATCAGCATCAGCTGGAAAGTTGTTAGAAATGCAAATTATCAGGCCCTACTCCAGACCTACTGAATCAGAGATTCTGAAGGTAGACTGGCAATCAGGGTTTTACAAGTCTTTCATGTCTTCAGGTGCTTCTGAACACACTGAAGTTTGAGAACCACTGGTTTAGAGCAATGGGGGAAAACAAACTTCACCTACAGTAGGACCAGCCCTAATTCTCTAACTTGGTATGGTTGCAGGTAAACTGAACAGCACAGTAAAGTATGGACTGGGAAAGAGACTAAAATTCTCAGGGGCCTGAGACACAAAGAGTGCCTGGAGGGATGTGTTTATTTCCTAGGGCTGCCATAATGAATTGCCACAAACAGAGTGGCTTAAAACAACAGGAATTTATTGCCTCAGTTCTGTAGTTTAGAAGTTTGAAATCAAGGTGATGGCAGGGTTAGTTCCTTCTGGAGGCTCTGATGGAGAATCTATTCCATGCCTCTCTCCTAGCTTTTGCCATCAAGTTGTAGTATCTTTTGGCTTGCAAATTCATCACTTTAACCTCTTCTTCTGTCTTCACAGACACAGTGTTTTCCCCTGTGTCTCTGTCTTTGTGTATCTTCTTTATAAGGACATCAGTAATGGATTAATGGCCCACCTAATCCAGTATGACCTCATCTTAAATTGATTACATCTGCAAATAAGATATTTTCAAATAAGGTCACATTCACAGGTTCTTGGGATTAGGACTTCAACATATCTTTTTGAAGGACCCAATTCAACTAAAAACAAGAAGCAAAGATTTGGTGGTGGCAGTGAAAAGTGGGTAAGGGAAAAAAAACAATTCCAGAAGGATATAAGTATTATACCATGCATATGAAGTCTAAAAACATGTAAAACAATCACTGTAATGACTGTGGTTACATACATTTATAGTAAAAGGCATACATGTCAGTGATGCATACACATGTAACATGCAGATAGGTATATATGAGAATGATAAGCACCTTAAGAGGGTGATTAGATCTTGTGGAGAAAGAGAGAGAATTTAATTGGGGAGAGGTACACAGTGGACTTCACCTCTATTTGTAATATGCTTCTAAAGTTGGGAGGTGGGTTCACAGATGTAGTATTCCTATACCTTTGTGTAAGTCTGAAATATTTCTTAACATAAAAGAACACTTAAAAGAGGAAATGGGCCTATTATCTGGAACCTGTTTAAGGAAAAAAATGAAGTTTGAGTTGGCCAGAGTAGAGGATCAGAGAAGGGGAGGGCCAGGGGTTTTAGGGTAGAAGGCCTTGTTTCTACATTTAGTTAAGACTGCCTGGATGCTTGCTAATTGGCATCAGTATCTTTATATACTATGGCAGCACATCTCATATCCTAGTGTATATTAACATTGCTTATATATGTGTATCTATTCTCCTCCACCCCTTAGAGGGTGGACATCTGAATGTTTGGGACTTTAAAGGATTTTATTTATCTATTTCTCCTGAAACACATAGCACTGTGTTTTCTTTTTAGTAGGTGTCTGAAGAGAGTCTGTTAAAACAAAGTTAACATAATGCATCCACAATCCATTTGTGTCACTACTGTTGACATTTAACAATGTATTATCACGTAGTAACACACAATGTTTCCTATGGCTATAACCAAAAAAGGCACAAGGCCTTTTGTCACCATTTTTTAAAATGAATGGGCAGTCCAAGTCAGAATTATCTATGCCGTGTCATTTGAAGGGCCTTAAATTGGCTCTGATTGGTCCATGGCATGTTGGTGAACTGTCTTTCTATCTCTCTATCTATCTACAAAAGACATGATGTTCGAAAAATTTTATTGGGTGCTATGGTTTGAATATGTCCCCTCCAAAACCAGGTGTTGCCAATGTAATGGTATTAAAAGGTGGAGCCTTTATAATGTGATTAGACCATGAGGGCTCCTCCTTCATGAATGGGAGTAGGTGCCCTTATAAGGGGCTTAATGGACAGAGTTGGTTTTCTCTTGCCCTTCTGTCTTCTGCCATGTGAAGACATAGCAAGAAAGCCCTCACTAGGTGCTGGCATCTTGGTCTTGAACTTTGCAGCCTCCAGAACTGTGAAAAAATACATTTCTGTTTTTTATAAATTACCCAGTTTCAGTTATTCTGTTATGACAGTGCAAAATGGACTAAGACATGGGAATTTACTCCATTAGACAAAAGGTATATACACAACTCTCTTAGATAAGCTCATTTGGCTTTGGACTTCTGCTAAGACTGCTTAGGGACAACACCCATAATCCTCTTAGATGGAATATTGTTTTTCTGAGGTACTTCTCCACTTCTTTTTAGGCCTTAATAATGGATTTTATAATTGCATCACTGGCTTCATCTTTATATCATATTTTCCTGGAAGGGTTCTGGATTTGATCTTTGCTTAGATGCCCTTTCTTAACTTTAGCATTATTTTCCATCTGGAGACACTGGGGGTTTTGAAAGCAGCAAATTATGTCTCCATTTTGTTTAAGCTCAAGTCTGTCCCTTAACATTCTCTTCTCACATTTTGCTATAAACAGCACCCCCTTTCCCCAAAAAAAATCCAGGCAGCACCGTCAACATTCTTTTTGGAAATACCCTTTGGTATATTCACAATCCAAATTGTGAACATGTTTTCTACTCTCCACATCATTGCACTAAATTACAAGGGATCCCTTTCCTCCAGTTTCCAATAAAGTTTTCTTTACTTTCCCTTAAGCTCTCACAGGCAACCTTCATAAAGATGGTTAGGTTTCTGATAATGGTGTGTTCCAAGAATCTTAGACTTTCATTAATACTCTCTCCAAACTCCTTCCAGCTTCAGCCCTCTGCTGGTTTTAAAGTCATTTCGCATGTTAGGTTTTGTTACTGCAGCACCCTACTCTTGGCACCAAACATCTGTTTTAATTATTATTATTATTATTTTTTGCCACATAACAAATAAGCCCTGAAATGGAGTGGCTTAAAACTACAAATAATTAATGTCTCACAGTTTCTGTAGGTCAGTTATTAAAGAGTGGTTTAGTTTTTCCTCCTGCTCCAGCCATGTAGAGCATGCCTGCTTCCCCTTCTCCTTCTGCCATGATTGTAAGTTTCCTCAGGCCTCCCTAGCCATGCTTCATGTATGACTTTGGAACCGTGAGCCAATTAAACCCCTTTTATCAACTTAAAAAATAGATAAATAAAATAATAAATAAAAAAGAGTGGTTTAGATGGATAATATCATCTTTGAGTATCTCATGAGGTTACAGTTCAGAAGTCAGTTGTGACTAAAGTCATTTGAAGGTTTGACTATATCCAGAAGGTTTGCTTCTAATCACATGGCTATGGACAGGATACCTTGATATATCATTGGCTATTGATAGTAAGTATCAGTTCTTTACCACATGGTTCTCTCTGTTGGGCTGCTTGAGTGTCCTCATGACATGTATTTTAGCCTGTTTGTGCTGCTAACAAAACACCTGAGACTGGGTAGTTTATAAACAATGGGAATTTATTTCTTATAGTTCTGGAGGCTGGGAAGTTCAAGATCAAGGTGTTGGGAGGTTTGGTGTCTGGTGAATGCCTCTTCCTAATAGATGGTGCTGTTTAGGTGTTCTTACATGACATAAGCGAAAGAAATGGCAAAAGGGAGCGAGCACTGTGTCCTCATACAACAGAAGAGTAGAAGAGTAAAAGGGATCTAAGTTAGTTCCCTCCAGCCCTTTTATAGGACACTCACTAATCCGTTTATGAAGGTGGAGCCCTCATTACTTAATCACTTCCCCAAAGGCCCCACTTCTCACTATTACCACAAAGAGGATTAATTTTCAACATGAGTTTTGAAGGTAACAAATTCAAACCATATCAACATGACAGCTGGCTTCTGTAAAAGTGAACAATTCAAGAAAGAGTAAGATGGAAGCCACAATGTCTTTTATGTCCTAGCGTTAATGTCATACTTCATCACGTCCACAATATCTTACTATTGGTCACATAGGTCAGCTCTATGAAAGAGGGCACTACACTGGAACATAAGCAGCAGGAGGCGGGGATCACTGGGGTGATCTTGGAGGCTGGCTATCCCAGTGCCTATGCCAACCAGTTGTTAAATATAGTACTGCCCTGAGACCTAGACTATAGAAAGCTTGTAATGGGCTTTACACTTTAGAGGCTTCATGCTTTCCCTCTTCCAGTCTTGCCTTTCTGCAAGTGGCCAAGAATTCAGTGTGTAGGGTCAAGGGGATGTACACACTCAGAGCCCGTGCCTCCCAACCCCAAATATTCTCCAGTTACCTGGAGCCCTGAATTTGCTGCCCAATTGGCTCCAAGATCTCAGCCTAAAGAGGCCTTCAGGCTCCACCTCACTGGGTCTGTGCTCCTGAGGGTTAAGTGCACTGTTAATGTATACTCTTAGCACTAAGTGGTGATCAAGAAGCAGTAGCTGTATGCAAGGAGCAGGGGAAAAATGAGCTTCAGTATCCATATATATGAATATTGAAGCCTTTTGAGGTAAGGAATGGAGCTCAGAGTATGCAGTGAAGTGCTAAGGAATGAGGGATGCTGGGGCCTGGGATGTATAACAGAGACCTGGGGTGGTGACTCTACTATCCCCACATCACTAGAACAGAACGTCAAAGAGTCCAAGTGTCGTGGACAGATCCTAAACTGACTCCCAATAATCTTAACCTTCCAACATTGACAGTCTTGTATAATTCCCTCCCCTTGAATTATATTGGGCAGGACCTGTGACTTCATTCTAACCAACAGAAAATATATGGCAAAGGTGATGGGATGTCACTCTTGTTATTATGTTGTGAGATTTTACATACGCACATGCACACACACACATACCCTCCTCCATGTGGTAATTTGTTATGCAGCAACAGAAAACCAATACAACAGGCCCAGAATTAGGTGGTTTTTGTTTGTTTGTTTATTTGTTTGTTTGTTTTTTTGCTGGAGGGGAGCCCTGGATATCGCAGATACCCAGATGTGTAGTCTTGAACCTCATCCAACCATTCAGAAACCAGCTCCTGAATTTTTGTGGGTTTTATTTCCCATTCTAAGGCATACATGCATCCTACCAAGATGTCTAGGGTAGTTGCCACATCCTGTGCATCAGGTCTGATGAGCATAATATTATCAATGTAATGGGAGAGCATGATGTCTTGAGGAATGCAGAGGAGATCAAGCTCCCTGAGGACTAGATTATGACATAGGACTAGAGAGTTAATATATTCCCTCATACTGTCTCTGAGTAAGATTCCTATTATTACTGCTTCAGCTCTTCCCCTTATTACAGTAACTTCAGCCAACTTGTCTTTTTTCATTAAGTATTGACACTTGGTCTCTTTCACCCTGGTATCACAATATCCCTATTGGATTCATAAAGACCAATTCAATGGCAACAATTCTGACTGCCATTTCCACCCTAAGGAGATTATCTATCACAGGGTACTTGCTAGAGAAAATCAATATATTCCTCAACAATTTATATGAGGCTTCTGTGTGGTGAACTTTTTTCTCTCTCTGATAGTAAAGGTCATATGAAGCAGTAATGTACTAGAGAGTGAGGGAATTCCATTACTATCGTATGTTACAACATATTAGAAGCAAGCAATAAAAGGTTTAGTACTAGAGAATTAATATAAAGAAAGGATGAGTAAAGATGTTAATGGAGTCCAAAGAAGGAGGTAAGGAAATTTGCAATTGAGGATGTCTTTGGGAAGAATGATCCAAGTAGAGGCACCAGCTGATGGCAAGGCCTCTGGATAGGAGCTGGCCTGGCACATTTGAGGAATGACAAAGAGGCCATATTGACTGGAGCTGAGTGAGCAAGGAGGAGAGTAGTGGGAAAAAGAAGTCAGAGAGGTGATGAGGAGGCCAGATCGTATAGGGCTTGACAAGGCCATTGTAAGAATTCTGGCTTTTACTTTGAGGAAAGAAATTCAAAACCATTGTGGGGCTTTCAGTAAAGAAGTGACACAACAATAGTAGCAAACACACTTGTAGACTCTATGTCAGACTCTATTGAAAACTTTAGAGATATTAATGCATTTAATCCTCACAACATCCCTCTAGCAAGTAGGTGCCATTGCCATCCCCATTATTTAAATGAGTAAATTGAGACAAGAGAAGTTAGAAAAGTTGTCCAATGATATGCAGCTAGTATATGGAAGTGCCAGGCTGCAAAGCCAGGCAGTCTAGGCTCAATGCCCTTTCACTTAGCTGTTGTAGAGAGCTGCTTCTTCTAATAGGTCTTCAGTTTTAAAAGGCTCACTTTGACTTCTGCAATTAAATAGAATGTTCAGGCATACTATTTATCAGCTAAGTTTGTTGCCACCAGTATGCCACCAGTGCTGCAAAGAATCAGTGTGTCATGTCAAGCACCAGATGAAGTCTGTGGCTTGGGTTTAAGGTCTATATACTGTTTGCAAAATGCCCACCTTTAGTCAGCAACAATGAGAGACTAAGAAGTTCCTAGGGCCTGTCCTTTCACAGAAACACCATTAAAATGAACAAAAATGGCCAGAATCAACATTATCGGAGCTCTGGAATATAGTTAGAGGATTATGGTAACCAAGGGAATGCTGAATACAGAAAAAGGAGACAAACATGGTAAGAGAGTTTTGTGGCATTTTAATAGCCTTCCTCCACTCCTCTTCCTGGTGTGGTGTCAATCTTGAAGTTGACAGCCTGTATTCCCTGTAGGGACACTGGGTTTCAAAAGGAGCAGAGCATAACTTGTTTCCAAGGAATTGTGTTTATATATTTTTACCTGTCTGGGGTTCCTTGAAGGATTGAAACAAGGCACTTGCCTTTGTTTTGCCTAACTTGGAACTCCCTCATGGCACAAAAATGTCTAAGCAGGAGGTGTTCTTTAAAAATATCGAAAAAAAAAAAAAAAGAACAAGCCATTGGCACCTGGGGCAAAGATTACAGCTTGAGTAAATAATAAACACACTGAAATCCTGTGAGGAAAAGCTGGGACTGGAGTTATGATACTTTAGGGAATAAGGGCTTTGAAAAGCTCCCACATGTAATGGAGAATCTAGTAAGCCATGTACATGCCTGGGGCAGGATGCATGTTGAGTCTTGAGAAGGCCCTCAGCTGTCACCTCTGTCTGACTTTAGGCTGAGTGCAAGCAGAAGGGAAGGCTAGGGCAGAGTTGTAAATGGATTGACTGTCAAAAGAGTCCCCCAATACTGAGCCAATCTGTAAAGACCAGAGGGTACATTTTTTTCTATTTTTTTTTTTAGTGGACTCCAGTCATTTGAGGACATTTCTGTCAAGCCACTAGCTGACCACAGGCTAAAGGAACAGAAACTTCTGAGACCTCACATGACAAAGTCTTTAAAAAATTACTTTAGAAATGTCATAAAATAAACAAGCAACTAAAATATGCAGCAAGCAACATCAACAAACCATATGAGGGGAAAATATGATTTCCATGGTAATTACACTATCACATTCAAAATGTCCAGTGTTCATAAAAATTAGGAGGCATGCAAAGAAATAAGAAAATATTGCATTCACAGGAATAAATTATATTAACAATGAATGTCCTTTAGGGAGTAAGCCATTGGATTTACTGGACACAGACTTTAAACCAACTGTTTTGAGTATTCTCAAATAAATAAAGGAAACCAGAACAAAGTCTCAACAAATAGGGAATATGAATAAAACGATAGAAATTATGAAAATAAATCAAATAGAAGTTCTGGAACTGAAAAGTACAATAAAACTAAAATTCAAAATTCACGGGAGGGTTTCAACAACACATTTGAATAGGCAGAAGAATCAGAAAATTTGAAGATAGATCAACTGAAATTATGCAGTCTGAGCAGGAGACAGAAAAAAGAATTACAAAAACCTGAACAGAGTCAGAGAAGTATGGAACAACACCAAACACACCAAAATATGAATAATGGTAGTACTAGAAGGAAAAGAGGGAAAGGAGCAGAAAGAATACTTGCAGAATTAATGGCTGAAAACTTCAAAAATTTGATAAAAAAAGAAAAATCTGCACATCTGAAAGCTTAATGAATTCAAGATAAGATAAACATAAAGGGAACTTCCACTCTGAGACACATTATAATCAATTGTCGACAGCCCCAGAGAATCTTGAAAGCAGCAAGAAAGAAGTGAATTGTTCCATATAAGTGATCCTCAATAAAATTAACAGCTGATTTCTCATCAAAATCATGGAGACTATGAGGCAGTGACATTTAAAAGGCTGAGATAACTTACTTATTTATTTGACATATTCTTTTAATAGACAACTACTCAACAATACAGAGAAACAAACTGCGAATAGACTCAATAACATGAATACTTCTTCCAGACATTATGCTGTGAAAAAAAAGCTAGACACAAAAGAGTACATGCTGTATGCTTTCATTTATATGAAATTCTAAGACTGACAAAATTATCCTATGATTAAAAAAAGTAAAACGGTGGCTGCCTGTTAGCAGAGTGGGAGGGTTTGACTTGGAAGAGATATGGCAAAACTTTCTGAGGTGATAGAAAATATTTTGTATCTTGCTATGGGTTACATTGGTGTCTGCATTGGTCAATACTGTAAAGTTAGGATTGGTGTATTTTAATATATGTAAATCTTACCTCAAAGAAGAACTAAAGAAAGAAATATTAATAAAGTGAGAGGAGATGGGAAGAGGGGAGACAGCTAGATGAAACAAGCACAGCTGTAATCCTGGCACTTTGGGAGGCCAAAGCGGGAGGATGGCTTGAGCAGGGGAGTTTGAAACCGGCCTGGACAACATAGTAAGACTTTGTCTCTGCAAATAAGAAACATATATCAGCCGGGTGTGGTGGCATGGGCCTGTAGTCCCAGCTACTTGGAAGGCTGAGGTGGCAATATTGCTTGAGCTCAGGAGGTTGAGGCTGCAGTGAGCTGTGACTGCACCACCGCACTCTAGCCTGGGTGACAGAGAGAGACTCTGTCTAAAAAAATAAAAAAAAAAGTAAAAAATAAAATGACATTGATAAAACAAGCATAGCATTGATAGTTGATAACTATCAAGGCCAAGTGATAAGGACATGGGGAAACACTACACTGTTCAGTTTTTTATATTTGTTTTTTTCTTTCCAACTTTTATTTTAGATTCAAGGAATACATGTGAAAGTTTGTTACATGGGTAAGTTTCAGGTCACGAGGTTTTGGTGTACAGATAATTTTGTCACCCAGGTAATCAGCATAATACCTGATAGGCAGCTTTTCAACCTTTCTCCCACCTCCCACCCTCAAGTAGGCCCCTTGTTCCCTTCTTTGTGTCCACATGTGCTCAGTGTCTAGCTCACACTTATAAGTGAGAACATGTGGTGTTTGGTTTTTTGTTAATTCGCTTAGAATAATGGCCTCCAGCTCCATCCATGTTGCTCCAATGGATATTGTTTTGTACTGTTTTATGGTTGTATAGTATTCCATGGTATATATGTACCATCATTTTCTTTATCCAGGCCTCCATTGATGGGCATATAGGTTGATTCTGTGTCATTGCTATTTTTAATAGTGATACAATGAACATATGTGTACATGTATCTTTATGGTAGAATGATTTATATTCCTTTGAGTATATACCCAGAAATGGGATTGCTGGGTGGAATGGTAGTTCTATTTTAAGTTCTTTGAGAAAACTCCAGATTGATTTCCATAGTGGCTGAAGTAATTTACAGTCCTACCAGCAGTACATAACCATTTCCTTTTCTCCACAGCCTTGCCAGCATCTGTTATTTTTTCGCTTTTTAGTAATAGCCATTCTGACTGATGTGAGATGGTATCTCATTGTGGTTTTGGTTTGCATTTCCCTAATGATTGGTGATATTGAGTCTTTTTTTTTTCATATGCTTGTTGGCTGTGTGTATGTCTTCTTTTGAAAATCTCTGTTTATGTCCTTTGCCTGTTTGTTAAATGGGGTTGCTTGTTTTTTGCTTATGGATTTAAGTTCCTTACAGATTCTGGATATTAGACCTTTGTCAGACGCATAGTTGGCAAATGTTTTCTCCCATTTTGTAGACTGTTTACTCTGTTGATAGTTTCTTTTGCTGTGCAGAAGCTCTTTGGTTTAGTTAGGTCCCACTTGTCAATTTTTGTTTTTGTTGCAATTGCTTTTGGAGTCCTTGTCATGAAGACTTTGCCAGGTCATATGTCCAGAATGGTATTTCTTAGGTTAACTTATAGGATTTTAACAGTTTTAGGTTTTACATTTAAGTCTTTAATCCACTGTGAGTTGATTTTTGTATATGGTGAAAGGTAGGGGTCCAGTTTCAATCTTCTCCATATGGCTAGCTAGTTATCCCAGCATCATTTATTGAATAGGGAGTCCTTTCCCCATTGAAATTTTGGTTGACTTTGTCGAAGATCATATGATTGGTTGACTTTGTCAAAGATTATATGGTTGTAGATGTGCAAATTTATTTTGGGGTTCTCTATTCTGTTCCATTGGTTTATGCGTCTGTTTTTGTAGTATAGTTTGAAGTCAGGTAGTGTGATGCCTCCAGCTTTGTTCTTTTCACAACTTTGTTATAAAAATTTAGGAATAGCATTGAATCTGCAAATGGTTTTGAGCAATATGACCTTTTTAAGAATATTGATTCTTCCTATCCATGAGCATGGAATGTTTTTCCATTTGTTTGTGGGTTGTCTCAGATTTCTTTCAGCAGTAATTTTTAATTACCATTGCAGAGATCTTTCACTTCTCTGGTTAGCTGTATTCCTAGTTATTCAATTATTTCTGTGGTTATTGTGAACTGGATTGTGCTCTTGATTTGGCTTGGATGTTATTGGTGTATAGAAATGCTACTGATTTTTGTGCTTTGATTTTGTGTCCTGAAACTTTGCTGAGGTTGTTTGTCAGATCTGGAAGACTTTGGGCACAGACTATGGGATCTTCTAGGTGTAGAATCATATAATCAGCAAACAGAAATAGTCTGACTTCCTCTTTTCCTGTTTCGATGCCTTTTATTTCTTTCTCTTGCCTGATTGTTCTGCCTAGTACTGCCAGTACTATGTTGAATAGGAGTAGTCAAAGTGGCCATCCTTGTCTTGTTTTAGTTCTCAAAGGGCATACCTTCAGCTTTTCCCCATTCATGAAACAACTTTAAATAACCAATAATTTTCAGTGAAACTATCTTTCAGAAATGAAGGTTAACATTGTATTATGTGAATTTCACCTCAAAAAAATGTTAATGCACATCTTCAACCAATGGACCTCAAAAAAATGTTAATACTCATCTTCAACCACTGGAATCATGCTCAGAGTTCTCACAAGATTATGGGCTCTCAGGAATGAGAACAAACGAAGCAACATCTGGATCATGTCTCTGCTTCACACTCACCCTTGGCCATAAATTAATTAACAGGCATCATCAACCACTTTTCCTCTCTCCCATCTCATGCCCTTTGCTAATGGGCATATTTGAATGTGTGTAATTCAAGTTATAGAAACATTTCTATCCAACCTTTGGTGATCTGCTTGCTCTTCTCTCCCTTCCTTCCATTGCCAAACAAGACTCTGCTGACCAAGGCTTGTGATAATTGACTGCTTCTTCCCACCTTTACTTCTATTATAGATCTTGCAATATCCTTAGCTCACAGGAACTTGCTTCTCCCGTTTATTATTAGTTTATACCTGGCCTTGACCCATTGCACTCCAAAACTGGGGTTTTTTCCAAGTGCCTACTACTTCTTTAATCGCTGATGCTTGGTCTTTCCTATTTGTACCCATTTCTTAGTGTGTCGCTATCTCCTTGGAATATCCTTTCCAATACACAGTCACTATTCTGGAAGATTCTTCATTTGCCAGGGAATAAAACTCTTTATTGGTTAATTGTATTGGCTTTCATATTTTACCTTTTCTAGATGCAAACAAACTGCTCTAGGTGGTAGTCTCATTTATATATATTTATATTTATTTATATATATAAATTTATATATTTATATAAAATATAATATATTATATAATATATATTGTATAATATATATTATATAATATATAATATATAATATATATTACATATTATATATTATATATTATATATTACATAATATATAATATATAATATAAATAATTATTATAATATTATATAATATATAATTATTATGATATATAATATATAATAATTATGATAATTATAATATATAATATATATTATACAACATATATTATATCATATCATATATTATATTATATTATATTATATATTATATATATAATTATACATAATATATAATATATAATAATATAAAATATAAATATTATATATAATTATACATAATATATTATATATTATATGTATAATTATATATAATTTATAAAAATATACAAGAGGCAATCCTTGGTTAACATCCAGAGTGAATATACATATATATGTATGTATATGGCAAGAGAAGTCAGGCACTTCAGCTGTAGCATATCCTGCACACTTTGGTAGGTCAAACAGCATCTCCGAGCCTCAATAAGGTGGGGATAATAATTCCTGTTTTCATAGTTCACACAGTTGTGAAAACAAGATGCAATATGCAAGGACCATTGTAAAGAACATTCAGGGATAATAGAAGTTTATCTTTCATAGTGAACATTCATAGAACCACTCCATGGGAACCTGAGATTTCTCTTATGATTAGTTCCATCTTTACGATGCACTGGATTCTTAGAATGAAGGTTAGGATTGAATCAACAGGTGTTCAGTGAATGCTTATGCATTGAAGTGAATCAATAAAATTTAATGCTATGTTTTGCCTTCATTTCAAAGCATTTTGGACCTTGCTTAGCTAAGTGCAGGAGGGTGGGAGCCTGGAGGTAGGACAGTGGTAATGATGATGGCTTGTTCTACTGCAATGAGCCCAAGTCAGTACTATAAGTAGCAATCCTTTGTTAACATCCTGAGTGAACCTCAGGACAGAGAGAGCTCATTCCTGTCTGCATTTTCTCCAGCACTGAGTAGTGTTTGGCATGTAGTAAGCATTCGGTGATGTTTTTTTAATGAAGGAAGGAATGAATGGCAAGATAAAATAAATCCTTCTGTCCGGCAATATGATTAATAAAGAGGTCCTGTGGGAATAGTACTGAACATGAAATCAGAATCCTTAGGTCCTAATCCTGATCTGTGGACTCCATGTGTAGCTTTGTGCAAATCTCTTCCCTCCTTTAATCCTCACACATATCTGGAAAACAATGGAGGTAGTGGTGGAGAGGGTGATCGATAAGGTGATTTCTAAGGGCATTCTTACTGCCTTGATGTTCTATGACAAGAGTTACCACATTGTGATGAACAGTGAATCATTCAATTACATGGAACTGGAATATGGCTGTGAGGTATGCCATCATGGGATGTAAGTTGCAGCCTCTGTCAACAAATATGAAAGAGATAGATGCCTGAGAATCTGCAGCCTCAGGGGGAAAGGCAACAGCCCTTGTCACTGTTAAAACCTTGTCTTTACCATATTTGGCAATGACACTGACTGAGGCTAGGAGACAATGTAGATGGAGAAATGTATCACCTTGATGTAGAATTTTGGCAGAAAAGAGAGAAATGCCAAAGACCAGTGAAATGGTTGTAAAAATCAAGAATAAGTCAAGACCTTTCTCAGTTCATAGAACTCTACGAAGTTAGGCCTGGCACTGTGGCTCATGCCTGTAATTGTAATCCCAGCACTTTGGGAGGCCGAGGTTGGAGGATCGCTTGAGTTTAGGAATTTAACACCAGCCTGGGCAGTACAGTGAGACCCCATCTCTCTCTCTCTCTCTCTCTCTCTCTCTCTTGATAGTAAAAGAAACCTAGGAAGTTGGAAATAAAAAGGCCCTAGCACCCATCTTATTCAACCTCTTAATTTAAGGGATAACAAAACTTGCCCCCAAAAGAAGAAGGAAACTAGACTAATGTCACACACACAGAATTTCATCAGTGCTGTGGCTATATCTTCAAATCAGAAGCCTCTCTGTCTCTCTCTCCCTGCCCCCCATCCTAATTTTCTTATAGCTTATTAGAAGATAAATCCATGAATAATTTGGAATTGGAAGAGAGGATACAAACTTGGCAGATCTTACAAAGGAAGGGAGTACATAATTTAGCCTGCAGCTTCAAGGGATGATCAGACTCCAGCTTAATTCTCAAAACTCAGAGAAGGGAAGGATTCTGTCATTGTGCCTACTCTTACTGAGCATCTCTGACAGCTCTGCTATTTGGCTATTTTCTCTATTAGCAAGTTTTTCTGATATTCTGATCACATCAGAATTACATTACTTGTGTTCAAAAGCCATTATAAAATACTCAGAGTAGAATAGATGTGACATCAGCTTTAAAATAAATTAGGAGGATTAAAATAGACCATATAAGAGTACATTACTAAGAGTAAGAGTGACTCATACTTTAAGATTGTGTTCATAAAAGGTGTCATCCAATTCATGTGTCTCTAGCCATTTTATATGCTGCATTTAAACCGGTTTTCACTTGGATTTCTGATGTCATAATTTTAAAATAGAATACTCTACAGGTTAGGCCTGCATTCGTTCTCTGTGATAATTCACTTGATTATTTTTATGATGTTCTACTCCTAAAACTTGCACAATAATTCCAGATTCATAAAACCAGAGGGAAAAAATGTAAATGTGGAAGGACCTCCTACAGAGGCAGGATTACTGAGGTAGAAACACCAATCTGTACATCTTGGCAGTAGATTCATGGAAGTTACCCTGAGTTTGTAAAGGTAAGATAAAGTTAAGATTTGACACAAATTTGTAAGTTTTGACACAAATTTGTAAGTTTGTGTTCCAAGTAGGCAGCCTGTGGGACTCTATTTCTTAAATATATATATCTTTTAATAATTGGCTGGGCCCGGTGGCTCACGCCTGTAATCCCAGCACTTTGGGAGGCCGAGGCGGGCGGATCACAAGGTCAGGAGATCAAGACTATCCTGGCTAACACGGTGAAACACCATCTCTACTAAAAATACAAAAACAAAAAAAATTAGCCGGGCGTGGTGGCACCTGTAGTCCCAGCTACTCGGGAGGCTGAGGTAGGAGAATGGCATGAACCTGGGAGGCGGAGCTTTCAGTGAGCTGAGATCACGCCACTGCACTCCAGCCTGGGCGACAGAGCGAGACTCCATCTCCAAAAAAAAAAAAAAAAAAAAAAAAAAGAATCAACCGTTCTGGACCCAGCCATCCCATTACTGGGTATATACCCAAAGGATTATAAATCATGCTGCTATAAAGACATATGCATACGTATGTTTATTATGGCACTATTCACGATAGCAAAGACTTGGAACCAACCCAAATGTCCAACAATGATAGACTGGATTAAGAAAATGTGGCACATATACACCATGGAATACTATGCAGCCATAAAAAATGATGAGTTCATGTCCTTTGTAGGGACATGGATGAAGCTGGAAACCATCATTCTCAGCAAACTATCACAAGGACAAAAAACCAAACACCGCATGTTCTCACTCATAGGTGGGAATTGAACAATGAGAACACATGGACACAGGAAGGTGAACATCACACACTGGGGCCTGTTGTGGGGTGGGGGGAGGGGGGAGGGATAGCATTAGGAGATATACCTAATGCTAAATGATGAGTTAATGGGTGCAGCACACCAACATGGCACATGTATACATATGTAACAAACCTGCACGTTGTGCACATGTACCCTAAAACTTAAAGTATGAAAAAAAAAAAAAAGAATCAACTGTCGTGGACAGGCACAGTGGCTCACACCTGTAATCCTAGCACTTTGGGAGACTGAGGCGGGTGGATCACCTGACGTCAGGAGTTTGAGACCAGTTTGGCCAACATTGTGAAACCTTGTCTCTAATAAAAATACAGAAAAATTAGCCAGGTGTGCGTGGTGGTGGGTGCCTGTAATCCCAGCTACTCGGGAGGCTGAGGCAGGGAGAATTGCTTGAACCCAGTAGGTGGAGGTTGAGTGAGCCAAGATCATGCCATTGCGCTCCAGCCTATGCAACAAGAGTGAAACTCTGTCTCAAAAACAAAACAAAACAAACAAACAAAAAGCAAGAATCAACTGTTCTTTAGTAGCTTCATTCAGGTATAGTTTACATACAATTAACTGTACATATTTGCATCTAATTGCTCAAACTGTAAAATTTGACTTAAAATTTGACTTATGAACATAACTGTAAAACCATCACCACAATCAATATAGAGAATATATCTATCACTTCCAGAAGTTTCCTTGTTCCCTTTTGTAATCCCTCCCATCCCTCCTCACACTTTAATCCCCATACAACAATCAATTTGTTTTCTTTCACTGGAGACTAGCTTGCATCTTATAGAATTTTATATAAATGGAATTATACAGCATATACTCTTTTTGGTCTAGCTTCTTTCACTCAGCATAATTATTTTGAGCTTCATCTATGCTGTAGCATGTATCAATAGTTCATTTTTATTGTTGAGTAGTAATCCATTGCATGAACGTGCCACAGTTTGTTTACTCATTCCCTTGTTGATCAGCACTTACATTGTTTCTAGTTTTAGGCTATAATGAATAAAATTACTATGAACATTTGTTACAAGTTTTTAAATGTGCATGTGCATATGATTTAATTACTCAGGTAAATATCTAAGAGTGGTATGACTGGGCCATAAGGTAGGTGCATGTTTAACTTTTAAAGAAACTGCCTAAGTATTTTACAAAGTGGTTGTACCTTTTTACATTTCCAGTGGCAGTGTAAAATTATTCCAGTTGCTCCACATCATTGTCTATACTTGCTATAATTGGTCTTTTGAATGTCAGCCATTTTAGTGAACAGGTAGTGGCATCTCATTGTGGTTCTAACTTGCATTTCCATAATAACTAACGATATTGAAAATCTTTATGCATACTTATTTGGCATTGATAAATCTTCTTTGGTGAAGAGTCTATTTAAATCTTTTGTCCATTTTATTTATTAGATTGTTTGTCTTCTTATTATTGAACTGTAACAGTTCTTTATATATTCTGGTTGTAAGCCATTATCAGATATACGATTTCTGAATTTTTTTTCCCCAAGCCTATGGCTTGTCTTTTCATTCTCCTAATAGCGACTTTCAGGCTAGAAAATTTGAATTTTGATGAAATTCTATTAAAATTTTGTTTTATGGATTATGTTTTTTGTGCCCTATCAAAGCAACCTTTGCTTAACCTAAACTCTCAATTTTTTTTCTGTATCTTCTCTTGAAGTTTTATAGTTAGGTTTTACATTTATGTCTACGATCCATTTTGAATTAATTTTCTATATGGAGCAAGGTATGGATCAAAGTTCTTTTCTTGCATATGGCCATCCAATTGTTCCAACACCATTTGTTTATCTTAATGCCAATGCCACAGTGTCTTGATTACAGTAGTTTAAGATATACCTTGAAATCAGCCAGGGTAAGTCCTCTGATTTGTTTCTTTTTCAAAGAGAATTTGGCTATTCCAGATTGTTTGCATTTCCACAGGGATTTTAGAATCAACTTTTCAATTTCTACAAAAAATGCTTGATTGGAATTGTTTTGAGTCTACAGGCCAAATTGGGGAAAAATGGCATCTGAACAATGTTGTGTTTTCAGACCATGAACATTTTATATCTCTCCATTTATTTAGATCTTAATTTCTCTCAGCCATGTTTTCTAGTTTTTGTTGCACAGGTCATTCATATTATTTGTTAGAATTACCCCCTGAGTATTGCATATATTTTGTGTAATTGTAACTGGGAATGCATTTTTAACATTTCTATTTCCAACTGTTCATTGCTAGTATATAAAAATTTAGATGTTTTTTGTATATTGATCTTTATCCTACAAACTTACCAAATTCATTATTTCCAGTAGCTTTTTGCAGAAACCGTAGGATTTTCTACATAGATAACCATGAAGTCTGCCAAGAAAGACAGTTTTAATTCTGCTTTCCAATATGGATACCTCTTAGTTCTTCTTCTTTCTCCTCCTCCTCCTCTTCTTTTGTTTGACTGATTTCACTGGATAGAATCTCCAGTTTAAGGTTGAATATAAATTGTGAAAGTAGACATCCTTGTCTTGTTCTTGATCTTAGGGGAAAGCATTCAGTCTTTCACCATTAAGTATGTTATTACTTGTCAGTTTTCATAAATGCTCTTTTATCATGTTGCAATCAACTTGTATTTCAGATTCAGGGGGTACATGTGCAGGTTTGCATACGGGTATATTGCTTGATGGTGAGGTTTGGGGTAGAGATGATCCTGTCACCCTGGTAGTGAACATAGTACCAAAAAGGTAGTTTCTCAGCTCATGGCCTCTTCCCACCCTCCCCCCTCCAGTAGTCCCCAGTGTCTATTGTTCCCATATTTATGTCTGTGTGTACTCAATGCTTAGCTCTCACTTAGAAGTGAGAACGTGCTGTATTTGCTTTCCTGTTCCTGTGTTAGTTTGCTTAGGATAATGGCCTCCAGCTCCATCCATGTAGCTGCAAAGGACATGATTTCATTCTTTTTATGGGTGCATAGTACTACATGGTATATATGTACCACATTTTGTTTATCCAATCCACCATTGATGGGCATCTAGGTTAATTCCATTTCTCTGCAATTGTGAATAGCACTGCGATGAACACACAAGTGCATGTGTCTGTTTCATAGAATTATTTATTTCCCTTTGGGTATATATCCAGTAATAGGATTGCTGAATTGAACTGTAGTCCTGTTTTAAGTTCTTTGTGAAACCTCCAAACTGCTTTCCGCTGTGGCTGAACTAATTTATATTCCCACCCACAGTGTATAAACATTCCCTTTTCTCTGCAGCCTTGCCAGCATCTGTTGTTTTTTAGACTTTTTAATAATCGCCTTTCTGACTGGTGTGAGATGGTATCTCATTGTGGTTCTGATTTGCATTAGTCTGATGATTAGTGATGATGAGCATATTTTCATATGTTTATTGGCCGCTTGTATGTCTTCTTTTGAGAAGTCTCTGTTCATGTTCTTTGCCCATTTTTTAATGGGGTTATTTGTTTTTCCCTTGTTGATTTGTTTAAGTTTCATGTAGATTCTGGACATTAGACCTTTGTCAGATGTACCTAGAAATGATAAACAACTTGAGTAAAGTTTCAGGATACAAAGTCAATGCACAAAAATCAGTAGCTTTCTATACACCGATAACTTTCAACTTGAGAGCCAAATTAAGAACACAACCCCATTTACATAGCAACACAAAAATGAAATACCTAGTAATATAGCTAACCAAGGATGAAAGATCTCTACAAGGAAAGCTACAAAACATGGCTGAAAGAAACTATAGTTGGTACAAAGAAATGGAGAAGCATCCCATGCTCTTGGATCACAAGAATCAATATCATTAAAATGGCCATCCTGCCCAAAGCAACTTACAGATTCAACACTATTCCTATCAAACTTACCAACATTATTTTTCACAGAATTAGAAAAAACTATTCTAAAATTCATATGGAACCCAAAAAGAAGCTGAACAGCCAAAGAAATCCTAAGCAAAAAGAACAAAGCTGGAGGCATCACATTACCTCATTTAAAACTATATTACAAGGCTATGGTAACTAAAATAGCATGATACTGGTACAAAAACAGATGCATAGACCAATGTATCAGAATAGAGAACCAGAAATAAAGCCACACATCTACAATCATCTTATGTTCAACAAAGTTAATCAAAATTTCAATGGGGAGAGGACTCCCTATTCAGTTAATGGTACTGGGATAGCTGGCTGTCTATATGCAGAAGAACAAAACTGGGTCCCTACCTTTCACCATATACAAAAATTAACAAAAGGTGGATTAAAGATGTAAATGTAAGACCTCAAACTATAAAAATCCTATAAGAAAAATCTAGAAAATACCCTTCTTAAATGTCAGCCTTGGCAAATAATTTATGGCTAAGTCCCCAAAAGCAACTGCAACAAAGACAAAATTTGACAAGTGGGACCTACTTAAATAAAGAGTTTCTGCATGGCAAAAGAAACTCTCAACAGAGTATACAGACAACTTACAGAATGGGAGAAAATATTTTTAATCCACTTTTTATTTTAAAAAGTAACACAGTGAATACTTCTGATAGCACAGTAGATTAGGTATTCTGAAGTACTTTCTTGCTCCACAAACCAAGTTGCTGAATAGATTACAGCAAATGTCTTACTAAATGCATAGCTGATCTTGCAAGAAAGTAAAGGAATTCCCTTGAGGTTAAAACCAAAGTGCCAAAGGAACATAGAATGCACCTGGGATCATATGCCAATTTTGGAAACTTTATAGCTTTTGAGTTTTAACAGCTGACATCCTCTTTGCTCTATCTCAGTCTCCTTCAGAAGCTCTCTTCTTATCTTTGTTTCTTAAATATTGGTCTTCATCAGGGCCCTTTCCTAGGCTCTCTTCTTTTCTTGTTCTCTGGTCGATCTTGTCTGTTTACTGTTTTAATGTCACCTCTATGCTTATGACATGGAAATCTATATATCCCAGGTTTCTTTCCTGAACTCCTATTTCTCCTGTCCAGCTTTCTAATGGGTACCATCTTGTCTTTGACATACTACAATTTCTTCAAACTCATGTCCAAACTGTACTCATCGCTTCCCTGCCTGCATGTATTTCTCCTTCTGCATTCACTACCTTAGTTATTGGCATCATCATTTGGGAGTCATCCATATCTCACTGACTCTTACTGGTTCAATCTTCTAAGTGTCTTTTGAGCCCATTTCTTCATTTCCATACTCATTGCTACTACCTTTGTTCAAGTCACCATTTTTCACCTGAATTACTGCAATAGTCTCCTAACCAGTTCTCTACAACCAGTCCAGCTTTCTTCAGTCTATCCTTCATAGTGCCACTAGAGTCATAAGTTACAAACGAATGCCATTTCCCATTGCACACATAATAATGTTTAATCCTCTCAAGCTGTCATGTAAGTGCTGCATCATCTGAGCTCTGACTACCTTTCCAGCTTCATCTCTCTCTCTTTTATGTTTTACCTCCCAGTCATCTTGAATAACATACCATTTCCTGAAACTTCTATGCTCTCTTCTGCTTTTGTGCATTTACTCATGCTGCTCCCCCTGCTTACCTCTCTCTTGTTTCACCTGGCTAAATAAATTATGTTCATGTTTCAGAACTCAAGTCCAGTATCACCTAAGTTTTCTGTCATTGTTTTTCTAATGAGGTGCTCCCATATCACTACAGTAGTTATCTTACCATACTGCAATAGATTGCCTATTTGACTTTTCTTATTACCTATAGACTTCCTGAAAGCAAAGTCCGTAGCACAGCAGTAAATAAAAATAAACATTTTAAATAAATTATTTAACTAATGAATTAATTGGTTAAGTTAATTAGTTGACCATTTCAAAGACAGAAATATTGTGGTGAGGTAGGAATAAGATAGCGTTCACTCAACAATAGTTTGTTGAACGTTTACCACTGCTTTACGAGTTGACAAAGTGGAAATAAATAAGACACAGGATTTGTTCTCAAGGAACTCAAAGTCCAGTAGGAAACGAAATGAAGGGGGCTTGGGCAGGTCAAGTTGAAAGAAAAGCTCAAAGTGCTTGAGTATGAATACTCAAGGAATGTATACATTCAGTATTCCTTATTTCTGTTTCTGGCTCTTTTACTCAACTTAATCATGTTAACTCTATTTTGACAAACTTAAAATTACACTTTAATCTTTTTTGTGAAGGATTAGTCCACTGAAAACCAAAACCAGTTTTGACACTGATGTGGTGTCTGAGTTCCTGTGTAATGTAAAATGTAAAAATACTCTATTTGCCTTATTTTTCTACATAAACATAACTAAAATCATAGTAGATATGTGTAAAATACAAATAAACTGCAAGTAGCTTTGAGAATCCCATCATATCTGGTTGTGAGAGAATCTTGGTATGTGTTTCATACTCAAGGAAACACATACTCAAATATTCCTTGAGTATGGAAACACATACCAAGATTCTCTCACAACTGGATATGATGGGATACCATATATATCACATACTGAGAAAGTTTTCATATTCAACTACAATTCATACCTGCTGACTTCAGAAGGCCTAATTCGAAAGGTAGGCTGCATCTGAAAAGAGCAAAAACATTTATATTTGAATAACATCTAACTTATTTTCTGGTGTTCTTGTGGGTTCTGATTTTCTGAGTTCTGGACCATACTGGTTGACCAGCTGGGACCTGCTTGCTCCTTCTTGCATTTCTTAATTCTCCTAGACTTGACTCTTGGCTTGACTGGAACTGAAGTTTGCCATAGTTTCATGCAGATGTAGGCTCCCAGTACTAAGGCCTTCCAAATACTCCTGTCTCACCACGTTTGCATGACATCCTTTCTAGGCCAAAGTAGAAAGTAAAATGACATTGCTTACCACAGTGTCCTTTGTAGTGCCTTTATGGGTTAAAGTATACATCATGGACAGTCCTTTACCTGAACCTACCATCACCATTCTCTGACTAGTTTGCCTGGTTCTCATGCCCACTTCCAGTTTCTAGAGCTGCCCAAATATCCTTCCACCCCAGTAGAGTCAGAATTGAGCTTCCAAATATAATAACTTCCACTTAAATTATTTACTCCTTGCCCGTTACTATTTCCTGCATCTTCTGAGAGGAAGATGCACTCCATAAGGCTGAGATGACTTGCAGACTCTGCATCTGAGGAAGCAGCCTGTATTACAGTGTAGTTATTAAGAGGATGTGTTCTGAGGCCAGATCTCTTGGGTGTGCATCCTAGGTCTACTTCTTAGCAGACAGTATGAATTAGGGTAAGTTATTTAACCTCTGTGTCTTTGGTTTCTCATATGTTAAATGTGGATAACTGTGCATACCATATATGATAGTTGAAAGATTAAATGATAAAAATCATGTAAGGCTCTTAATACAGTACCTGGAAAATGATAAGTGCTCAATAATTATTAATTATCCGTAGTATTTTTATGTCAGTATACCAAAGAGTTCACTTGAACCTCTCATACACCAGATGAAATGAGTTGACCAAATGCTTCTATTCCAGGTTGTCAATTAGGCTATAAGAAATGAGCTCATGCAAATTAAAATCCCCTAGAATTAGAGGAGCTTAACACTAACACTAGTTGTGTTAAGCTGGCTGAGTAGGCAAAGGAGGAGTTTCCCCAGAAGTGTCTTTACTCCAAATATGTGCTACAGAGGCTGGTAACTCTACAACCGAATAGTAGAAGCAAAACTTCCCAGAAGCCTCTCAGATGGCCTTCCAAGGAGCTATATTATTATGAAGATTTTGCTCTGTGCAGTTTTAGAGCCCCAAGGACTTAGTGTGTCCTGGGACAGACGGTTAGTATGAAAGCCTCCATGAAAATCCTTATATCCACCATGGATTTGAATCCTTACTCTGAGAAGAGAGAATCTATATTGGCCTTATATGTCCCTGAGTTCCCAGTCAGTTCTGTAGATGTCAGGTTTATAGGACTGCATTTTGTGGCCCAGGTGCCTCCTTGTGGCTATGGGAGAGATAGTTTGGGGGTCTTCATCTCTGGACCCACCACTCTCCCGATACTTGGAGTGCTCTTCTCAGAGATATTCTAAACCCAGCATTCTCCTTGGTTCTTCAGACTCTTAGACACTGTCAACTATTTAGAGCAGAGGTCTTACTCTGTATGCATTACCCTTGCTACCAACTGACTCATCTAAGTCTTCATATCAAAGACTGCATAAGGAACTTGCTACTTACCTGAAAACTCAGGGTCCTATATATGTTATTCATGTTATTCAAAGACCACAGGGTCAAGTGTTTGTGAAATAAGGAAAATAGGAATAATTTTAGAATAAAAGAGTAAAGATATTTCTGCCATCAAACTCAATGTATCATTATGGCAGCCACAGAAGTTTGCTGTTTGGATCTCCCTTCAAGCAAGAACTTGCCATTCAGCAAGGAGTGAAGTGAGCTGACAGCCTCCAGCTACTAGTGCTTTTAAGATCACTCTCAGCTTTTAAGCTAAAACCACTCTTCCTGGTTCCTGGGCAGGACTTTTCCTGGGCAGGACTTTTCCTGGGCAGGCCCCAGACAATGACTAACAAAGGCTTGGCCATTTCTTCCCAATGCAGAATTCATCTAATGGGAAATGTTTGCTCCAGAGCTCCTCATTTGATGGGCTGAGACTTTGTCAGATCTGCATTGAGGTCTGAGTCTCTCCTGCCCAATCCTTCTTCATTCCCTCTTTTTTTTTTTCAACAGTTGCCCTCTTGTACTCCTGCATCTCTCACTCAGTGTCTGCTTCCTGGAGGACCCAAAATGACACAATCACCTATTTGCACTGTAAGCACATTTCAGAGGGTATTGATATACTTGTTCCTTTTATCCCCTCCCCTATTCCTCCTACACAGACACATGAATGTATCACCAACTGAGGCGTTTGTACAAAAAAAAAATATGTTTTCCCATACTAATCACTATCCTTAGTGAATTTGCTGTTTCAAATGAGTAGGTCTTCCCATTCATCCCAGAATTATTCAAACATTTTTGATGGGCCAGATGTTTCACAAAATAAAAAATCTTTAGGGTGCTTTAATCAATTGTGGGTGAACAAAGCACATATATGGAAGATAGCATTTTTCCTGAGACATGAACTCTGCATACGGTGCCTTGCTGTTCATGCTGTGTAATTCTCCAGGCTTTCCTAACAAAATCATGAAGGATTTCACAAAGTAGCTCATCGTTATCTGCCAGGGCAATATCCTGGTCTTTTTCATGATATTAGGTAAGCATGACTAGCAGCTGCAAACTCTATTAGAATATCTCTAGAATGGCCAGTTAGATGTTAGATGTGAAACCAGAAAATTTAAAATGTGAAAACTTGAAATTGACTCAGTAAAGTGGAATCTCCAAGTCATATCATCTTGTCTAATATATTACAGATGAGTTCCCAAACAGTGTCCTCAATTACAAATGGGACCCTCCAACACATATGAAGAGTACAAAAATCCTTTGCCCTCCCCAACTTTTTTCCATATTATTCTAGGTGAATAAAACAGCCCTCACTGTCTTTTTTTTTTTTTTTTGAGACAGGGTCTTGCTCTGTCACCCAGGCTGGAGTGTAGTAGGACAGTCATGGCTCACTGCAGCTTCGACTTCTTGAGCTCAAGTGATCCTCCGATCTCAGCTTCTGGAGCAGCTAGGACCACAGGTATGCACCACCAAACCTGGCTAATTTTTTAATTTTTATTTTTTGTAGAGACAAGGTCTCACTATGTTGCTCAGGCTGGTCTTGAACTTCTGGGCTCAAGCGATCCTCCTGCTTTGGCCTCCCAAGATGCTGGGATTACAGGTGTGAGTCACTGTGCCCGGCCCTCTCACAGACTTTTTCTAAAAACCCTCCCAATTCACAGAAAGAGGGTGGAGGGACTTCTAATTCTCAAAGACTTTGGATGTTCCTGCCATCTATAGCCAGTGTGTAAGGTGGCCTCACCTCATTCCAGGAATTCTTGTGACAAGTAAAGGTGTTGGAACATACACCTATGCAGTTTCCTCTTCTATGCTTCAATGAATTTTACCTGAGACCCTCTCCAACTCCAGATAAAATGCTAGACATCACCCATGGATTTAAATAAGTTGGCAGAATGTAACCAGAGAACGAAGGCGTCAAAATTTTGCCTTTCGAGTTTTTCAAAATCCATAAACTCAGGGAAACCCTTAAGGGTTCCCTTAAACCCTGCCCACACATCAGTAAATAGTCTCTTTATGAAACCTTCCTCAAACTATCCCATTTGAGAGAGCTATGTTTTCTGCTGGGACTCTGTCTAATAAATGTAATCATATAAAATTAGAAGGTGGAGGCTAGAGATCAAAATTTGGAAGTTATTAAAAAATAGCAAGTATTTGAGTAGGTGTAGCCAAGGTGTAGGGTAAGACAGAGAAGATTTGGAAACATTTGTAACCTAGTTTTCTTTTCTTATCCTGCCCCAGATTCCACAGATTGGGGAGGGAAGAGGGGAGAAGGGAATGGAGTCAAAAGGGTAAAACCATCAAGTTTCATTCGGGAAAAACCCAATCAGTGATCCACATATGAGAGCCATGTTTCAAGGATCCCATTGCTCACTAATGGAGTGTTCAGCAGGAACACCTGGGCAAGATGGGATGATAAAGAACTGTCGAGATCGCCCATTGAATCAAGACTGGTGAAACACCCATTGCTAAAAGGTTTGCACTTGCTCTCAAGTGGTCATTGCTGTAGAGATAAATACCGTCAGGTAATCCATCAGAACTGTGTGTCAGAGTTAGGAACTCTCAAATAGTTCTGCTTTTTCCATTATTATCAATGAATCCTGATGAAGTCACTGAAGACAGAATATTATGGCCATTAAAGCTGAGTTTTAAAAACGGCTACACCTACTCAAATACTTGCTATTTGTGAATAACTTCCAAATTTCCATATCTAGCCTTGATCTTCTAATTTTATATGATCACCTTTATAGTAAGGGTATATACCAGCAGAAAACATATAGCTCTCTCAAACTGGATAATTTGAGGTAGGTTTAATAAACAGACTGTTTACTGATGTGTGGGCAGGGTTTAAGGGAACCAACAAGTTTCCCTGGGGCTATTAATTGCCATAACCCTTACTTTCCCTAGGTCTGAAAGAATACGAGGAGAGCAGTTACCAGAACCTGAAGGGAGATGGCGGACATAAAGGGAAAGCTTCCTGACAGAAGTCGTGATGTTCAATAGGGGAGCACCACAAACCCATGGTGGGCTAGCAGGGCAGTAGCCAAGGAAATAAATACTCTGTTCTGTTTCTCTTACAACCTCTCCCATTGATCTCCTGGAGATGCCTCCTGGTAGCTGAAGCCAACTTGAAACCACTGGGCAAGGGGGCCCATTGAAGCAGTCCATGCATGTCAGAGCAGGGTGGAGGAGTGGAAAGACGGGTTATGAGCAGGACGCAATGAGAAACATTCAGCACAGACAATTTGATAAGAGTTGGAAGAACTTCCTGGAAAGCCTTTCTTCCTTGGAGAATTTGATAAAAGCTATGAACCTTCACACAACCAGCAATAAAAAGAACAAATAAATATACATATATGATTTTTACATGACTTTTCAAAAGGTGGTTTCAGCCTCTGTGGTTTCTCAATAGTGTACCTAGGAGTTCCATACATAGCAAGTTAAGAACCTCCTTCTCTGGAGAGCAGTATGTAGGAGTACATACCATCCTGTAATACTTTTTTTTTTTTCCTTAGCTTTTCCCTCTATTGTATTTTCAGCAACTTAGATATCATGGAGTGAAGCTGAGAAACCTTTGGCCAACTATAAGTGAGCCAACCAGACCTGTTCTTTCCTCAGGTGTACTGAATCTGAGCTATAATATGGAGCCTGAATAGCAAAGCTTTGAAGGAGCAGCAGACAGAAAATGTGGGGGCGGCCATGAGATAATGGGTTGCCTAGCAACAATGGCTGGAAGGCTGTCTTTTCTGGAATTTCTCAGCAGAGAGAATTCGTTTTTAAAATGTGTGTATGTGAGAGAGGGAGAGAGAGAGAAAGAGAGAGAGAGAGAGAGTCGGGGGCAGAGAAAGAGAGAGACAGAGAGGGAGGGGGCAAGAGAGACAGAGTGAAAAGCAGAGATAGTCAGACAAACACAGGCAAAAAGGGGACTTCAGTAAACAAAGACATAACAGAAGTAAGAAAGAATGGGAGCAAGTTTAGGGGAAAGGAGAAATGGAGATAAGTTCAAGGGGTGGGCTGTGAGATGAACTCAGTTGAAGAAAAGGGAAAAAGGAGAGGAACAAAGGTTTAAAAGAGAAACGTCCAAAAGAATTAGTGAGGGAATGATGGAATGAGTGGGAGCAACTTCTTCCCAGGCCTCACTGAAGGCTGCAGTGTTAACTTTACCTCACAATGAAAGTTACCCAGTCTTTCTTCTAATTAAATGTTTTCCTTGTAAGTCAAAAACCTTTAGTTGTAGCAGCAGAAAGAACCGGGAATTATTTATTAAGCACTACTGGGGCTATAGCATTTCTCAGGCTAGTAAAGATTCCTTTACAATAACCACGAGGACTTGTCTCCTTAGTACAGCTTTTAAAATTTTACCAATTACTGTCACAGCTGTCATCTCAGGGGACCCTTACTGCAGCTGTCAGGCAATGAAGGGATTGTCATTACTTCAATTACACACATGAAGAAACTAAGGCCCTGAGAGGAAGGGTGGTTGCCTGGGGTGCCACGTTTAGTAAGCTTAAATCAAGGACTCAGTACTTGTGGCCCTGACTTCAAGTTCCAGGTCCAGGGCTGGCATGCATCTCTGCTCGGACTTTCCAATTGCACACTAAGTGTGGTAGACCTGACACTGAAGCATTTGCTCTCTACCACCTGCTGAAATTTGAACTGAAGAGCTATTGCAAAGTCTCAAGCCAGTAGGGGTCTTATGCTTTCTTCTTTCCCTATAATGTGCAAATGTGTACATTTGTGCCTCCAAGAACAGTGCTTAATTGGCCCAAGTATGCAGCCAGTATCCAATAGCTCCATGAGATATTCCTTGGCACTGATCCTCTCAGAAAAACCTTGTATCTCTTGTTGTCACACCAATCATCGATTATTGCAAAAGACCTCTTGGGCACAGTGAGGGGTATTTGAGAGATAGAGAGAAATTTGTTACTAGAACTAAGGGGCTGAAGGATCACACAGAGCACAAGAGCTAGCAACTGAATGCCATGGAGCAGTTGAGTGGCTCCTGTGCCCTTTCATGCCTCTCCAAGGCTTGAGAACTAGGATGGAGCAAAAATGAGGCCAAGTCCTCTGTTTGGCAGCAAGCTTATCTCCTGCCTTAGTCCTTCCCTCCTCTGTTCAATCGTGTACCTACTTGACAGATTAAATTTCCAAAAATGGCATTCACCTGCTTAGCAACTTTTAATATTTTCTCCATTCAACATGGCATTAGTTTTGTCATCTAGCATTCAAGAATTGCTTTGTTTTACTCCAAACTTTATTTTAGTTTCATATATTCCTATTCCTACAGTCCAAATGTCTGAAAAACTAGGCTAGTTATTGATTCTCAAACATACCCCATACCTCACATCTGTGCCCTTGCTCAACATATCTCCTCTTCCTGTAACCCTATCTGTCTTCCAATGAGAAAGTAGTTCCTACCAATTGTCTCCACTTAACACTTGGGTTTGTAATGTATCCAACTGGCTAAGCCAAGTTATGTTTCCAAGAATTTCCTTTTCTACAGGTTATGGTGGGTCACAAGAGAGATTCTTGTGAGAGTTTTACAAGACAGAAGGGAAGCAGCTGTCATTTTACAGCTCATAAACATTGCCACATATCTCCTGGCTCATCTTGGTGGTATAATGCAGCAGCCAGGCCTGCAATTGCTACACCTTTCTCTGAATTCTATTTTAGCTTCTCTAACTTCTGGACCAGATTGTTTATTTAGTTCAATAACAAAGGGCCCCAAATTCTCCAGGACACTCACACAACCAAGATCAGAGCCATCAAGAACAGACATGAGTCTCAGTTTATCTTGTGAGCTCTAGCGTACGCCAGTGGGTCCCATCTTGTTTTTGCTCTCCCCCATCTTACATTTGTCTTTCCTTCCCTGCTGCCTGACCTGTGGACTTTAAGATTCAAAATCAGATGCAAAGGCAACAGCCCTACAGATTCTGTTTAACCAGCCCCGCAGTTGTCAAATTCCTATAACAAATTCAGATATTTAAAAAAATCTATCTTTGTGGTTTTGCTTCTCTGATTCAACTTGCATGTGAGCTTCTTGAAGGCAGATACAACGTCTTTGATAAATTCTGACAAACTTTACAGCTTACAAAATGCTTTCACATTCATCATTTCATTGAATTCTCACAACCAGGGCCACTGCAAAAAGTTATGTATTGACCAGCATTAGTTTCATCATCCTGGCATTCAGGTTGTAATAGGACTGCCACTCCTTCCCTCCCCAGAGGTGAGCAATATGGCACCCTTGGTCATCACAGCCCTTTGCAGTGGATTGCACTAAGATTCTTATCCTTGTTGTTCTAATGAGAAAATGTGAATTGGGGAGAGGTTACTCCATCTGAATGATGAAGTATCATTCCTGGTGTCATGCAATAATATGAGATAGAATCACTGACTGCACATCTATTTATTTATTTGTTGTTTATTAACTAAGAGACCCAGTCTTTTATTCTTGATCTATGAGGTTAAAGCATAGATAATGCCCTTTTTCTCCTACCTTTCCCATCTATCATTTACTTTTGCCTTCAAAGTCAGTTATGAATGGGGTGAAAATAATGTCTACTTTACCAAGGGGAATACCCATCCCACAATGAATTGGCATTTTCCCTTTTCATGGCAAGAGCATAATGGAAGTGAAATGGTGAAAGCCACCCTAACTGAGGAAGTGTCGATGCAATGACATATGATCCACACAAGGGTTTATCAGAGCCCTTTTCTGAAAGAGATATAAAGTCCTTGAGAGTTATTGTTATTGTTCTACTGGAGTTGTTAAAGTTGTTCCATGTAAGTCTTATCTCTCTATATGAAATCCCATCTAGTATAGGAGAGAAAAGGCCTAAGAAAAGCAGAACTGAAAAGTGAAGGGGGAGAGGAAAAGTGAACTAATATCGTTTGAACTACTGGATATACCCTTGAAATTCCCAGTTAGGTCAGCTAATAATTTCCTTTTGGCTTAAGTCAGTTTCAGAGGCTTTTCTGTTACTTGTAACTAAAAATCCCTGTTCATTAGATACATTGGTACAAAAACTGAAAATTTTGAGTTAAAAACCTGAAGATTTGGCTAAGTGCAGTATTTATAGTGTGCAGACTAAGTTCTAGCTCCAGCATGATGAGTTTTGCAAGTCATTCCTCTTCTCTGGGTCTAAGTTATCCCATCAGTATAAACAGAGAATTTTACCAAATGATTTCTAAGGGCACTTCTAGCTCTAACATTCAGAATAACAATATCCATGGCTCATTCTTAGCCTCTGGAACAACAAAGAGCCAAGAGTAGGATATAAGGATTCTAGCCTTAGCTCTGCCTCTGGTTAGCTGGAGGACCTTGGTCAAGCACCTTCTCCTCTCTGGGATCCACTTTGCCTCCCCACATTCTTATGCAGAAGTTAGACTTGCTATTCTCAAGGGTTTGCTATGGCTCTGGTGTATCAGGCTTCTCTGAGTCTTTGAGAGCTTGTTCCTAATAATATCAGAATATTTCCTGTATTTCTGTTTCTCTGGATGTTTGTGGGGTTTTCTATTTTCACATATGTAAAAGTTCTCATTGAGTCCTTCAAAGTTGAACACCTTGTGCTTCTTTTAGGGAAAGGCCTGTCTTGTTCCCCTTTGCCATGTCCAGGAAAATATTTTAATATTTTATTTAGTTTATAGCTCAGTCTTTTGAAAGAGTATGATCACAACTTTTCCTTTTATTTCACTATCTGGGGGGTAACCACTGGGGAAAAAGAGTGGGGTGAAGGGGTTTGGAGTTGGAATCAGCTTTCTGTACAGTTAGAAATACTCTAATGAAACTAGTGTTAGAGATGAAGAATGACTCTTATTCTAAGCCCCCTATTTTCAGATGCTTATGACTTTAAGTGATACTAATGAGTACATGTTTTAGAAGTCTAATGGAGCAGAATTCTGAGGCAATGAAGTTTTATTAAATATGCCATTATCAAGTTCTTTGAATCACATTATGTAGTGGGATTGGTTTTAAGGCATGAAACTTGTATTCCTGAGAAGTCTAAGAAATGGATCATGTATGTTTACTTAGAATATAAGGAATCATTAATTTCATCACCAAATCTATGAAGAAAATGAGCTTAAAACTCTTGTGTCCACTCAAGAAGCACCTAAAAGTTGTTTCTCCTCTCCTTCATGCAATTATTTACTCTGGTGCCCTCCTTTCCATTCTAGTTGCCTCTAGTTGCCATTCCGTTTAGACCTCATTACTTCCTTACAAATTATGGACTATTTCATGTATACAGAAAAGAACATAGCATATATGTAAGGTATGTAACGGAATAAAATGAAAATCCTGTACCCATCACCAACCTTAAGAATCGGAACATGGTCAATGACTTTGAAAACCACATGTGCCCTCTCTGATTCATACCCTCATTCTTTCCCAGAGGTAGCCACTATCCTGAATTTTGCTAATAATTCACTTATTTTCTTTACATGTTCGCTGCACAAGTAACTGTGATTTTGTCCATTTTTTGGACTTTATATAAGTGTAATTATACTATATGCATTTTTTTGCTTATTCTTCCCTCCCACCAACTTTGTGATTTGTGAGATTTATCCATGTTGATGTTTGTAGCTGTAGTAATCAGTTTTCACTTCTGTATGGTTATCTATCCCATGAAAATTGTATGCCTTTACAAATTATGATGCTCCAAATCTTTTTAGCATATACCCTGATGCCCATGTACAAGATTTTTTCTAGAGCAATGGTTCTCAACTGGGGGCAATTTTACTCCCTAGGGACATTTACTTCTGTCTGGGAACATTTTTGGTTACAACAACTGAGGGTGTGCTATTATCATCTAGTGGATAGAGGCCAGGGATGCTGCTAAACACCCTAAAATACACAAGATAGCTCTCCACAATCAAGAATTACCTGACCCAAAATGTTAATAGTGCTAAGTTTGAGAAACCCTGACCTATAGTATATGCCTAGACCTAGAATATTTGAAATATCTGGGTAATAGGATCTTCCTAAATTCAACTTTTTCTAGGTAACACCAATTATCTTCCAAAGTGGTTATACCAGTTTATACTCCCAACAACAGAATATGAGAGTTCTACATGCCCCACATTCTCACCAACTCTTGGTATCATTAGCTTCATTACTACTTGCCTGAACTTTTGCCATACTCATCCAACTTTCTCCTACATTCACCTCTTTCCCCACAGATTCATTCTTAATATTATTGCCAAATTAATCTTCTAAAACCTAACTCTGATCATTCAAAATCTTATAACAATGTTTCTGCCTCTACTGCCTACAGATAAGCCTTGTATTCAACAGCTACACAAAAACACTCCATTAGCTCTGTACACCTAATCATACTAGCCTATTAGTTGATCCTCAAATAAGCTCTGCCCTTTCTCTGCCCTCTATGCTATCTTTGTCTTTGAAGACTTACCCTTTCTTACAGTCATTTGCTCTTTCATTATGTGCCAATGCAGTCATTTAGTCAATAATTATTTACTTTGCTGTGCTCGTACTATGTGCCAGGCACCATTGTTAATGCTGGAGATGTAACAGTAAACAGTACATTCAAGACTCTGACTGCTCCTCTCTAAGCTTTCCCTACCACAAAACCATCTGAGCTCAGAAGCACTTCCCATTTTTGATTCCAGGAATTCCTAGCTCTTGGAACCTAATGTTTTTCAGATTTCAATCCTGATCCCTATCCATCAGGTCTGCTCCTTCCATCCAGGCTTGAGATATGGGCATCTGAAGGGGCTGGAGGAGGAAGGGGCCCTTGGGAAGTGGAGAGATTGGCTTTTTTCTGACTGTCCTGCCAGAGTTGGCCTTAGCTAACTAGTTTCTGGGCAGGTTCTCCCTTTGGGTCTTCACTGGATTCTCTGGTCTTCTCCTGTTGCTGTCCTGCCCTGCTGTCCTCAGTGTCCATCAGGATGAACTGGAGGAGGCTATGGTGAGGGAGCAGAACAGAAGCTATTTACTCCATATTCTATGGCCTTGGTCTTAGACCCAGCAGAGCTGCCCAGAGATCTGCGAGGTTTTAAGTAGGGAGTCTCCAGCCTGAACCGGGTTTGAATTGAGAGCAAAAGGCAGGAAGAGGCTTCTTAAAGTGTCTTCTTTCAGATATTATTTGCACTCCATACAAAAGGAGCTACTGCCTCTAACTCAATAATTTGGGGGAAAGACTGAAAAAAACATTTGGAAAAAAGGCCCTAAGGAAAGGTTGCCACCTTTTGCCATAGTCTGTCTTTGCTCTGTATTCTGGGTCTATGTAAATAAAAGTAATGACCACAGGTGACTGCACTTCTTTAAAACACTTTTCCCTGACATTTAAACTTATAAATTGCCTTGCAAGTCTCCTTGCAGATGCACTAGGGCTAACAACTTTGTCTTTCAGTAGGGCTGGGCTTTGGGATACTTCCTTCTATAGCTGAGGAAAGTCAATGATATTGATGCTACTTTGTCTATGTATTATTCAGTGTTATACTCTAAATCTCAGGGGAGTTGACTTGCTTAGATCCCAAACAGAACAAGTTCCCCTAAAACTTGTCATCATGTATCCTAACTTGTCATACTTTCAAGAGTAATTTTCATGTTAGATTCAGATTTGCTCTATGTGCCCTGAAGACTCATTGATGACTTAAGGATTCATTCTGAGGTAGTCTCTTGCCCAGCTATATCTAGCTGATAGATCTGTTGGCAGCATTTGCAGCAATCTAGTCAACTCACAACTAATTTGAAGTATAAAATAAGAGTATTTTACACTGCATTTAGGTTTGTCTTGCTAAATAAATTATCTATATGTTGGAAAACAATTTATTATTCTTCCTGAGGTATCATTAGAACCATGAAGTTCAAGAGAGGTGAGAAATTTGTTCATTTCTTCACTCAACCAATAAAAGTTTCCTAAAAGGGCACCTACCCTGTACTTGGTTTTGATCTTGCAGCCAGCTATGCGAAGAAAATGACGTGGTCTCTGACCTCAAAGATGCTTAAGGTCTAGTGGCTATCAAAAAGTCTAGTGACTAATTCAAAGTCTATTGGCTAGCAAAGCAATGACCACAGTTCAGGTGGATAAGTGCAATAATATTGCAAAGTAAGCACACAGGAGTTTTAGGTAAGCTGGATTTTGAAAGACAAGGAGATACTTAGAGAGAGAGAAATATAATGACATGGAAGAGGGACCGCTAGGCAGAAGGAAGAGTACATTCAAAGAAAGTCGTAAAGGCATGAAAGAGTATTTCTGGAGTACTGCCAATGTTTTGGTGTGACTGCAGCAAAGGATTTTATGAGGCAGAGTAGTGGGAGTTAAGGGTAAAGAGGCAGGCAGGGGCCTCAGCTGCAGGAGATCAACTGGAAACTGAGTAGTTTAGCCTTCACCCTCAAGGTTACAAGAAGGCATTAAATGGCTCCAATTTTGGAATTGAGTTGTGTTTTAGCAATGCCACTCTGGAAGCAATGTGGAGAAAGAATCAGAGAGGGGAAAGAATGAAATACAGATTATAGCTGTAATTTAAGTGAGATGCTGAAGGCCTAAACTAAGGTAGTGATAGAAGACATATTGAGAAGTATATAGAATTGAGAATTAGCAATTGGACGTCAGCCATCACTGGATATGGGAACACAGGAGGTGTTAAAGCTATAGAGGAATAAGTGGTAGCAGATGTCTTGACAGTTTAGTAAGCCTGAATGTGAAAAGGAAAAGAAGGTAAAGATGAAAATGCCCTCAAACCAAACAATGGTGAGAGAAGAGAGAGGGAGAAGAGAGAGCAAATGGGAAGAAAATAGAGAGGTCAAGGAACAGGAGGTCTCAATGAGATCTTTAAAAATCACATATGTAGGGCGAATAAAGAATGAGAGAGGAGCATGGCTAGGAGACTGGTTCACGACAGGGTTATTTTAATTTAGAGTAGTTTAGGATGAAGAATAAATTGAGAGTATGTCTGTGGGAAGGTGTGGCTAACATTGTTTCACTGGAAATGAGAAGATCAAATTGTTGAGCAGTTGATGGGGATGTTGGAATCATCTGGAGGATGGTAAGATGTGTAAGACAGGAAGACCAGTGGATGGCTATGATCAATGGAAAATAACATAATGGAGTATGGTATAAGCCTCATAATGACAGGAGTTATTTAAAAGAATAATGAGGAAAGGTCTGGAAGCAAAATGGGAGTGACAAAAACCCTTATCTCTTTTGGCCTTAAGGTACATGTTGTATGAGAGAACAAAGTCTCCACTGAAGAGGACTTCAGTGTAAGTTATATTCTCAGTGAATAGCCAGGTTGCGGTTATGACCTGAAGATGAAGGGAATAATCAGAGAAAAAGTTGGAATGGAGATGTTCCTCGGTTCCCTATCCTGTTCTGTTGATGTATTTATTTTAATTTGTCTTAATTATTATAGTCTTATAATGAGAAAATTTTTGGTAGAGTAAATCTTTCCACCATCTTCTTCTTTAGGAGTATCTTGACTATTTATGATCCTTTGATTTTCCAGATAAATTTTAGAGTTAGATTGACAAATTCCACAAAATAAGACTTGTTAGAATTTGATTGCGGTTACATAGAATTACTAATAAATTGCAGGAGTGTTAACATATTTAAGATATTGAGTTTTTCAAACTATGAATCTGGCATATCCTCATTTATTTCTGTCATGTTTTATAAAGTTATATAATTTTCTTTGTGGCGGTCTTGTACATTTTATATGAGATTTATTTCCATGTACTTTATATTTTTAATGCCACTGTAAATTTAGTTGTAATAGTATTTTCTAATTATTTTCTTGAGTCACTATTGTTGTTCTTTTTCTAACTACTTGGGAAGAATAATTAACTTTCAGGTTTTCATCTCTTTCTTCTGATTTCTACTTTAATTGAATCTCACAAATTTTGTTATTTGGTATTTTCATTATTTTGCAGTTCAAACTGTTTTCAAATCCCCATTATGATTCCCTCTTTATCCATGAAGTCTTTTAAATTGACTCTTTATTTACAAAATAAGATTTTTTCTAGTTAATATTTTGTTGTCAATTCTTAGCTTAATTTGCTTATGGTCAGAGAATATGATCAGGGTGGTTTCAATCTTTTGCAATTTTTGACTGAACATGATACAGTCAATTTTTATAAATGTTATATATGTGTCTGGAAAAAATTGTACTTTCCATTTGCTTGGTATATGCTGATGTAGATAGATATAGATATATAAGTACATAAAGGTATAGCTGCACATAGATCCATATGTCCATTAGGTCAAGTTCATTAATTATTTTTTCAATACTGCTATATACTTACTGATTTTTTTTCCCTGCTTGTTCTATCAATTTCTGAGAGAGGTATGTTATTCAACTATGATTGTTTATTTGTCTTCATGGTTATGCCAACTTTCAGTCCTGCATTTTTAAACTATGTTATTAGGTAACAACAAATGTTAAGACTGTAGGAAGTAATAGACACATTAACATTTGTAGCTGATTATTTTGACCCACCACTCTCAGAACCTGAAAGTTCAAGCAAACAAAAATAAGCAGCAATATAAAAGGCTTAAACACAATAATAAAATTGGGCCATTAGATAATATAAAACTCTACACCCAAAAAACAGAATACAAATTCTTTTGAGCACCATTTACAGAAATATGCTATGAATTAGGAAAACAGAGGCCACAATAATCTCTGAATGATTGATATTGTAAAATCTAGGCTCTCTCATCATAATGCTTATCCACAGTTAACACAAAGATGGCTCTGAAACCCAAATGTTTGGGAACAAAATAGCATATTACTGACTAACCTCTGAGTTGAAGGAAACTAAGAAATATTTAGAATTGAATAAAAACATTATATGCCAGTATTCTTTAAAGTTTAAAATATATTTACCCTGAGACCTAGCAACACCACTGCTAAGCACTTAGCCTAGAAAACCCAATGCACACATAAGCCAGAAGACCTGGCCAAGAGGTGAATTGCTTATAGTAGTCTCAAACTGGACACAACCAAAATTTCAACACTAGTTGAATATTTATATAAATAGTGATATATCCATAAATGGAATATCATACAGAAAATAAAATGAACAAACTTGGCTATATACAGGTTGGATGCATCTTGTTAACATAACATCAAAGAAAAATAAACCCCAGACACACAAGAATATATACTATATAAGGCCATTTTTATAAAGTTGAAAAACTTTATAAATAAATAAATAAATAGATGATAAAATATATAAAACAACCAGGAATGTGTAAGGAAAGAGCATGGGGGGGGTACTTTTGGGGGGACTGGTCATGCTTTATTTGACTCAAGTAGTGGTTACTGGAATGCTCACATTATAATTTATTCCTTATAATATATTCTTTTTATGCACTTTTCTATAGATGTGTTATATTTCACAACCAGCTTAAATATCACTCAATAATGTCATACTCCCACAATGGAACCCCGTCATCATGTTGGTGTTAGAGAATAACACTTCCCTTCATACATTAGAGCATGTATGTATGTTTTGGTGGGGATAGGAATATTGGAGTACAGAAAAGGATGTTGCATACCATGTTTAAATCTGTCTGAAGAGAAGATAGTCTGACAGGATTCCCCTGTTTTGCAATGGACTCTAACTTTTATTTTTTATTTTTATTTTTTAAGGCCAATCAAGTGAAGCAGTGGGAGTGGAGAAGGAATAAGGAAATCTGTAACTGGTTCTGACCAATTAGTTGTAAACACCACTGCACTCGAATCAGCTTGATTCTGCATTTCAAAGAATGAGAAGGTATGCTTTCATTTGTGACAGCAGACCCGTTCCAGAATTTTTTCACTTGACAAATTATCTATGGTCAATACTAGTGTCTCTCAAATCTTTGCATCCTAAAAATTATTTCAAAGGAAGATTTTAAATTGCAGAATCTTTGGAGTTATCCCAAGGAGAGGATGTGGCAAGTGGAGGAAATCTTATTTTTGAAAAAGTATACCTGGAGATTTTGAGGAAGGTGATCCAGGGACATGGGAAATCAACACTGCAGTGCCTAATACTTCCTTTGACTTTGGCTTTATGAATAAAAATGTCTGATCAATTCAAACCCAAACTAGATTTGAATTATCTCCTAGTTCCAAAGCACCTCAAGGTCTCCTGTTCACTGATGCCATGGTTTCTAATTCTCTGTTCTTCTCTCTTCCATCTCCAGAGCATCCATCCCAACCGATTCCTACAGGGTGGTCCTTTCTTAGTCAGCTCCCTGACCCTATTGCTGAGTATTTCATCTTTCCTCCCTCTTTGCAGGTAGTGGTTGAATCTTTCTCTTTTTACTCCCACCCCAGAATGCATAGTGTTAGGCTGAATACCCAGGAGATACTTGCAAAGTGCAGTTTTGTCCCCTCAAGTGATCTGAACGTCAACATCCTGTTTTATTACTCCCCAAATGACCAGACTGCACCAAGAACATGATTTTGTGGAAGAAAAATCTCAACTAGGCTGCAGTACAGATCATAAACTAGCTTTCTAGTTGGATGCCAATGAAATAATAACACCCACTGCAGACAAGTCTGGATGTTCTTCACATTGCTTGCATATATCATCTCTATCCCATAATTGCAAGACCGTTCTTTAAAAGTACTACCTTTCTTGGGAAATTGGAATTTTCAGTCTTTGGTGCTTTGCTTTCCCAAATACCCTGAACACCCCAGCAGCACTCAAAAATCACTAGTATCTTCTATTTCTTCCTCCTCCTGAAGTCCTCAGTATTTTCTCAATTTGTATGTGTTGCTGCTTTTTTCCCATAAATCCACTAAAAATTACAGCAAGGTCCATACCCTTTGATAGCTAATATTCTACCAGAGAGAGGCAGATGATGTACCAAATAAAGGACATAAACATGATGGTCTCAGAATGATGGATGCTCTGCAGAAAATAAACAGGGTACTGTCATAGAGAGTGATGTTGGGCTACTTTAGATTAGAAGGAGATGACTAGAATTAAGTGAAAATTTGAACCATGCAACATCTAGAGAAAGAGTATTCCAGGTGATGGGAACAGTATGAACACCTGAGGCAGAAGTGTCCTTGGTGTGTTTGAGAAACAGCAAGAAGGCAAGTAGAGCTTCAGTGAAGTGAGCCAGGGTAGAGTGGAAGGAAATTATCGGTTTGGCTTTTATTATTAGTAGCAGGGAGAAGCCATTGGAATGTTTCAAGAAAAGAGGTTATAGTATCAGGTATTCATTTTTAAAGATTTCCTTTACCTTCAGTGTCAACAGTAGCATGCAGAGTACTGGTACAGATAGCAGAAACCACTTTAATACATTTAAGCAGGAAGGGGGAATTAGGTACTTACAAAGATGTTTTAAAAAGCCAGAATAAAAGACTAGGTTGAATTTCCAGAACTATTCTCTGAACAACACCAGAAGACTGGTATAATCAGGAGGGTGGAGAGTGAAAAAGCCATTACTCCAAATAGCAGGCTCTAGGACCACACTGCTTCTGCTGAAATCATTACAAACTGCAGCTCCAAGACCACAGTGCCTCATCCTCGATCTATATAAACAAACTGGGTGTTTCATGCCATGCTTTTTGATACCCACAAAACCGGGAACAAATACCTTTATTATTGCTGCTGCAGAAGAAAGCTTCCAAGAAGTCTTCCAAGATCATGCTCTTTAGCAAAACCCAGAAACCACAGAAGAAGCATGAACTTTCATTCACTTCCCCTTCCAAATTTCATGCAGGTGTGTCCACTTGACAGAGGCCAAGTCATCTGTGAAATCCAGGCCATGAAGATAAAAGTTCAGGAAGTGTAGTCGCTTTTCAACCTCTATCGTGCAGTAAGCCATGCAATAAATGGGGCTGGAATGGAATCAAGTGAGCTAATCTGTGATATTTGCTATGAGAAAAAAAATGTGTGGGAAGGCCAGTTAAGAGGCTATTGTAGTAGTCCACCTGACAGACGATGGTGGTCTGGACTAGCGTGAAAAAGGCAAAGATGCTGAGAATTGGTTAGATTTATATTTTGCCTTGAAATAGGACTTGCTTATAGATTTGGGCAGGGTTGAGGAAAATATATAGAAGCCTGATTAGTACTTTTTCCAACCCTGCTCCAATCACCCAATTTTATTTGCAAACTGTCAAGTCTGGTTTAGGAATCTCTCTTATGTATATCACAGGACCATACTGTATTGGAATCACTTATTTCATTGTATTTGTACCAAATTATCACATCCCTAGAGGGCAGAATGTGTATATGGCTGTGCATGGCAAAGTGCCTAGCAAATCATGCTCTTTCAATAAATATTGTTTACAAGAATGAGTGAAAGAATATTGGATTGCCTTGAGTCTACCTGCTCAGAGGCCTGGCCAGTTTCTCTGTACTAAGGATCCTTATGGTTCCTTGCTTATTGCCAGTGTTGCTGGATGGAGCCACATATTCAAGCATGCAATTGTGAAATCCTTCAGGCGGTCAGAAACTGGAATCCAATTTTAAATGAGAAGTATAAGATTGAGCCTTACTCAAACCAACGCACATTATGTTCAGCTAAATTTCTCCTTTATTCACCATGGGGGTGATTGTTGTAAGTGCCCTTATCCTTCATTATAGAAAATTGAAAACATGAAGAAATTCTGTATTTTGTTCTGTGCTCCATTGTGAATCAGCCTGTGACCACATGAATATCTGAAACAAAGTTGCTGACAGGAAGGTACAAATGCTGAAGCTGGGGCTATAGAAACTACCCGAGAGAGTGACTGAATAATAAAGGGGAGACACCAGTTAGTTCAATATGGATTGAGAGCTTTGAACTATATTTGAAACATTTAAATTAAGTGACAGTAAAACATCAAGTACAATCAGAAATTACGAGGTAAGATTACAAGGTGATCCCATGTGACTCAGATTTTTGACTCCCCTACTAAGTTAGCTATCAACTGTGCTTCAGGTCTCCCAAGGAAAAACTATGATGAGCAGTTAGTCACTTTGTAAATTGTCACTTCTAAATTAAGAGGGTAAAGTAGTAGTTTAAAATTAAATTCATTGTGATTAATTGAGCTTAGCAGTTTATATATTCCTTGGAGTTCAAGAATCTTCCTAGGGACTTGTTGTATAGGGAAAGGCCTTTTCTCATCTCCTGGACTCCAGGAGATTGGGGCTCAGTCAGAAACATTTGGGACACATTCCAGACACTAACTCTCTCTAGATTGCATTCTCCAATCCTTCTGTACAACTGCCCGTGCTCCCTCATGCCCCAGTCAGAAACACATAGCTCATCTCAGGAACTATGGATAAGATTCCACATTTTTCCTTTCCACTTGTCCTATTGACATGCCAGCAAAAGGTCACCTAATTCCAGAAGAAGAAAAAGAAGGTCTTCCATTTTTTTGAGGACTGACCATATGCTTGGCAATAGTTTTAGGTGTTTCTGCATATTAACTCATTTTGCCATATAAGGAAGTTATATTATTATCTCAATTTAGTGATGAGGAAACTGAGGCATATAGAAGTTAGGTACTTGCTTAAGATTATACAACTAGTGAGTGACAGAACTGAGATTCAAACCCAGGCAGTCTGACTTCAGACCTCTGGGTCTAACCTCTGACCTCTACTACAGTCTCTCCCCTTCTGGATGAAAAATGGGAAGAATAATAGTACCTACCTTACAGGGTTGCTGTGAGGATTAAATTATTGTTATGCGTCATCTGGAGTAGGATGATCATTTTCTGACCAGTGAGCTCTTGTAGAGAGTACCTTTCGCAAATTAAGTTTCCTTCCGACATGATCCTCAAGCTGAAAAAAGCATTTCTATTTATTTTAATAAATCTGAAGTGAAGTTATGCATAAACAGAGTGCCACAATATTGCATTTTGGTGAAAAGAAGCTCTCTTAATGTGTTTACATTTAATGGAACACAAGAAGGGTCACTCTGACTTCATTTCCATAAGCGACTCCTAAATAGGATCTATAGGTTAACAGCAAAGCTTTCCTGCACCTAATGGCTTTTGGAATAGGTTTATGCTCTTGAATATGTGTGCACACAGTTCCAAATGTCCAATGCCTTTTCCCCACTTTCGTCATGTCAGTGTTAGCAAACATAGCCATAGTCACTGTTTGTCATTAAGGCATATTGACCCTTTATACTCCATCTCAACCCAATAGGCTCCATGTAAGAGAAAACAAGTCTAAGGAAACCAATTCACTGTAATAAGCAATGTTTTCATAAACAGCATCAGGAACACGGGAGCCGTCAGAGGAGCTAAGATGAGTTTTTGTCATCTCATTTTGTGGAAATTGATAGTGCCTAAATAAATGTTTTATACCCACCTCTGGTTTCTATGCTAGCCCATCCTATACATTCAAGGGTTAAATAGATGCAGTATGCCCACATGCTGAAGAGCAAACTAGAGAATGGCTAATTTCTTTAAAAAAAAAAAACAACCATAATGCCTAAGTACAAGCCTAAAGCTTAAGTTATTCACACTCACAAGCTAATAAATGAGTCAAATAAATAGTTTAAGCGACCCTCCCCACTGGGTTCGACATTTCTGAAAAAGGAAAAGGGACACCAGGGGAGCACATGCTGCTCCTTGTTAATTAGGAACACCTAGGCAACATTCAGTGGAATTGATCAATTGTAGTCTGATTTTTTTTTCATTCAAACTTCTGCATTGTCAGTTAGTACCTAAGATGCCTTCTGTAACTTGTGCTTTCAGGATGTCAGGCATTAAGTTACTTTTCATTATAACTGACATACAACCTGATTTGGATTTCTTTGTTTATTTGTGAAATGAGGGTAAGGATTCAAGGGATAAATTACTGTGAGCAAAAATAGTTTGTCTTTCAAACGAGAAAGAATATGGAGAGAATGCAGCTACTGATGAGAGAAATTAAGCTTCCAAGCTTTTAGAGGAAATGAGACATAAATACACAGAACTCTAATGAAAGGTAGTATGTGATGCAGGCACAAAGAGAACCACACAGTGCACGTTCAGTTACAGCCCTCACAGGTGGGTTTGGGGAGAGAGGTATATGGTCTTGGCTTTAAAAGAAAGATGCAATTTTGTCAGAAGAATGAAAAGTGAATAACTGTAAGAAGGGGTTGCTCAGAGAAAGGCCAGTGGCTCCATTATGTTGAAGCTGAGTGTGTATGACAGGAAGGGCATTGAGGAGAGAGCTAGAAGGGTAGGTAGGAGTCAGTTAGTAAATGGCTTGGACAAAGACAGGATTAAAGAGGGAGTGAACATCAGAGGAGAAAACAAAAGCAATTAGAAGACTATTGGAAAAGTCTAGGTCAGGGATGAAGGCTTGAACTAGGATCAGGAGCAGTGGTGTAATAAAGGCATAGTGGGAAGTAGCATCATGAAGGAAGACCTGGAGGACAAACTGAAAAAGATTTTGTAAGCCACGCATGAAAGCTTAGATAATTAATAAACACTCTTTCTCACTGCATCAACTTCTAAAGTCTTCTCCCCAAGTGGGAGTCAATTATGATAAAACCATGAAAGAGTAAATGAGAAATTAGTATGGGAAGCCCCAGTTGGCTGAGTCAAGGAGTAAAGTGAACATACAGTCTCTTTGGGTGTTTATTTGATTATGGGAAGAACATGTAGTGCTGAGGCAGGGTGCCACGTGTGGCAGAAGCAGACAGCACAGCTGGCAGTGTGCTCTTGAACCTGAGATACTACACATGTTCCTTCCTCCCCACCCCACACACATAGTCCCCTGAAGAGCATGTACACTCACCCTTAGACCAGTTGCTCCCAAAAGACCTTATTTGAGCATGAGGTCTCCATTATTAGCAGAGACAACTTTTATGTCTGCATTGCTATTGCTTGGGATTCTCAGCACTATAAAATTGAAGATTAGAAGGAACTTCAACGTTCAGCTGGTAAAGCCATTAGAATCCTCTCTATAAAGTTCCCACCAAGTAGTCATGTAGTCTGTTCTTGAGCATTTCCATTGATGGGGACCTCATTCCATCTTTGGCTTGTCCTGAGTATTATTTCTCTTTTATCATCAACCCTTTCTTAACAATTACTATGCCAGGAACTACTCTGGTTGCTTTACTAAGTTTATCTCACTTAATATTCACAACATTGAATTTAACAGATGAGGAAACTAAGGATCAGGGAATGTGACTTGTCCAAGGTCACACAACTGGTGGAAGGCAGAACTCCTAAACCTATCTGACTCTGATGCTCCCTTGATTAAAACTTAGTCTAAGTCAAAATCTGTCTGTAAAACCCACTCACTGCCAGAGTTATAATATCCTTTCCTGGGAAGAGGGTGGTCTCCTTGAGGTACAGTTGGAGACACAAATCTTCTCGATCATTTTTATCACCAAAACACTTGACAGATGCTTGAGAATTTGATAGACAAGACTATCAAAATAAAAGGCAAAGAAGGCCACATAGTAAATCCTTTAGAGAGAGTGCCTGTCTCTACCCTCTTTTCACTCCTCAATATGGGACACTCAGCTTTCTACTCTTTCAGTGCTCAACAATGAGCTTTCTAATCAACAAATCTGATCGCCACTTCCAAGTCTTTATCTTCTATGAGCTCCACCTTCTGGAATTTTTCTCCTCTCTTAGTTTCAGAGATGATTCATAACAGCTAGGCTCTCATAGGGAGACTAGGAATGTTCTGATCAGAAAAGAAAGATATCATATATTCAAATTCCTGTCTAACATCAACACTTAAATGTCTAATAATCAAAACTAATGTAAAATGTCCAAAACTAAATTCTTACATTACACCATATTAAAAATGGATCAAATACCTAAATGCAATAAGACTTATAGAAAAAAGTAAGGGAAAAATTTTATGACATTTGAATTAACAATGATTTCTTAGATATGGCACCAAAAACACTGCCAATAAATGAAAAAAATAGATAAATTAGAGTTCATCAAAATTTAAAACTTTTATGCATCAAAGGGCACTATGAAAAGTGAAAAGGCAAAAAACAAAGAATGGAAGAAAATATTTGCAAATCATATGTCTGATAAGGGGTTAATATCTGGATTGTACCCATAGCTGAGTATATACCCAAAGGAAAACAGATCATTACATCAAAGACACATGCACTCATATGTTCATCACCATGCTATTCACAATAACTAAGATATGGAATAAACCTAGGTCCTCATCAGGAAATGTGGGACACGTACACTATGGAATACTATGCAGCCATAAAAAAGAGTGAAATTATGTCCTTTGCAGCAACATGGATGGAACTGGAGGACATAATTCTAAGCAAATTAATGCAGGAACAGAAAACCAAATATTTCATGTTTTCACTTATAAGTGGGAGCTAAACCTTAAGCCCAAGAGGACATAAATATGGGAAAAATAGACACTGGGAACTACTAAAGGGGAAAGGAAGGGAGTGGGGCATGGGTCAAAAAACTACCTATTGGGTACTATGCTCCCTACCCAAGTGCAACATACTCATGTAGCAACCCTGCACGTGTACCCCTTATATCTAAAATAAAAGTTGAAGAAAAAAATTCCAGATTACATAAGTACTCCTACAACACAAAACAACAACAACAACAACAATAACAATTAAAAACTGGGCAAAGGATTTTGATAGACATTTCTCCCAAGGAGATACAGAAATGATCAATAAGCACATGAAAAGATACTCAGTATCACTAATAATTAGGGACATTAAAGTCAAAACCACAATGAAATATCATTCTACACCCATCGGGATGGCTATTATCAACAAAACAGAACAGAAAAAAAAAAACAAAGAGAAAATAACAAGTGCTGGTGAGCATAGGGAGAAATTAGAACCTTTGTACATTCATGGTGTGAATGTAAAATGGTGCAGCTACTGTGGAAAACTGTATGTCTTTTTCTCAAAAAAACTAAACATAGAATAAACATGTAATCCAACAATTCCACTTCAGGGTATGTACTCAAAATAATTGAAAGCAGGGACTCAAACAGATATTTGTATATCAATGTTTATAGTAGCACATATATATGTGTATATATGTGTGTGTGTGTATATATATATATACACACACACACTATATATATATATATATATATATATATATATAGTGTGTGTGTGTGAATATTATCCAGCCTTTAAAAAGGAGTGAAATTCTGACACATGCTACAACATGGATGAACCTTGAAGACATTATGCTAAGTGAAATAAGCCAGACACAAAAAACAAATATTGTATGATTTCACTTGTATGATGTACCTAAAATAGTCAAATTCTTAGAGACATTAAGTAGAATGGGGGTTACCAGGGGCTGGGAGAGAGGAGAATAAGTGCATTAAACAATGTGACTATATGTAATGCCACTTAACTATATACTTATAAATGGGTAAAATGGTAAGTTTTATGCTACGTGTATTTTACCACAATAAAAAACAAAACACCAAGTCCTTGGCTTTACGCCCACCTTAACTTCTTTATTCCAGAGTCTTCCCCAACTCAGTAAATGGCAAGTCCATTATCACACCTAATCAAACCTAAAGTCCTGGAGTCTTTTCTTTTGTTTTGCCTCCTCTCTTTTTTTTACATCCTACATCTAATCTGTCAGGGAGTCCTTTGGCTTTATCTTAAAAATATTACCAAAATCTGACCACTTTGTTTACCACTTCCACTGCTACAACTCTGGTCTGAGCCCATCATCTGTCATTTGAGTTATTGCAGTAGCTTCCTAACTGGTCTTCCTACTTCTGTCCTTGCCCCTTGCAGTGGTCAGAGTGAACGCTCTAAAGCATAAGTGTGACCATGTCACTCCTCTGTCTAAAACCTGCCGTTGGCTTACATCTCACTTCATGTGAAAGTCACCATTCCAGTTCCATTCTGATATCATCTCCTATTCCTCCTGCCTCACTCATTCTGTTCTAGCCTCACGGGCCTTCTTGCTCTTTTTTGAACACAGCAAACACACTTCCACCTTCAGGGCTTTCCCTTTGTTGTCTCCTCTCCTAGAATGCTTTTCCCCCAGATGTCTACATGACTGGCATCCTCATCTCCTTCAAGTCTCTGCTCAAATGCTATCTTCATATTGAGGTCTTCTCTGATCACTTTATTCAAATAGCATCTTCACCCTCCAATCAGCCCCCCATGCAGTGCTCTCTATCCTCCTTCTATACTTTATTTTTCTCTGTTGCATTTATCATTAACTAATAGACTAGGTATTTTACTTATTTTGCTTGTGTGTTGTCTACCTTCCCTTCCTAGAATGTAAGTTCCATGATGACAAAGATTTTTGACTGTTTCTTGTTTTTTTCCATTATTATGTCCCAGTTTTCCTAAAAGTATCTTGTACGTAATAGACATTCAATATCCATTTGATGAATGAATGAATGAATGATGACTTCCTGGATAGGAGAGTGGAGAGATAAAAGGAAATGACATAGATGACTTCTAGGTCACCAATCAGGTCACAACTGAATATCCATTCACTAAGATTGAGAACAGCCTAAAAGAAGAGATATTTGGGGACTAGGGTAAGACTGGCACATATTTTTATATGTCTAATTTTTAAATTTTTTAGTAGAGATGGGGTCTCAATATGTTATGCAGGATGGTCTTGAACTCCTGGCCTCAAACAATCCTTCTGCCTCAGCCTCTCAAAGTGCTGGGATTACAGACACAAGCCACTGCACCTGGCCCAAGACTGGGTTATTTTGGATTCAAGCTACCTATAAAACATGAAGGAAGAGTCGTTCATAGACTTTTCTAATAATGGTACAGGTGTTGACAGGAGTGCAAGAGAGAGAGTGTCTTTGTTAAGACAGGGTAGGCTTTGATAAAATAATAAATAAATCTTCATATCTAAACAGCTTAACATACATATACAAAGCTTGATTTCCAGCTCACATGAGTTCAAATGCCTGTCTGCAGCTCTCTTTTTCATCTGACGGCTCAGGGATCTAGGTTCCCTCCATCTTTGATGTTATCATCTCAACATCTGGCAAAGAGTTACAAGAGCAAAAAAGAGAGATCTTATGATCATGCACTGGGTCTCAAATATCTCATCCTGGAAATGGTATAGGTCACTTATGTTTGCATTTCATTGTCTATAACTAGTCACATGATCCCAATTAATTGAAAGGGGACTGTGGAATATGAGGTGCATCTGGAATACATTATGAGCACTACTCACAGTGAGAGATAATGGAGTAAAGGGATGTTTTGGAGCAGTGTTGAGAAGTAGAGACTAGAGTTACTGACAGGATTAAGTGCCTTGTTATGAATTATTTCTATTACCACAAATGTACACTATATTGATACAATAAGTCTATATAAGAGGAAAGCCTTTGGTCAAAATTTAACATGAGCAGAGAGAACTTGGCTAAGAATGCAAGGGTATAATAATTAGGAACTGAGGGGCCTGACATGGATCCTATAACAATTGAGGGCCGGTGCAAGACTAATGCAGGTCTCTGACACTCAGAAGAGAGTCACGTTAGAAAGGAGATCTTCTCACCAAAGGCAACACATATGGCCACACAGACTGCACCCTACAAAACTGCAGGGGCTACTATTCACCTTTTGTATAGGACTCTTGTTTCTCATCCTCTGGGTGCAGGAGCAGGGGCAGGGGTGCCCAGAGGGCAGCCATCAACAGCCCCACTGAAGGGCAGAGTAGCTGGTGGCAGCTAAGACCCAAATGTAGAAGCACAAAGCCATCTATTTGTGCACTAAAATCTCCTTGCTCACAATGGTCTCTGTTCCTTGTGCTTATCCCTGAGCTTCTGAAGAAGGTTCCTTTTGAAAATATCAGCCTGGCTTACCCAGATTCAGGAAAACAATTAGATAAATAAAAAGGCTCATTTCACGATTAGATCAGGATTGCTGAGGACCCCTGGTGGCTATAAGTGATAGTGACAGCAACTCTTCCAGATGGAGATTATGAGAAACCTGACCAGGATGAGGGAAGTGAAATCACAGAGCTCAGAAGCTTTGACAGATAGGGATTCCCTACTGTTAGGGCTGCTCTGTTAACAAACAGGCATTATTATCACCTCCATATTTCAGATAAGAAAACAGATTCAGAAGCTATCTCTGATCTTCATATTTGTAGTCAAATGCCCTTTTTAGTATATTATGCTACAGCAAGTCCCTGGGATAAATCTTAGAGTAATGGAACATTTTCCCTGATCCTGCTCTTCCGTAGTAACGGAGGAACATAATTCTAAAAGATGCTACAGATACTAAAATGTAGGCTTTCACAGGCTTTGGGAGAGAGCTGTGGCCTACACAAATTGTGAATGCCTGGCAAAAGTAAAGAGAAACGCTGCAAAATCAGAATTAAAACCCAGCTATCCCTCCCTTTGTGACACTTGATCAAAATTGTTGGTGACATATTGCATACCACAGATGAAAGCAGGTTAATGCCTTCACTGTTGAACTTCTTTCTGGTTGGGTTGGCACTAGGCAACAGAGAAGGCTTTCCTGCCCTCCCAATATCTTTTCTTGAAGAAACAGTTTTCTGTGATGGTGATGGGGGTCTTTATGGCTATATAAGATATTTGTCTCTCAAATAGAATAAATGCTGGACATATTTTGAGCAAAAACAGTTTAAATTCTTCTTAGAAGGATTCACAGACAGCTGCTTTTGGCTTAAATTGTCAGAAATTTTTAGACATTCAGGGGACCACAGAATCTCTGAAATAACATCCCATATGGAGCACAGTTTTCTTTATCATATCCCTAACAAGTGACCATTCAATCTCTGTATGAACAGCTCTATTAACAAGTAAAAATCTGACTCCTTCCAAAGACAGGCCATTGCATTTTTAGATCTATTACAAACATGAACCCCCCTGCAGGAATTCTATGCCAGCCAAGCTTAGATAGCCCAATAAGTGAGTACATATGGTCCACCTTGAAGGTTGTAATAAGACTCCCTGGAAACTATGAAATTGTTCATTTTACATACTTTTCCTTAGAAGCAGAGTGAAAGTTGCACAGTAAGCAGGTAAGCAGAAGGAAGAATTCCTATAAAGATTCACTTTTGGCCAGGCCCGGTGGCTCACACCTGTAATCCCAGCGCGGTGGGAGGTCGAGGCGGGAGGATTCCTTGGGCTCAGGAGTTCAAGACCAGCCTGGGCAACGTGGTGAAACTCCGTCTCTACAATTTTTTTTTTAATAGCTGGGTATAGTAGCATGCACCTGTAGTCTCAGTTACTCCAGAGGCTGAGGTGGGAGGATTGCTTTGAGCCTGGGAAGCTGAGGTTGCAGTGATCCGAGATCCCACCACTGCACTCTAGTCAGGGCAACAGAATGAGACCCTGTCTCAAAAACAAACAAATAAATTCACTTTTATTCTCCTTTCTGTTAGAAAGTCACGTGAAAGCACATTTCTCTAGCCTTAAAGTTCAGCTGCCACTAGCATTTTATTCCTGTGGAAAATATTTCTTTCAGGTCCCATGGGATAAGGGACATATAAAACCATAGCCTTCCATGTATGACAAAGACAATTGGAAATGGCTTCCAGGTATCAGGTTGCTCCAATAAATTCATTTGTTAACAAATGTATTTTTATTTATTAGGAATGAAATGGGTAACATCTTTATAAAATAGTCTTTCATGGAAAGTTTGAGCAAAAGGCATTCTAAAGGCTAGAGTCTAAAGGCCCATCCCCTTGTCTCAATTTATTTTGTTCCTGCCCAGGGTTAAGACTCCATTACCTCTAATTTTGATCATTATAATAGCCTTCTTCCTCTCTGATATTCTGCATTTTCACTATGATGTATGTAGGTACAGATTTCTTTTTATTTATCCTGTCTAGGATTCACTGGGTTTGCAGAATCTGTAGATTAGTTAATGCTTTTCATCTGTTCTGGAAAATGTTTGACTATCATCTTCCTCATTTCCTCAGAAAAGAGTCTTTACTTTCTGGGACTTATATGTATGTAAGATCTTCTCATTCTATTCATTACGTTTCTTACCCTATCTTTTCTTTTTTCACATAATTTGTTTCTCTAGGCAGAATTCTGGATGATTTATTCTAACCTATCTTCCATTTCAGTAATTCTCTCTTAAGTTAATATTTCTCCATTGCACTTATCATCATCTAACAGTTGTGTTTAGCCATCTATTAAATGCATCCATTAAACTCTCTATTTTATGGTTATATGTTTTAGTTCTAGAAATCCTATTTGATTATTTTTCAAACTGCAATGCCACTTTTTTTATTATACTTTAAGTTCTAGGGTGCATGTGCACAACGTGCAGATTTGTTACATATGTATACATGTGCCATGTTGGTGTGCTGCACTCATTAACTCATCATTTACATTAGGTATATCTCCTAATGCTATCCCTCCCCCCGCCTCCCACCCCATGACAGGCCCTGGTGTGTGATGTTCCCCACCCTGTGTCCAAGTGTTCTCATTGTTCAATTCCCACCTATGAGTGAGAACATGCAGTGTTTGGTTTTCTGTCCTTGTGATGGTTTGCTCAGAATGATGGTTTCCAGCTTCATCCATGTCCCTACAAAGGACATGAACTCCATCCTTTTTTCATGGCTGCATAGTATTCCATGGTGTATATGTGCCACATTTTCTTTATCCGGTCTATCATTGATGGATATTTGGGTTGGTTCCAAGTCTTTGCTATTGTGAATACTGCCGCAATAAGCATACATATGCATGTGTCTTTATAGCAGCATGATTTATAATCCTTTGGGTATATACCCAGTAATGGGATGGCTGGGTCAAATGGTATTTCTAGTTCTAGATCCTTGAGGAATCGCCACACTGTCTTTCACAATGGTTGAACTAGTTTGCACTGCCACCAACAATGTAAAAGTGTTCCTATCTCTCCACATCCTCTCCAGCACCTGTTGTTTCCTGAGTTTTTAATGATAACCATTCTAACCGGTGTGAGATAGTATCTCATTGTGGTTTTGATTTGCATTTCTCTGATGACCAGTGATGATGGGCATTTTTTCATGTGTCTGTTGGCTGCATAAATGTCTTCTTTTGAGAAGTGTCTGTTCATATGCTTCGCCCACTTGTTAATGGGGTTGTTTGATGTTTTCTTGTAAATTTGTTTAAGTTCTTTGTAGATTCTGGATATTAGCCCTTTGTCAGATGGGTAGATTGTAAAAATTTTCTCCCATTGTGTAGGTTGCCTTTTCACTCTGATGGTAGTCTCTTTTGCTGTGCAGAAGCTCTTTAGTTTAATTAGATCCCATTTGTCAATTTTGGCTTTTGTTGCCATTGCTTTTGATGTTTTAGTCATGAAGTCCTTGCCCATGCCTGTGTCCTGAATGGTACTGCCTAGGTTTTCTTCTAGGGTTTTTATGGTTTTAGGTCTAATAGTTAAGTCTTTAATTCATCTTGAATTAATTATTGTATAAGGTGTAAGGAAGGGATCCAGTTTCAGCTTTCTACATATGGCTAGCCAGTTTTCCCAGCACCATTTATTAAATAGGGAATCCTTTCCCCATTGCTTGTTTGTGTCAGGTTTGTCAAAGATCAGATGGTTGTAGATGTGTGGCATTATTTCTGAGGGCTCTGTTCTGTTCCATTGGTCTACATCTCTGTTTTGGTACCAGTACTATGCCGTTTTTGGTTACTGTAGCCTTGTAGTATAGTTTGAAGTCAGGTAGTGTGATGCCTCCAGCTTTGTTCTTTTGGCTTAAGATTGTCTTGGCAATGCGGGCTCTGTTTTTGGTTCCATATGAATTTTAAAGTAGTTTTTTTCCAATTCTGTGAAGAAAGTCATTGGTAGCTTGATGGGGATGGCATTGAATCTATAAATTACCTTGGGCAGTATGACCATTTTCATGATAGTGATTCTTCCTATCCATGAGCATGGAATGTCCTTCCATTTGTTTGTGTCCTCTTTTATTTTGTTGAGCAGTGGTTGGTAGATCTCCTTAAAGAGGTCTTCACATCCCTTTTAAGTTGGATTCCTAGGTATTTTATTCTCTTTGAAGCAATTGTGAATGGGAGTTCACTCATGGTTTGGCTCTCTGCCTGTTATTGGTGTATAGGAATGCTTGTGATTTTTGCACATTGATTTTGTAACCTGAGAGTTTGCTGAAGTTGCTTATCAGCTTAAGGAGATTTTGGGCTGAGATGATGGGGTTTTCTAAATATGCAATCATGTCATCTGCAAACAGGGACAATTTGACTTCCTCTTTTCCTAATTGAATATCCTTTATTTCTTTCTCCTTCCTGATTGACCTGGCCAGAACTTCCAATACTATGTTGAATAGGAGTGGTGAGAGAGGGCATCCCTGTCTTGTGCCAGTTTTCAAAGGGAATGCTTCCAGTTTTTGCCCATTCAGTATGATATTGGCTGTGGGTTTGTCATAAATAGCTCTTATTATTTTGAGATACGTCCCATCAATACCTAGTTTATTGAGAGTTTTTAGCATGAAGGGCTGTTGAATTTTCTCGCAGGCCTTTTCTGCATCTATTGAGATAATCATGTGGTTTTTGTCTTTGGTTCTGTTTATATGATGGATTACATTTATTGATTTGCATATGTTGAACCAGCCTTGCATCCCAGGGATGAAGCCCACTTGATCATGGTGGATAAGCTTTTTGATGTGCTGCTGGATTTGGTTTGCCAATATTTTATTGAGGATTTTTGCATCAATGTTCATCAGGGATATTGGTCTAAAATTCTCTGTTTTTGTTGTGTCTCTGCCAGACTTTGGTATCAGGATAATGCTGGCCTCAAAAAATGAGTTAGGGAGGATTCCCTCTTTTTCTATTGATTGGAATAGTTTCAGAAGGAATGGTACCAGCTCCTCTTTGTACCTCTGGTAGAATTTGGCTGTGAATCCTTCTGGTCCTGGACGTTTTTTGGTTGGTGGGCTATTAATTATTGCCTCAATTTCAGAGCCTGTTATTGGTCTATTCAGGAATTCAACTTCTTCCTGGCTTAGTCTTGGGAGGGTGCATGTGTCCAGGAATTTATCCATTTCTTCTAGATTTTCTAGTTTATTTGCATAGAGGTGTTTATAGTATTCTCTGATGGTAGTTTGTATTTCTGTGGGATTGGTGGTGATATCCCCTTTATCATTTTTTATTGTGTCTATTTGTTTCTTCTCTCTTTTCTTCTTTATTTGCCTTGCTAGTGGTCTATCAATTTTGTTGATCTTTTCAAAAAACCAGTTCCTGGATTCATTGAGCTTTTGAAAGGTTTTTTTTGTGTCTCTATCTCCTTCAGTTCTGCTCTGATCTTAGTTTTTTCTTGCCTTCTGTCAGCTTTTGAAAGTGTTTGCTCTTGCTTCTCTAGTTCTTTGAATTGTGATGTTAGGATGTCAATTTTAGATCTTTCCTGCTTTCTCTTGTGGGCATTTAGTGCTATAAATTTCCCTCTACACACTGCTTTAAATGTCTCCCAGAGATTCTTGTAGGTTGTATCTTTGTTGTAATTGGTTTCAAAGAACATCTTTATTTCTGCCATCAATTCATTATGTACCCTGTAGTCATTCAGGAGGAGGTTGTTCAGTTTCCACGTAGTTGTGTGGTTTTGAGTGAGTTTCTTAATCCTGAGTTCTAGTTTGATTGCACTGTGGTCTGAGAGACAGTTTTTTATAATTTCTGTTCTTTTACATTTGTTTAGGAATATTTTACTTCCAACTATGTGGTCAATTTTGGAATAAGTGCGATGTGGTGCTGAGAAGAAAGTATATTCTGTTGATTTGGGGTGGAGAGTTCTGTAGATGTCTATTAGGTCTGCTTGGTGCAGAGCTGAGTTCAGTTCCTGGATATCCTTGTTAACTTTCTGTCTCATTGATCTGTCTAATGTTGACAGTGGGGTGTTGAAATCTCCCATTATTATTGAGTGGGAGTCTAAGTCTCTTCGTAGGTCTCTAAGGACTTGCTTTATGAATTTGGGTGTTCCTGTATTGGGTGCATATATATTTAGGATAGTTAGCTCTTCCTGTTGAATTGATCCCTTTACCATTATGTAGTGGCCTTCTTTGTCTCTTTTGATCTTTGTTGGTTTAAAGTCTGTTTTGTCAGAGACTAGGATTGCAACCCCTGCCTTTTTTTGTTTTCCATTTGCTTGGTAGATCTTCCTCCATCCCTTTATTTTGAGCCTATGTGTGTCTCTGCATGTGAGATGGGTCTCCTGAATTCAGCACACTGTTGGATCTTGACTCTTTATCCAATTTGTCAGTCTGTGTCTTTTAATTGGAGCATTTAGCCCATTTACATTTAAGGTTAATATTGTTATGTGTGAATTTGATCCTGTCATTGTGATGTTAGCTGGTTAGTTTGCTCGTCAGTTGATGCAGTTTCTTCCTAGTATCAATGGTCTTTACAATTTGGCATGTTTTTGCAGTGGCTGGTACTGGTTATTCCTTTCCATGTTTAGTGCTTCCTTCAGGAGCTCTTGTAAGGCAGGCCTGGTGGTGACAAAATCCCTCAGCATTTGCTAGTATGTAAAGGATTTTATTTCTCCTTCACTTATGAAGCTTAGTTCGGCTAGATACGAAATTCTGGGTTGAAAATTCTTTTAAGAATATTGAATATTGGCCCCCACTCTCTTTTGGCTTGTAGAGTCTCTGCCAAAAGATCTGCTGTTAATCTGATGGGCTTCCCCTTGTGGGTAACTGGACCTTTCTCTCTGGCTGCCCTTAATATTTTTTCCTTCATTTCAACTTTGGTGAATCTGACAATTATTTGTCTTGGAGTTTCTCTTCTCAAGGAGTATCTTTGTGGCATTCTCTGTATTTCCTGAATGTGAATGTTGGCCTGCCTTGGTAGGTTGGGGAAGTTCTCCTCGTTAATATCCTGAAGAGTGTTTTCCAACTTGGTTCAATTTTCCCCGTCATTTTCAGGTACACCAATCAGACGTAGATTTGGTCTTTTCACATAGTCCCATATTTCTTGGAGGCTTTGTTCATTTCTTTTTACTCTAAACTTCTCTTCTCACTTCATTTCATTCATTTGATCTTCAATCACTGATACCCTTTCTTCCAGTTGATCGAATCGGCTACTGAAGCTTCTGCATGCGTCACGTAGTTCTCATGCCATGGTTTTCAGCTCCATCAGGTCATTTAAGGACTTCTCTACACTGTTTATTCTAGTTAGCCATTCGTCTAATCTTTTTTCATGGTTTTTAGCTTCCTTGTGATGGGTTCGAACATCCTCCTTTAGCTTGGAGAAGTTTGTTATTACCAATCGTCTGAAGCCTTCTTTTCTCAACTAGTCAAAGACATTTCTCCATCCAGCTTTCTTCCGTTGCTGGCGAGGAGCTGCGTTCCTTTGGAGGAGAAGAGGCGCTCTGATTTTTAGAATTTTCAGCTTTTCTGCTCTGGTTTCTCCCCATTTTTGTGGTTTTATCTACCTTTGGTATTTGATAATGGTGAAGTACAGACGGGGTTTTGGTGTGGATGTCCTTTCTGTTTGTTAGTTTTCCTTCTAACAGTCAGGAACCTCAGCTGCAGGTCTGTTGGAGTTTTCTGGAGGTCCACTCCAGACTCTGTTTGCCTGGGTATCACCAGTGGAGGCTGCAGAACAGCAAATATTGCAACCTGATGTTGCTGCCTGATCCTTCCTCTGGAAGCTTCGTCTTAGAAGGGCACCCTGCTGTATGAGGTGTCAGTCAGCCCCTACTGGGAGGTAGGGTCTCCCATTTAGGCTACTGAGGGGTCAGGGACCCACTTGAGGAGGCAGTCTGTCCGTTCTCAGATCTCAAACTCCATGCTGGGAGAAGCACTACTCTTCAAAGCTGCCAGGGGCATTTAAGTCTGCAGAAATTTCTGTTGCCTCTTGTTCAGCTATGCCCTGCCCCCAGAGGTGGAGTCTACAGAGGCAGGCAGGCCTCCTTGAGCTGTGGTGGGCTCCATCCAGTTCAAGCTTCCCAGCCACTTTGTTTACCTACTCAAGCCTCAGCAATGGCAGACACCCCTCCCCCAGCCTCGCTGCCGCCTTGCCGTTCGATTTCAGACTGCAGGGCTAGCAGTGAGAGAGGCTCCATGGGCGTGGGACCCTCTGAGCCAGGCGTGGGATATAATCTCCTGATGTGCAGTTTGCTAAGATCCTTGGAAAAGTGCAGTATTAAGGTGGGAGTGTCCTGATTTTCCAGGTACCACCTGTCACAGCTTCCCTTGGCTAGGAAAGGGAATTCCCCGACCCCTTATGCTTCCCAGGTGAGGTGATGCCCTGTCCTGCTTCGGCTCACACTCTGTGGGCTGCACCCACTGTCTGACAAGCCCCAGTGAGATGAACCCAGTATTTCAGTTGGAAATGCAGAAATCTCCTGTCTTCTGTGTTGCTCACGCTGGGAGCTGTAGACTTGAGCTGTTCCTATTCAGTCATCTTGGAACTGGAACCTTAAAATACAATTGCAATGTCATTTTTTGGTTTTCTTTCCCTGAAGATATTCTGAAGCTTATCTTTTTTTTTTTTAATGGAGTCTTGCTCTGTCACCCAGGCTGGAGCACAGTGGCGCCATCTCGGCTCACTGCAAGCTCCACCTGCCAGGCTCACGCCATTCCCCTGCCTCAGTCTCCCGAGTAGCTTGGACAAAGGCGCCCACCACCGCGCATGGCTAATTTTTTTGAATTTTTAATAGAGACAGGGTTTCACCATGTTAGCCAGGATGGTCTCAATGTCCTGACCTCGTGATCTGCCTGCCTCGGCCTCCCAAAGTGCTAGGATTACAGGCGTGAGCCACCGTGCCCGGCCTGAAGCTTATCTTTTATTTCAACTATGGGAAACCATAATGATTGGAGCCTTTGTCTCATAATTCTAATACCTGAAGTCTTTGTGAACTTGTGTTGCCTATTTTTTTCTTCTGGCTGTCACTTAAAATGTATTTTTTTCCTTGTGTGCCTACTTATCTTTGATTATGTACTAATATGTTATTGAAAAAACATTTTTAAAACTGATTTCAGGCCTAGGAAGACAAAACCTTCTGTGGAAAGTATTTCAATTTGCTTTTAACAAATGCCTTGGGACAGTACATGTCAAGGACCACTGTAAACCCTGTCCAAGTTCTGGGCTTGAGGTTCTTTGGACTACTCAGGTCGTGAGTAGCTAGTTTGCAAGTTCATGCAAGAGCTGGTTACTTCTGGTTCACCATTAGTCTCTTTTTGTTTTTTTTTTTTGATTCAGCAAATGCCCTCAGGCAAAAGTAGCTTTGGGTGCTGGGTTTTCCTAACTTGGTTCTTGTTTTCTAGATTTTAGCTTCATCACTCCTTAGCTCTTAATAAATATAATTTATTTTTATATTTCATCTATCTTTTTAGTTGTCCTTATTGGAACAGTTAGTCTAAATTATGTAGCCTGTCACCACCAGAAGCAGAGGTGTGCAACGCCTCCTAACTGCTCACTTTGTTCCTAGTCTCTCTTCTTTCTGGTCTCTCCTTCACAAAGTAATGGAAACTTTCTCCTTAATGCACCACTTTGTGACACTCCGCTGAACATATCCTTCAAAAGCTTACTGTTCACTCTAAAATGGAAATCAAGTTCCTTAGTTTTGACAATCAGGTCCCAAACTCTTTTTCTTGCCTCATTTATTCATTCAACAAGTATTTTTTGTGCACTGAATATGTGGCCCTCACTAGGCAGATGCTGCCTATTCTTTTGCCTGTTAACTAATTTAACCTCTTGTCATACCTCCCAAATCACCTTATGCTCCAGAGAAACTTGTGTATGGTCACGTACCACATAATGATGCTTTGGTCAACTACAGATAGTTGATCCAGTAAGATTACCATGGAGCTGAAAAATTCCAATGGCCTAGTATTTACTGTGCTTTTAATTATTATTTTGGAATGTACTCCTTTTACTTATAAGAAACTTAGCTGTAAAACAGCCTCAGTCATTTTCTTCATGAGGTATTTCAGAAAATGGCATTGCTATCATAGGAGATGACAGATTCATGCATTTTATTGCCCCTGAAGACTTTCCAGTGGGACAAGATGTGGAGGTGGAAGACAGTGATATTGATGATCCTGACCCTGCATAAATCTAGCTTAATATGTGTGTTTGTCTTAGTTTCTAACAAAAAAAGTTTCAATAGTTATAAAAAATAGAAAAAAATGCTTATAAAATAAGGATATAAGAAAGATATTTTTGTACAACTGTACGATATGTTTATGTTTTAATCCAAGTGTTATTACAAAATAGTCAAAAAGAAAAAACTTAAAATTTATAAAGTAAAAATGTTACTGTAAGCTAAGGTTGATTATTGAAAAAATAAACTTTAAAAAATTAATTTAATGTAGCCTAAGTATACAGTATTTATAAAGTCTATAGTAGTATACACTAATGTCCTAGGCCTTCACAGTCACTCATTACTCACTCATTGATCCACTCAGAGCAACTTCCAGTCGTGCAAAGTGCATTTACTGTGAGTGCCCTATACAGGTGTACCATTGTTTATCATTTATACAATATTTTTATTGTATTTTTTTAGGCTTATATAGGTTTAGATACACAAACACTTACCATTATGTTATAATTACCTATAGCATTCAGTACAGTAAGATGCTGTACTGATTTGTAGTTTGGGAACACCAGGCTGTTCCATATAGCCTAGGTGTGTAGTAGGCTATACCGTCCAGGTGTGTGTAGGTATACTCAGATGTTTGCTCAACAACAAAATTGCCTAATGACACATTTCTCAGAATATATCTCCAATCCTGAAGCAAACAGGTCTACTCCCATCTGCTGGTGGTTGCCTGAAATACCAATGGAAGCTGACTTTCACAGAAAACACACTGTTAAAGAAGTAGGCCAATCTGGAATTAGAATTCTAGTTTCAGTCTCTGCCACTATAAAACTTTAGGCCAATCCCTTTTCCTTCTCTAGACCTCAGTTTCCTCACATGCACCTTTCAGATGCTTGGACAAAATGACCTGAAATGGTCCTTTCGTTTTTGACAAGCCAGGATTATCTCTTAAAGAATGCCTGCATGACCAGGGACCAGGAGTGCAGGATGAATAGCAGGAGGGCTGGTTTCATTTGACCTATTCGTGTATGTGACGGTCAATGATATATGGTTCCCTTCACCTTTTTTTCCTTCTCTCGCACCCATTTGGGAGGGAAGAATTTGCTGCAATGTAAGACAAAGAGGGGAGAAAAGGAGAAGGGGAAAGAAGGTATGAGGGTACTCTACTGGTTAAAATAAGACAGGAAACTGTCTTGGATACAATTTTTTAAAACGTGTAATTCTAACATGCTTAAAAAAGGGTGGGATGCTGTGATTTGGATGTTTGTCCCCTCCAAATCTCATGTTGAAATTTGATCCCCAGTGTTGGAGGTGGGGCCTAATGGGAGCTGTCTGGGTCATGGGCAGATTCCTCATGAATGGCTGGACATTGTCCTCGCGGTAATGAGTGAGTTATTGCTCTATTAGTTCCCACAAGAACTGGTTGTTTAAAAAGTCTGGCATTTACCTCTTCTCTCTTGCCTCCACTCTTGCTATGTGATCTTTGCACATGCCAGCTTCCCTTTGACTTCAGCTATGAGTGGGAGCACCCTGAAACCCTCACCAGAAGAAGATGCTGGCACCATGCTTCTTGTACAGCCTGTAGAACTGTGAGCCAAATAAACCACTTTTGTTTATACATTATCCAGCCTCAGGATATTCCTTTATAACAACACAGACTAAGACAGGGGGTGTCAATAGAGTTAAAATTCTTTGTGCAACATACTGAGCCACTCCTGGGACTTTCAGGTAACTGAAACTTTGCAATATGCTGGGTATACACCATCTCAACTCATTTCATCAAATGCTAAGGGAAATGGGAAGGAGAGCATGTTTCTGTTTGAATGTTCTAGTTAAGCAAGTATGTAATTGAAGTCCATTTTGCTTTCACCACTTCTAAATGGCATACCTTATGAGGTTCAGTGCTGGTGAACATGATTGATCTCTATTTGTTGATTGCTCATTTGGCTATGGGCTCCAGAGAGACTTTTTCTGAGCTCACTTTGTCATGGACCTGAGATAGGAAGGATGGAAGGGATTGAGTGGAAGCATTTCCTTATCCTCTGACATATTTCTGTTCCACAGCATGATGTTCAAGGTAGTGGAAAGAATTGGAGCCCTCTAGTAAAATTGCCAGGCTTTTCCACATGATAGGGCAAGAATATTGCAGCATTGGAGTGGGCTGCTTGTCAGGGGCTAACTTCCTTGAAGATGAGATACAATGACCTCTGCCTTCTTTTCCCCCTCTGTGGTGTAAGCCAAGAACTTTCCTTCAGCACTGCATCTCCTGGCTATGGGACAAGGTCACATCTTAGGGGGTGATCCCAGTTGGTGAAGCTGTCCTTCCAGTTCTCTGAGCTCTGTCTTGGGGACCCAAACTTGAAGCAAAGGGCACTCTGGTTAATTCAAATTTTCAGGCAACTCTTGGGCTCCTGGAGTCCAATTTCTGTTCTGATGGAGGAGTACACCTCTTGGGGCCAAAGTCCTGTCATAAAATCCATTAGTGATCTTTCTTCGCCCCATCCAGAGGGGAGCCAATCAGGTTACCAGAGGCTCAAGAATCTGAGAATGAATAGCAGTGAAGTACCTCCTGATCCTCAAAGGTGTCCAGTCTTTCGGAACGCAGATTCAACCACGGCAGTCAAGTCACTGCATTCTCTTCCCTGCAAGAAGCAAACTCTGGGGCATATGTTGTTCCAAGAGAAAAGCACATTTTGTATTTTTACAGAGGGACAGGACAGGGTAACCCTAGCTGCAGATCCCCGGCCCAGCCCTCTAGCAGCCCAGGAGCTGCAAGGGGAGATGGAGTTAGCCCTAAGGGGACTGCAGAGAGCCAGGGAGTGGGCATACTGAGGGTGGAGGTTGGATCTTGCACCTTTTTGTGTGACTCCTGATACCTGCCAGATTGGCTAGGCTGGCTGTGATCTGGATGGGTGGAGGTTGGATCACGCACCTTTTTGTGTGACTCCTGATACCTGCCAGATTGGCTAGGCTGGCTGTGATCTGGATGGGTGGAGTCAGCCACATGTCTTGCTTAGTGCCCACCCAGCTGCAGCAAGAAGTGGCTGTGTATGTCAGCATATAAAACTCCAAGTCAAAAGGTCAAACTGTGCACTTGATCTCTCAAGTTGCCTGCTTGGCCCTCTTCCAAGTGTACTTTACTCCCTTTCATTCCTGCTGTAAAGCTTTTTAATAAACTTTTACCACTGCTAAAAAAAAAAAAAAAGAGAGAGAGAGAGAGAAGTGGCTGCAGACTAAGCGGACTTCGAAGTGGCCTGATGCATCCTAAGGGTGCTGTATGGAGTAGAGCTGCTGCTCGGCTGTTCCTGCCGCCGCTCCTGGGCTCTAGGCTCCTGACGGATGCCTGGCCTTCCCAGTCCCGTTGACCACGAAGCTCTCTCCTTTGAGGTGACTCTGCGAAATACCTAGTGTCCCTCACCTAGTTCCCCCTTGCCCTGTGCTGCCCTGTTCACCCCACCTCCGTCCTCTTTCCAGTCCTCAGCCATCCTCCATGCCCTCTGTCCTTCTGGGGTCCAAGGCCACAGGCATCTGAGGCATACTTTGAGCCTCTGTGTTCTACTACTCATCAGGACCTGGCTCCTGGAGGGCAGCAACCCCAGTACTATTTTGAAATTCCACTTTGGCCTCTAACCTCTCCCTTGATGATCCACTGTTTTCCTGGACCTCTTTTATTTGTAGGCACAACCCCCAGGCTTCCACAAATGGAGAGGGCAGGCAACCCCTTGGAAGGAGTTGGCTGATGGAGACATGGACCTGCACTTCTGAGCCCCAGCTTGCTTACCCTGTCTACTACTGGCCCCAAGAGAGCATTGAGGTGGGAAAGGGGGTGTCCAGTTGAGACGGAACCCTGTGCTTCAGCCCACCTGTTACTGCAAGGCTAGGTGCTTGAATGCCTTCATTCCATGGTCCACTCATCTATCTTTGCAGAGTAAGGTCTTGGGCAGATCTCCACAGTCACTTACTCTGGCCACTGATTATGTGTTGAGGAGATGTGGTACAAGAACTATTGTCTTAATTCTCCATGATTAAAATACCATTGCCCAAAAATATCCCATAGTGGGCACGGATGCTTGGACCCAATAAGTTATAAATTACAATTAAATTAAGTCTTTGCATTTAAAAATTGGTTTGACAAAATGAGACTCTAAGGACTGCCTAATTAAAATAGTTAATATGAGCCAGTTGTGGTGGCTCATGCCTGTAATCACAGAACTTTGGGAGGCTGAGGCAGGTGGATCACTTGAGGTCAGGAGTTCAAGACCAGCCAGGCTAACAGGGTGAAACCCCATCTCTACAAAAAATACAAAAATTAGGTAGGTGTGGTGGTGCCTGTAATCCCAGCTACTCAGAAGGCCGAAGCAAGAGAATTGCTTGAACCCAGGAGGTGGAGTTTGCAGTGAGCTGAGATCGTGCCATTGTATTCCAGCCCAGCGACAGAGTGAGATTCTGTCTCAAAAAACAAACAAACAAACAAAAAACAAAACAAACAAACAAAAAACAGTTAATATGGCACAATGTAAATTCAAAATAGGGCCTTCAAGTATGAAACTTATTACATAAGACCTAATGAATGAAGGGGTAATTATCCCCACTCCTTCTCCATTTAACAGCCCAGTTTAGCCTGTTCTTAAACCTGGAATAATTGAATGGTACTTCATAGTGTATTACTGCAATCTTAATCCTATGGTCCTGTCCATTAAGGCCCCATATCCAATCTTATTGAAATTACTGACTCCGTTGAATCTGCACCAGCAAACATTTTGCCATTTTACATTTGACTAATATTTTCTGTTCTGTGTCTGTATCAACAGCCATTCAGCTTCAGTTTGCCTTCACCTCTGAAGAGACATGATACACATTTACCAGGCTACCCACGGGGTATGTCAGCAACCTTGCCATTGCAAATAGTCTTTGCAGGAAAGTTCTTAACTGTATCCACCATTCTCCAGGAGCACAGGTATGATGTTACATAAGAGACACCCTCCTCCAAAGAGATTTATTTGACACACTCATTAAGTATACTCATAAAGGAGCTCATAAAGAGGGGATGGGCCATTGCCCCACACTTATTGTAAGGTTTCAACACCTTTGTTAAGTTCCTAAAATTTATTTGGTAAGCCCAGAACTGCTCCATCCTTGACACTGTCAAAAACCAACTACTGACAGTCTCATCACCCGCAATGTTAATGTAAGTTCAGCATCTTTTACCCATTTCTGAGTTCTGAGGGCAACATAGTCCTCATTTACGATTTTGTCTTAATCTCACTGTTGCTATTACTTGCAAATCAGCACAGCTCGAATGGGCCTCTTCCAACAAAAAGCTCTAGAATCTGTCTTAATCTAAACCAATGGGCACTCCTGTTAGTGCTATGAGAGTTTCCTTTATTGTAGAGGCTTTAGTAACCTCCTGACATGCCCTCACTGTGGTCAATGGACCAGCCATAAAGGTTATAAGTTGATTGAAGGCTTCTGATGCAAGAAACTGCCCTACTAAGCCTTGCACTATATACCATTAGAGTGAGAATAACTGGCCATATGCTGGATGTCCCCAAAATAGAGGCTCTCATAGACCCTGAGCCTTTGGTTCTCTACCTCTGTAGTTGTCCAATATGCTTTGGGTCATGGAACCAGCACCCTGTGAAGTCATGATGGTTACTTAAGCCTCTTTGATACAGGGTGGAACCAAATCTGGGCATTTGGCAGATCATACATGTAAGAAGGAATGACCTCTGCTATCCTCAGTCCCTTGCCAATTGCCATGGTGCTGGAGGAGGTCACCCTATATCCCTTAGCTATGTGGGGAGCCCTTTGGGATCAAATTAGTGAACAGCAATGGGAGTTTATTCTATAGACAATATTGTCACCATCATACGTGTTACTGCTATCCATTTCTTAACCAGGATGTCTGTGATAAAGGGCAGGAAACAAAGAGTCAGCACAATTGGCCAAACTTCAGCCATCATCTTAGCACTGGGTGCCATGACCAACAAATGGCCCAGTAAGTACAGTTTTATGAACTCTTAGGCCATTGCCTCAGAGTTGCCCCCAAAGTAAGGAACTTTGGGAATCTATTCCCTTGCAGATACCCAAAATATAAATCAGGGTGTTACAGACTGAATTGTGTCTTCCCAAATCCCTATATTGAAGCCCCAACTCCCAATGTGACTGAATTTGGAGATAGGACCCTTGAGGCGGTAATTATGGTTAAATGAGGTCGTAAGGGTAGGGCCCTTATCAGATAGAACCTGTGTCCTTATAAGGAGAGAAAGAGACCAGAGAGCTCTTTCTCTCTGCACTTGCACAAAGGAAAGGCTGTGTGAGGACACAGTGAGAAGACGGCCATCAGTAAGTCAAGGAGAGAGGCCTCACCATTAATCAATACTGCTGGCACCTTGATCTGGGACTTCAAATCTCCAGAACTGTGGGAAAATAAATTTTAATTGTCTAAGTTACTCGGTCTGTAGTATTTTGTTATGGCAGCCCTAGCAGTCTGACACACAAGATAACAGATGTTCCTACATGTACAGTTGATTCTCATTATTTCTGGTAGTTATGTTCTATAAAGTCACTGTGAGCACTGAATTAGTGAATATTAAACCATGGTTCCTAGAGTAAATCCAGGCTCACTTTCTGTGAGCCTCTGGTTACAACATTTTCATTAGCCAGTCAGTATATAACCTTGTTTTATATGTGTTTTTGTTTAAAGACACTTTATTTCATGTATATTATTGATTTGTTTACATTGCTATTTAATATATATTGTTTATTCATTTGCATTGAACTTATGGACAACAGCACTATGCTCATGCTTAGCACATGTATTTTCTCCATAAGGCACATCACAGCCTTCTTGTGCTTAGGAACACTAGACAACACTTTAGCACTATGCTTGGGGGCAATTTTAAACAGTGAAATTATTAATAAAAAGCATAAAAGTTTGAACAATGTGGTATTAAATATACTGCAAAAAGGATACTTGTTTATGGTATGAGAGCTGAGACAAGAAGGCAGAGCATCACCTTATCCAACCTCAGCTGGGAACACATGCACCAGATAATTCAATTTTTTTGCTGATCTATGCATGTTTATGAATGACCACAGAAGCACTGCAAGAATTGATTTGGGGTTTATAAATAAGTTTCAGTGAGTAGGTAAATCCTTAAATATGGAATTTGCAAACAATGAGGAAGGACTATGCTAAGGCCCAGTACAAGGCCTCAACAGGATACTCCTTATCCCCTTTGGAGTTCCAGACATTACTGCTATGACCAAAGCACTCACCTCACTTCTCAGAATACACAATCTAGGCTCTTGAATAAGACAGTAAATGGAGCTTCCACTACCCTTATAGACCCCAGGCAGCTGGTTTAATTGACAGGCATAATAGGCTCCTCAAAGAACTCCTATTTAAGTTACAAAGTGATACTCCTCTAGGTGTCACTATTACCACAGGCATTGATTAATCTAAATTAATGCCTTCTAGGACATGGATTCACTATACCAGTGCCACTCAGGTCCCTCAGTTGCCTTTATTGGCCATAAAGGGGGACACCTCTGAAGTTCATGCTTTTGATGACCACCTCACCAGGTGGCCCTGTCCCTGCCTGTCTCCCTAGGAAGTGAAGTAGACACTTTTCCTTCTCACCAATAGGGTTGAACAGGTGATCAAAACAGGGTGCAGGATAACAGGCAAGACACAAAACAGACATGAGAGACACCCGTTTGAGTCCAGATTTTAGCCCATTCCCAGGGCATGTGTATTAGTCTGTTCTCACACTGCTATAAAGAAATACCTGAGTCTGGGTAATTTATAAAGAAAAGAGGTTTAATTGGTCCATGGTTCTGCAGGCTGTACCGGAAGTATGATGACATCTCCTTGGCTTCTGGGGAGGGCTCAGGAAACTTGAAATCATGGTAGAAGGTGAAAGTGGAGCAGGCACTTTCACGTGGCCGGAGCAGGAGCAAAAGAGAGATGAGGGAGGGTGCCACACACTTTTAAACAGTCAGATTTTGTGAGAGCTCGCTCACTATTGTGAGGACAGTATCAAGAAGATGGTACTAAACCGTTCACAAGAAACTGCCGCATGATCCAATCACCTCCCACAATGTCTCACCTCCAACGTGGGGGATTACAATTCAACATAAGATTTGAGTGGGGATATAGATCCAAACTGTATCAGCATGTGTGTTTGTATGTTTGTGTATGTGTGTAGACACTTCACTTCCTAAAGAGGCACTTCTATTCTCTAGAAGTCTCAGTCATCACCAGAATTTATATTGATGTGAAGGCATCAAGGAGTCAATTATGGTGCAAGGCCTAAATTAATATTATGCGCTTCCTGGACATCTGGTAAAATTAGGAGGACCTTGAATGTCCTAACTGCAAATTCCCCTCTCCACTCGGTGCCTGCAGGTAAGGTCCCTTAACAAAACAAGTCTCCTTATTAAATGAGCCAGTGCAGTTCCTGCTTATCTTTAACTAGAGAGTTTCAATTCCTTGCCAGTCTGTGTAATTATTCGAAGAAGCCAGTCACATTCTCCCCCAGGAATCAGGGACACTCCATTCTTTTGATACTACAAAGTTTGCCTCCTACAAACCCTGGTTGTTTATTGTGTTTCTGAATGTAACCCCAAGTGGCCCTGTGTGGTGTATTATGTACTCTCCAGGGCTTTAAGTGTATGTGACTAATAAAACTGCTAGTGATTTCATCTGTCCAGTGTTGACTGTCATGTGTTTGGCCATCCCCATATCCCTAGGACAGGAATCCCTCCCTTACCAATGGAGTGAAGAAGAGGCCACCAAAATGGTTATAGGGTGATGGACAAGACACACAACATTGACCTGAGAGACACCTGTTTGAGCCCACATTTTAGCCCATCTAAAGCATATATGTTTGTCTTTCTCTCGCTTTCTGCGTGTGTGTGTATTAAAGGGCTAGGGGATCTTTTTTGATGCAACAGAGAGAAATTATTGATTCAGCTCTATTGGAGGGAGATAAGACTGTGCAATCTATGGTTGTATAATTGTGTGGCCTGGAGTGGGTGTATTTTGTACTTACTTGTGTGAAATGTTTGAAGATACAGGGTTCTTTTCTATGTTTACTTTAAATTTATTTGGGTCTCATAATATCTGAAGATGTTTGCCAGTCATCCACTTATTTATGTAGATCACACATAAATATGTATTTGCAGTGTCTATAGATCCTGAGTGCTGGCACATGGGTAAAGCATGGTTGGAAACAGGTTGGAGTACATTGCTTTAATTCAGGAATAATTCATGCACACATTGGAATGCTGCTAAATGAAATTTCATGATTAAAGATAATTGAGAATAAGTTTTTACATGGCAAACCAGAAATGAACATGTACCCAGTGGAATAAAAAGGTAGTTGGGTAAGGTTCTAGCAGATAGCACTGCAGTTTCCACATTACCACATGAGACTATTAGTGCACACACACACACACACACACACACACACACACACACATGCTGAGATTTGCGGGGAGTTCATTTGTTAATTTGAGAAAGATCCTAAGAGTCTCATTAATGCCCAGGGCCCAGGGCCTGTTCTCATTCAGAAGCTACTTGTGGGGGAAACAGCCCTGCTAATGATCTCAGTTGTCTTGAGTGAGCACATCAGAGACCTCTGAAAAGCCAGCTCTCTGCAGGGCTACAGCTGGGTACTTACATGTACTCACCCAAGACACTTCTAGGCTGGAAGCACATGATTAATGAGAGTAATGCCAGCTTCCAGAATAGATGTCTCTGTGAAGCCAGCCCTGAGCCTCAAGAATCTGAAATGGCTTCATTGGGTGAGGGTCACAAATCTCTGCTACATGAACAAGGCTGTCTGTCTGTGTCACATGCCATATGTCCAGCCCTGAGAACAGGTGTACAAGAGCAAAGTTGACATGGATGTGACAACAAAATGCCCAGTCCCAGGCCACATAGAGGAAATGTGACTTTGAGCTGGAGAATGTATACTGGTTGGCTCAGCTCAGGAGGGCACTGAGGGTGGAAGATTACTTTTCTTTAGTCAATCAGATGCCCCTGGAAGGAGGATTCCCTGTAATCGCAAGAGCCATGTCCATGCTGATTGCAAGGTGGGGCTCTTTCAGAGGTTGAAGTAATGCATTTTTTGAAGGCTCCCACTTGCCTGCTTCCTCCCCTCTCCACTTCTCAGAAAGCCTTCCCCATACCCTGATATCCTGCCTGGTAACATGGACAGTCTTTGTGCCTCACTCTCTGAAAAAAAGCTGGGGCGGGAAGGATGAGTCTTCCTCGCTGCTATGTTTCTGGCTGACTCGCTATGGGAAGAGAAGAGGGGTATGAAGAGTGCATATACTTATGACTGGACATGACTGTATGTGTGCAGGAGAAAGGAATTCCTAGGAAAGTTAGGGGCTGGGGTGTTCTCTGCTGTTTGTTCTCTGAGAAGCAATGTGGCATTTACTGATAACCAGTTACTTCTCTGTTTCAGGAAAAAGTGTGCAAATAAGGCTGTGGTTCAACAGGTTTTGGACAGGATGCTGATGGGACACAATGCCCATCTGAGACCAAATTTTGGAAGTAGGCCACTTCCAGACACTTGAGACCTTTGTGTTAGGTCAAATAGAGCTGAGACACAGCAAACCAACCCAACTGGTAAGCCTACCAGTGGCCCTCCGCAGGCTCTACACCTCTGCCTCTCTAGATCCCACCTTCCTGACCCTGAAGAGACATGCAGCTGAACACTCCCGGGCCTCCAATCTCCAGGCCTTTAGCTCTATCCCTGCAATTTCTGCCACTTCTTTGCTTGTATATACAAGAGATCTTCTGCTCTTTCCACAGTCCCTTGTGAGGGCACCAAGCCTAAATATGCACCCCCTGTTGTGGCTGAAGAGGCAATGGGTATGCAGGCTTCAGGGTGCTGTGCTTCTCAAGCTGGAGCTTTCTGCTCCATCTATTACACTCTATGGGTAAGGCACTTGAGCACACATTCTTTGCACCCTGGGCACTCTCCCTGTTCATTTTATTCAAAACTGTGTGCATATTCTTCACCATGCAGTCTACTTCACAAATCTCTGTTCAGTCTACTTTGACTAACCAGGCCTCAGGGTCTTCCCCCATTGTCCCCAAGCCTTCAGTTCCCACTGATTTTTATTGGCTCTACCTCTGGAAAACATCCTAACTCTGTTCTTATCCCTCCATTGATCATAAGGCCCCTAGCTTAGGCCTCGGTCATCTTGCTCCTGAATTACTGCACCTTGCAAGTTGCTTTCCCTTTGCTTCATTGCTCTTCCCAGAGTGTGAGGGCATAAGATGCAGCCCACAGTGTATGAGATGATTGTGCACCTAGGGACTGGGATGCTAGGGTGTAGAGGGCATAAGGCAGGCTCTTTCAATAACCTTACCCTATAAGGATAGCAAAGCCTCTTCTTGGTGGGCCCCCTAAGGGAGAGGCCAAGACTTTTAAGGGGAGAGAAGTCTAGGTATATTGGAATTCAGGTGTTAGGTCACAGCCAGATCCCCGCTGCATTACACCAGGGCTTGTGTCAATTGAGCCAAATACTGGTGGGTGTCAAAGAAGTAGCTACTTCATGTACTCCTTTCTTTGTTCCCATGTTTTTCAGCAAAGGCTAACCAACAACCAATTAAGTACACCAAGCACATTCTCCCTACTCTTTTATGGTCAGGTTGTCATCTCAGCATGCATCCAAGACCAGGGAAAGGGAGGAGGGGCAAGGACCAACCTCTGGAGATGGTCAGGTGTGGATAGTCCCAAGGTTCCTCACCACCATTTTTCACACAGACTCTGATTTGTTTATGCTTGTTGTCTCAGGTGGAAGAGGAAGGGGTTGCATTAAGCTTTCTTAGCATGCAGACTTGGGGCAAATGAGAAAAGGTGAGTTCCTGCATTGATCTGGCCTAGCAGTAGATAAAGGTAGGAGGGCAAGACAACTGAGGACCTTTTTTAGACATAAGGGGGCACTACAGGCTCTATGTTTGGGGTGTGTGTGTGTGTGTGTGTGTGTGTGTGTGTGTGTGTGTGTGTAGGGAGGCCAATAGATGAAACAGCTGCACTCTGAATGGGTGGGTGGAAGGGGTGGAGGGAGTAGAGAACAAAGCAAAACACCCAGAACACTGTGTTTGTCCTTGGAGATAGCCTCGCCACCTGGTCAGCAATTGCAGCATGCTCCAGAGGGGAAGCCCAGCCAGGGGAGCAGGAGAAAAGGCTGGGGGTGTTTAGCTGGCAGGAAAGGGGGCCTGGGTAGAGATTTACAACTTGATTCTGGAAGAGAGCAAGACTCTAGGAATCAAGAAATTAATAGGCTAAATTACATATTGGATTGCATTTAATTGATGGAGGCAAGATGCCAGCGGGAGAATGAGAGCTGACACTGGACAGAAATACACAGAGAAGCCATGACGGAAAAGAAAAGGGATGAGAGTAAAGAATAAGGAAGATAGGAAGGAAAATACTGCTTAGATAGGTAGTACTTGGTACATCAACAATACTTAAAATTCATTTGAACCATTGCCTGCTTCCCAGGCAGGTTGAGTCAGCCCATCTCCAGGTCTGTCAGGTCAGCAGTGACAATCAGGATCCAGGCAGTGACACCTATTCCATTAAAGAGTCAAAAGCCCCCATCCCAATCCCTTTTTTCATGCAGGGCTTCAGGGAAACCAAGCCAAGGACTTCAGGGTTTAGGGACCCCCGGAATTACCTGTGAGGCCTCCCACAAGAATAAGAGTCAGATTTCTCTCTGTTTCTGAGGTGAAATAGAGTTTCAAGGCTTAACCTGTTCCTTCCACTCCTTTTCAAATTCACAAACAGAGGCCTTAGTGACTGTACCCTGGTCAGGTTCATACAGGAGCTTTATTACTTCCTTGAGAAGTAGGGTAGGGTGGTGAGGTGAGGAGGAGGAGGAAGAGGGAGGGAAAGCTAGCAAAGCTTCTTCTCTGTGGGCAAGAGAACTGGGTTGCCACAGTGCTGTGAAAAACAGTTCCCTGGGGGCTTCACTTAGCACAGTACCTGGCATGACATAAGCATCCCAATATTGTAGGGTGAAGGAAAGAATGAAACATTTTCCTCCATTCCTTCATTCACCTGTTTTTTGATCACTGACACTGTGATGGATGCTGGGGAGGGAAGTAGTTAACCCCACCACTTTTCTTGCCTTTCTGAACTCATCAGGAAGCACAGTGATACAGGGCTAAGGCCATCACTCCAAAGATGGCATTTAGGCATCTTATCTGGAGGCTTCTTTTTTGATTATGCTTTTAGAGATATAGGTATACCTTAGCTAAGTTCTCATCCTGATCACAGCTAGCACGTAAAGTGGCTCATCTGGGCAGATAAAGTAGAAGTATTCTTTCCTCTGGTCTGCATCTCTGTGCCAGAGCACAGGGCTTAGTGAAGGTAATGTGGCCTGTGTTTCTGCTCCCACTTGCTCTTTCTGCTGGGAACCTTCAGATAGGGCTCTGTGCTGGCCCTTTAGGGTACCAGGATTCCACTGAAAGGGAGGAGTTGCTTGAGTGGCACTGAATGGTCTAGGATAAGAAGTCTGATCCTGGGATTGGAGGAGGGGAGGGGGCTGCCTGGCCTCGCTGGGATTTATTAACTGTATAACACAGCCTCTATCCTCTAAAGGCATGTGGGGAGCCTGAAAGGCTATAATCAAGAACTGTGTTTCTAGAAACCTGTCACTGCATAGCGCTTTGCTAGGGGTTGTTCACAATAGCCCTGAATGCTGGAGTCTGGGCTGCGCCCTAACACAGGCACCCATTTACTTGTCAGTTGTCATTCAGACACTTATTCCCAATAGCACTTAGCTTTTTGAAGCATTGGGGTTGGAGTACACATTTCTCTCTTTGCAGCTCAGCTTCTGGGCAGTAAGCCTGCAAAGAAGCCAGCAGGCTGAATGATGAGGGTCACACATATTTTCATAGCAGGAGTGTGATGTAATACACAGAGAACAATGGCCTTGCTGTAGAGCTGGTTATAGGCAGCTTTGAACCCATAGGGAATAATAAAAATTTATTTGTGCACACCACCTTAACAGTTTACGATACACTTTAAAATCCATGGTCATATGTACATTTTGCCAGTGGACAGTGATAGCACAGAGGCCCAAAGAAAAACCTCAAGATGAAGAAACATACTCAGATACATGCTCACACATTCAGTCACATTTGCACACTAAAACAATTACACTCCCATGTGTGTTCACATAACTCATACATGAATACAGTCTTAGATTCACATATATGCCTGAACATACACACAATAACATGCTCACACACACATTTTCACTTGCAAGTGAACACATTCAAACATATGAACTTACACACATATTGAGACACTCACATATGCTTACGTGCTCACATCTTCGCTCACACATGTATATACTCACATATTCACTTAATTAACTTATTAATATTTTAACATGCTCACACAAAAAATTATCATGAATCAACTCACAAAAAGGAAAATATTCCCATAATTGCACAACTGACATTCATTCACACACACAGACGTTCTCAGGCACTCATGACCACAATAAGATATAATGTGCTCACAAATTAACTGACAAACCTATACACACACCCTATACACACTCACAGACGTACACATACTTACATCACCTCAAGCTGTACATGATCACACTCCCACACATGAACTTCCTTATGCCTTTACATACCCATGAACATGCTCACACACACATCATTTACTCAGACATGAATGAATTTCACATATTCACTCACACAAATGAGCTTACAAATGTATTCACACAGACACATTCACTCACACACATTACATGCTCAAAACATCAACTGCAAACACTTTTATCTGCACATGCTTATGCTCACACAAATGAACATACTTATACATTGACTCACACATGAACTTACTCAAGCATTAATATAACAAGACACATGAACATGCTTATGCATTCTCTCACTCAAGCACACATTCCTACTTTGACTAATATTCATGCATAAACACACTTACACAAAGACATACTCGTGTTTACTCACTCATGTACATGCTTGCATGCTCACATACACACTCTTACATGCATCATTCACTCACACTCAGATATGAAAACACTTAGATATGGACATGCTGCCACGTTCACTCAAAAACAAGAATGTACACTTACACAATCACTCATGCATGAACAAGTTTACACTTGGAAAAAATTTCACATATTCACAAGACTACATGCTCATAGACGTGTACACACATTAAAAGTTTCACACACACCAGTGCACAATAGCTTAGAAACATGAATATGATCACATATTCACACACAGATAGGATCATATTCATTCATACAGTCACACACATGGACAAACTCACGTCTACTTATGTCCTCACACATTCACTCATACTTGCACATGAACACAGACATACATCATCACTCTTACACAAACATGTTCATACAGTTATTAACACCCTCACACACACATGCTCCCACATCCACTCACACTTATATTTTAACATGCACATGCATAGACATGCTCATGCATTTATCCAGACATAAACATCTTTGCACATTCACTCATACACGAATATACTCATTTACATGCACACATGTAATACTCACACTCACATATGAACACACACAAATATGGTTACACATTCATTCAGACACATAAACATGTTCACACACAAATGTATGTACTCACACAATCACTTGCACACAGACATGAAAACATTCACATATTCACACAATGAACCTGCTCACAAACTTACACATATAACCATTAACACACTCACACACTCACAATCAACATTCACACACAGACACATGCACACAATCATTTTGACACTTATGCGAATGAACATGCTTATACATTCACTCACAAATGAAGATGCTAACATGTATGCACATGCTCACAAATTGACACACATGAACGCACACATTCACTTAAGCACACAAGTAAACTCTAACACTTTCACACATGTACAGGTTCAATTCATTCTCACACAGACATATTCACATACATGCACATAGTTACAATTCACTCATATAAACATGCTCACAGATTTATTCTTACTCATAGACACACTCACATATACTTGCACAAACACACAAATATACTCAACATACTATGTATTCACTCATGCACTCAAATATGCCTCATATACACAATGTTACTCACACTTTAACTCATTTGCATGTACACACTCAACCTGAAGATGCTCATACACTTATGCAATCCATCACACACAAAAAACATGGCCACACATTCACACGTAGAATGTGAGTGAATTTGTAAGTGTGTGCAAATGACTATATGTGATTATATATATTCACACATATAGTCATTTGCCTAAATGCTTACATACACACACATATAGACAAATTCACCTACATGCTTACATACACAAACATGGTAACTACTCACTCACATGCATATTCACTAACATCAACATACTCAAAAATTTACTGACACACAAAAAATGGTTAAATATATGCACACTCAAAAATTCATTGACATCAAAAAATTCACTGACACAAATGAATATGCTCAAAAATTTATTCAAACACAACACACAGACCCACACCCACATGCTTTCACATTTACTCATGAAACATGCTTACACATTTACTCACATATATGAGTATGATCATAAACTGACTCACACAGAGGCACATTCATATGATTACATTCATGCTCATACATCCACTCGCACAAAAATGCTCACATATTCACTCACATGCATACGCTTACAAATTCACTTACACTCATGTATGATCATAAGTACACACTCACAATTCACTTATGTATGCACATTAACATGTACCCAAATGGTAACATGCTCACACATTCACTTGAACACAGATTTGCTCACACTCATCACAAAGTTCACATATACAGTCACACACACACTCACATAAATTCACACATACTTTCTCAAATACAAAAATGCAGTCATACACTAACAAGCTCACACAAATGAACATGCTTACACATTCACTTACACACAAACATGCTGACATCCATTCACACGATTATAAATTTATCCACAAATATGGACACATGAGCATTTACTTCATCATACAAATACACTCGCATTAACATAGTCTCACACATGAACTGGCTCAGATGGACATGAGCATTTACTTAATCATACAAATATACTCACATTAATATAGTCTCACACATGAACTGGCTCAGATATTCACTCACACAAAGATGAGACAGACATTTACACACCCATACATTTACTCAAACATGCTCACAAATTTACTTACACTTTTTTTTTTTTTGAGACGGAGTCTCGTTCTGTCACCCAGGCTAGAGTGCAATGGTGTGATCTCGGCCCAATACAGTCTCCGTCTCCTGGGTTCAAGTGATTCTCCTGCCTCAGCCTCCCGAGTAGCTGGGATTACAGGCGCCTGCCACCACACCCGGCTAATTTTGTATTTTTAGTAGAGACAGGGTTTCGCCATGTTGGCCAGGCTGCTCTCAAACGCCTGACCCTGTGATCTGCCAGCCTTGGCTTCCCAAAGTGCTGGGATTACAGGAGTGAGCCACCGTGCCCAGCCATTTACTCATACTTATAGACACACTCACATATACTCACGTACACAGTGACATTCACCAAAACACAGGTATACTCATATTTACATACTCATATATATAACAATATTAATTCACTCACATACCCAAATATTTTCACATACATAAAATCATTTACACATTTACTCACACACATCAGCACACTCACATGATCACTCAAACATGTTAGTATACTTGACTTTATCGTGCTCACACATTCACACACATACATAAACATGCTTACAAGTATACTTACATACATCAACCTCCTTACATAAATCATTTGCATAACTCACAATCCAGTAACACTCATACATTAACATGCTCATATATTACACATGTACTCAAAATTCACTGATAAATACTTGCTTACTCACATGAAGATGTTCAGATTCCCTCAAACATAAAATATGCTCACATACATGCACATGCTCACACATTCACTGAATCACACAACACACATGTTCATATACTCACACAAACATATTCACAGATTTACTCACACGCATAGACATATTGACATTCACTTGCAGCCATACACTTACACATTCACTCACCCATGCAAACACACTTACGTATGCGTTCACTAAAATTTGCTCACTTATTCACTCACATTAACCTGCTCATAAACTCACACATACTCATATGTGCTTACATGCAAATACTCACATATTTACTTATCCATACACATTAACACACTCACAAACAACATATATTACCTATTCTCAGCATACTCACATATTCTCACAAATGAATATGTTCTTACCATGAAACTCACACATTCACTCACACACACATTCATTCATTCACATGTACTTACATGCCCATGCTTACACATTCACTTACACTGATATATTCATATTCAGCAAGCTCACACAAGCATATTTACACATTCATTCACACAGATGAATATGCTAAAATCCATGTCCATGATTATGAATTGACTCACAACACACACACTCACACTCTTGCACATATGCTACACATTCTCTCAAATGTACTCATACATTAAAAATATCACACAAATAAAACATTTACAAATTCACTGACACGTACATGCTAATATCCACATTTGGTCACACATTCACTCATACATGGGAACATGCACAAACACTTAATTGCACAACTGTACTCAAATTAACACACTCATACTTGAACAAACTCATATGTTCACTCTCCAACATGGGCACTGTTACATAAATTAGCCAAAGAAGGCCTCTATATTACTGGCCCTTTGTTGTTTACCTCTTCAAAGCAGGCTAGGATCCATTAGCTTGAAAGCCGGCTGGCACAAAACTCAAATTTTACACATTCTGTTATTTTAAAAATAGCCCAAATAAGCAGAATTGTAGCCATTGGAGATCCTGCCTGTTTTGCATACTCCACAAAACAGCACCCAGCATCTGCTATCCATAGCTAAGATAAAGCCTATAGCTATAAGAGACCCCCCAAGTCACCGCTGTTCTTTGGCACTCTCTGACCCAGAGACTCTGTCATCATGCTGCTGAGTGACATCACCTAGACACACAGGTCCCCTCTCTGATTCCACTCTTTCCTGGAAATTATCTTGCCCTCTTCCATACCCTTTTCTGGGTGGTGCCTCTGGAAGGTCTCCTGTTGTGAGGGTTGTCTCTCTCACGCAAACCTGTGAAAGTGTCATCCAAATAAAGCTCGCTGTGTGCTAATGCCACATTTGGGTCATATCTTTTTCCCTGATCAGCCCCTAAATTGCTCGAACTCACTACAAGTGGTTATGAGGGAAAGGAAGAATTTTGGTGATGATCAGGAAATCAATACAGGGTCCACCTAGTTAGTAGTAAAATCAATTGACAAAATTATTTCAGACAGTCTTTAAGTAGTTCAGACTCAAAATTTGGAAGGCCTCCAGTTTGGCATGGCTTTACTCTGTGCTATATTATACTCTATATTTGTTGTGCCCCCTCCCTCAGGACTTATTAGCCTAACCAAGCACCAGCACCCGCATTTGAGCAAACCCATGACATTGCAATGGAGGTTGGGGGTCAAAGGCACTGAGCTCCCTGAGGAAGGAGGTCTGCCTGCCCACTTGGGTCCCTCACTGGGCAGGTGCTGGAGATTTTAAGACCTGTGGGCCTGAATAGAAAAAGGGGAGGAGTGCATACCTGTAGACCAAAGGTAGGTTACCCTTGATTTGGGGTACTCTGAGACGAGAGGACATCTTTGTCCCTGGGGACTGTTATGACAGAGATGTCAGGCCTAGGCTGCTCTCTTAAGCACAACTGGGGGAGACACCTTCATAAACAGCAAGCATGACTCTACTGCTGTTTGATTTGTACCTGTTATTGCAGAAGGCTTTATTCTAGTTCCTCTTCCGCAGGAAATCGAGACCTAAATCCTTGGACTGAGCTGGCTAAAGCATTACTTGTAGTGACTAAATACAAGGATGTTTATATGCCTGCCCCTCCCAGAACTCTGAGGGAAGTGGCTATCCTACTGAACAGGAAGAATGCTAGGCCTTACTCATGGCAGCTTCTGACTAGGACACTGCTGGAAAGGAGGTAGGTGCCCAAACTCCTGAGGGAGACAAGACAGACGGGAGGATCCTGGAGAAGACGATTTATGTCCTCTAGAAGAAAAAGCAGCACAGTACCACGATGATACTGATAAGGACAATTTGCCTTCTGCTTTCTAGGTAAGCACTCACAGAGTGGTAAAGTTGGAGAAGACAAAAAGGGAGGGTCAAGGAAGTGAGGCCGTTTTTTGGTTAGAGGAGGAAACACATCCTCTCTCTTGTCCTGAGATCCAGTCTCTCCTTAAGGACCTAGCCCAAGAACCAAATGAAAAAAAGGGTTGCATGGCTATATAGAACATATATGCTGGGAGCGAACTCCACCTCATGGGAGCTGAAATTAAACAACTGATTACCATCATATGGTACGGAAAATGATGTCTCTACTAAAAGATCCTACACAATTAGTGGGGAAGGTAGGAATAATCCCAGAGGAGGCATTGGACTCAAGTCTACATATACCTTGTTGATGTGGACCTTTATGGCTCGAGAGGATTCCCACCCTACATTAGGCCTCCTAACAGCCCTGGGCAGACTGTCAATGGAAAACATTCACCTCCTATTAGCTGGGGATGTTGAAATGGGCTTATCAGGCAACAGAAGGCATGCAGCATAGTGACTTGGCAAGTCTGGAGGAGGCTGAATTGAATCTTGAATCCACCCAATTGTTTCTCAGGGGGGCTCCTGACAAGTATAAGTCCACATTACTTGATCATGGTGGATAAGCTTTTTGATGATGCAAGGCTGGTTCAACATATGCAAATCAATAAATGTAATCCAGCATATAAACAGAACCAAAGACAAAAACCACATGATTATCTCAATAGATGCAGAAAAGGCCTTTGACAAAATTCAACAACCCTTCATGCTAAAAACTCTCAATAAATTAGGTATTGATGGGATGTATTTCAAAATAATAAGAGCTATCTATGACAAACCCACAGCCAATATCATACTGAATGGGCAAAAACTGGAAGCATTCCCTTTGAAAACTGGCACAAAACAGGGATGCCCTCTCTCACCACTCCTATTCAACATAGTGTTGGAAGTTCTGGCCAGGGCAATTAGGCAGGAGAAGGAAATAAAGGGTATTCAATTAGGAAAAGAGGAAGTCAAATTGTCCCTGTTTGCAGATGACATGATTGTATATCTACAAAACCCCGTTGTCTCAGCCCAAAATCTCCTTAAGCTGATAAGCAACTTCAGCAAAGTCTCAGGATACAAAATCAACGTAAAAAAATCACAAGCATTCTTATACACCAACAACAGACAAACAGAGAGCCAAATCATGAGTGAACTCCCGTTTACAATTGCTTCAAAGAGAATAAAATACCTAGGAATCCAACTTACAAGGGATGTGAAGGACCTCTTCAAGGAGAACTACAAACCACTGCTCAAGGAAATAAAAGAGGATACAAACAAATGGAAGAACATTCCATGCTCATGGCTAGGAAGAATCAATATCGTGAAAATGGCCATACTGCCCAAGGTAATTTACAGATTCAATGCCATCCCCATCAAGCTACCAATGCCTTTCTTCACAGAACTGGAAAAAACTACTTTAAAGTTCATATGGAACCAAAAAAGAGCCCGCATCACCAAGTCAATCCTAAGCCAAAAGAACAAAGCTGGAGGCATCACGCTACCTGACTTCAAACTATACTACAAGGCTACAGTAACCAAAACAGCATGGTACTGGTACCAAAACAGAGATATAGATCAATGGAACAGAACACAGCCCTCAGAAATAACGCCGCATATCTACAACTATCTGATCTTTGACAAACCTGAGAAAAACAAGCAATGGGGAAAGGATTCCCTATTTAATAAATGGTGCTGGGAAAACTGGCTAGCCATATGTAGAAAGCTGAAACTGGATCCCTTCCTTACACCTTATACAAAAATCAATTCAAGATGGATTAAAGACTTAAATGTTTGACCTAAAACCATAAAAATCCTAGAAGAAAACCTAGGCATTACCATTCAGGACATAGGAATGGGCAAGGACTTCATGTCTAAAACACCAAAAGCAATGGCAACAAAAGCCAAAATTGACAAATGGGATCTAATTAAACTAAAGAGCTTCTGCACAGCAAAAGAAACTACCATCAGAGTGAACAGGCAACCTACAAAATGGGAGAAAATTTTCACAACCTACTCATCTGACAAAGGGCTAATATCCAGAATCTACAATGAACTTAAACAAATTTACAAGAAAAAAACAAACAACCCCATCAAAAAGTGGGCGAAGGACATGAACAGACACTTCTCAAAAGAAGACATTTATGCAGCCAAAAAACACATGAAAAAATGCCCATCATCACTGGCCATCAGAGAAATGCAAATCAAAACCACAATGAGATACCATCTCACACCAGTTAGAATGGCAATCATTAAAAAGTCAGGAAACAACAGGTGCTGGAGAGGATGTGGAGAAATAGGAACACTTTTACACTGTTGGTGGGACTGTAAACTAGTTCAACCATTGTGGAAGTCAGTGTGGCGATTCCTCAGGGATCTAGAACTAGAAATACCATTTGACCCAGCCATCCCATTACTGGGTATATACCCAAAGGACTATAAATCATGCTGCTATAAAGACACATGAACATGTATGTTTATTGCTTCATTATTCACAATAGCAAAGACTTGGAACCAACCCAGATGTCCAACAATGATAGATTGGATTAAGAAAATGTGGCACATATACACCATGGAATACTATGCAGCCATAAAAATGATGAGTTCATGTCCTTTGTAAGGACATGGATGAAATTGGAAATCATCATTCTCAGTAAACTATCGCAAGAACAAAAAACCAAACACCGCATATTCTTACTCATAGGTGGGAATTGAAGAATGAGATCACATGGACACAGGAAGGGGAACATCACACTCTGGGGACTGTTGTGGGGTGGGGGGAGTGGGGAGGGATAGCATTGGGAGATATACCTAATGCTAGATGACAAGTTAGTGGGTGCAGCGTACCAGCATGGCCCATGTATACATATGTAACTAACCTGCACAATGTGCACATGTACCCTAAAACTTAAAGTATAATAATAAAAGAAAAAAAACTTAAAAAAAAAAATAAGTCCGCATTACTGGCAATGATGGCTAATGCTAAAACAATTCAAGAGGACACAGCTGCCCTGGATTTAATAGAAATGCATGAAAGACAAACAGATCAAGTGTTGCCTATTAATTCTACAAAAAATATCCTACCTGGCCAAAACTAAAATTACTATTAAATGAGAGGCTGCCCCTTTCTTAGGCCAAACAAACTACCTGTAGCCAGGACCCCTGCTTAAGAATGAACCCTTAGATAAATAAGAGAGATTATATTGGACCCAAAGGAAAAAGGGGTTCCCAAATTATATGATCTCTGGTAAATCTATGGAGTAATTACAATACTTACTAGGGTTAGATTACCGTCTGGGAGGGCTTTTCCTTCAGAGACAGCCCTACCTTCCACACCTGCTCCTGATCTCTGCCAGTGACAGGGATCCACACATATGTAGGGATCCGGTAGGCTTGAAGTAAGCACCTTTTGACAGACAAGCACCCTTTTACAACATTAACTGCAGTTTGAGCTCCAAAAAGTAAATACTGGCTGGATCTGGTAAATACAAGTGCCCAAATATCTCGAATCCCAGGAATCACTCATGCATTAAAGGAATCCACTCCCACCCCCAGGAGGTGAAGTTTGGGAGGAGGATTAATTAAAGGAATAATTACCTGCTTAACTGTAAAAATTCGTCCAATTTTGCTAACAAATTATTCTGTCCTGGTTGTTCTCCCTGGGAACGTCCCTTTTCCCATTATTGGAATGAATCTCCTCAGTTAGCAGATAACATGGAGTGAGCCTAAGGCTTTTATGTTACCGGTGGGCTCCAGCCAGTGGCAGCCAGTTTATCATTCTTTATGGTGCAGGAGGCAAATATACCATAGTACTGGCTAAGGCAAAGCAGTGAGGAATTATGACCTATCATAGCTGACTTAGTTAAAAATGGGGTACTGATTCCCACCTTTCAATTCTCCAGCATGGTCTGTGCCACTACTAATGAGTGGAGGCTAACTATAGACTAAAGAGAGTTAAACAAGGCTGTTCCCTCTATTAGAGCATCTCTACCAGATATCATAATCTTAATGAATCAAATTAAAATTAGCATAGGTAAATGGTTCAGAGTTATAGACTTAGTTAATGTGTTCCAGCCAGTGAAAATTTCATAGGAAAGTCAACCATGAATCGCCTTCACCTTTGTGGATCAACAATAAACCTTTTCCCAGTGGCCTATGGGGTACTTAAATTGTGCATGGAATTTTCATACAGCATCTAGACACCTGTCCTAAATGGTCCCCAGAAACTAGGCCTTGGCATTATATTGATGACATCCTCCTCACAGGACCTTACTAAGAATCTGTCTAAAGTCAATCACAACAGTGAGTAAACACCTCACTAAGGGGATGGGCAATTGTCCCACATAAGGTACAGGCTCTTCCTAGTTTGTTAAATTTGGGAGCTACATTGAAAATTCAGAAGAATGAACTGTTCTCAATTCAGTAAAAAACAAGCTCTTAGTGCTCCAACCTGTGACATCAGTAAAGGAGGTCCAGCATTCGGTAAAGATATTTGGATTCTGGTGCCAACACATTCCTCAACTCGTGTTTGCTGGCCTCCATCTCTGGAGTCACCCATAATTCTTCCATTTTTTAGTGGGGACTTACACAACAACATACACTACATAAACTAAAGGACACCATCACTTTAAGTCTCCCAATAATGTACAGAGAGCAGGACTTAAAATTAGTTCTGCCATCCCAAATTTACTTCCTGGAGCCTCTGGACCAAATGGATGGATAAAGGCCTTACCCATGAGTTTTTGGTGTAAGCAGCTCCCAGACTCAGCCCAAAGGTTTTTGCTGCTAGAGAGGCAACCCCTGGAGATGTACTGGGCAGTTATTGAAACTGAAGCCCTTACTGGGGCAGAGCCAGTTACCCCATGGACCAAGATTCCTATTATGCCCTGGGTCATGGATAAAGTTCCTCATAAATTAGATTGACAACAGAGGCCTCTTTATTAAAATGGAAATGGTATCTACTGGGTTGAGTTAAACCCAGCCCTACTGGAGTGTCACAACTCCATGAGGAAATAGCCACATACCCTGGCACTGAGGTTACTTTGGCAAAACATCCAGAAATGCCTCTACCTCTTATTCAATGGGGACTGGAAGGAGGATGGACATCACTCTCAAAAAAGAATAGTAATGGTCTCTCTTTACTTATGGAGTCAGTACAGGGTATGAAGGAGCTAACAATGGATAGCCTCAGACCATCACTTCTATTCAAACACTCCAGTTTTGTGGGGGGTGGACCAAAGGGCTCAATGAGATGAGCTGTGGGCAATATTTGTAGCAATCGAGTATGTCCTTAATAATTTTTATAAGATTCATACTTTTACTGACTCCTGGTTTGTGGCTAATTACTTAGTTGAGGCTTTGGCAAAATCAGTGTTAAAAAATCAGGGTAAAGAGATATGGGAAAAATTCACCACACTGGCTCCTGCTCCACCCATCTTGGTGCACTATACCTTAATTTGTACCAAGCAAGGCAAAGAGGAGGCATGATACACAATGCCAAAGCCAACAAAATAACCAAACCACAAAGGTAGACTAGTCTGTTAAAGGAGGGGGAGTCTCCGGAACTTAGGGATGAGCTATCTCACCCCTTCTATTGGTAGGCACATGAGCGGTCAGGGAATTCGGGCATTGTTGGGTTAAGAAAGTGGATTGTTACTAGAGGAGTCAAACTGGCAGAGAGATGTGTACATAAAACTATTAATATTAGAAACTGTATCACATTGACAGAAATCTAGACACTGGGCCTACTTCATGGAAGGAGAAATTTACAGAAAAGGACCACATGACAACTGGCAAATTGATTTCATTGGGCTTCTCCTTGCTGTGGCTGGAGCCATTAAAATATGCCTTAACAATGGTGAATACCTACACAGGCCTTCTATTTATTTACCCATGCAAGACACCAACCTCTGCTAGTGTTATTGAGGGATTAACAAAAACAGCTTTCACAGCCTTTGGAAGTGTTACAAGTTATGTTATCAGATCAAGGGTCCCCCCACAAAGCACAAAACAAACACAACAATGGGCATTACAAGATAACATTGTCTGGGTTTTTTACCTACCCTATTATTCTATAGCAGGCATCATAGAAATATATAATAGTCTTTTTTAAACCAGAGCTATTGACAGTTCTTAGAGGACAGTGGTCTCTGAAGTGATCAAAAACATTGCCCATAGTCCTGATGATCATGTACCTATGTATGGCATAACAATACCATATGTAAATTCATAAATGATGAGACTACCAACAGAGATGTTGTGGCATCTGCTGGTGTGCACACCCACACCAAACACAACCCAATTACCAGTTTTTACAGACATGAGAACCCAGATGTTGCCACCCACCGAAAAGGAACATTAGTCTAGTACTTTCACTTTTCCTTTTGCCTTCATAGAAAACTCAGAGCTAGCACTTCCCTCTTGATCCTGACAAGGACCTGATGTGGACCAATGACTCTGGAACTGACCTCAGGCTGTGTCCACTCAAAAATAAGCATAAGCCAAGCTCTTTCTCACTACCATCTGGAGATAAAGCTGCTTTCATCTGCTAACCACGTACTTTGCTCTATTAAAGGCACTGTGGAATAAACCTGGACCTGCCTCCTGGCAACCAGGGGATGGATCTAAACCATTAACAGACGAGGTAACACCATTTGGGTGCCACCCAGTGGGCAATCAGTGCTGGCCTTCTCACTGCTGGCCACAGATGACCTCTGACTTCAACCCCTACCCTGTTGCTGTGTCCCTTCCTTACTTGAAAAGTTTCTATTGTTGTCACATCTACTAGATGTCTACTGCATGTCCACTGGTGGATCACCCTAGCCCTGGTAATCTACACACTACTGTTGACTATATATATATATATATATATATACATATATATATATATGTATATATACACTTACATAACATTGTATGGAAGCAGGCTCTTTAACAACTGCATTGCTGGCTGCCAACAGTAAACAATCATAGTCTTTTGATGTTTCAATAAAGACAATTCCTACAAAAACATATTTGATTCCATGGAGACATCTATTCACTCACTAAATGGCAGTTTCTCTATTGAAATTGATAACTACTTGCTTATAGCTGTTACAAAATTTTCCAGGGCTAAAAAGAACACCATTAATGAGGACTTGGGGAATATTTAAGGGAAATTGCCCAATTTTACTCTTCTGCGGGGTCCTTAAAATACATACACACTCCATCTTATAGAAGATAGAGACAATAACGAGAAGCCTGGTAGCAAAACTAATTCAGGAGGACATTTATTGGTATTAGGCCAGCCTAAGGCTATTAATGCTGCCCTAGAAAAGTTTTCCGTAGAGTGGAAGCATTGAAACAGGTGATCTCCCATTGAAACATGGCAACATTGTGATAAACAGGGACAAAAATGGGCCAATTGATGTCTAATTTTGAAATAACTTGGCACACCTGTGAGGATCCCATATGTAAGTGCCCCTTACTTCAGTATCTAATTTATTGCATTGCTACATAAACAACCTTTATTCAAGCTGCTGAGAGTACCTGAGAAATTATCCCTCACCTATGGGAACATACCAATGCTATTTGCTGTTGGCAATTGGCAGGAAAAACAAGCCACAATGCACACCAATTTGAAGAAGGAGGAACATACACTTGCCCACCAAAAGAAAAAAGCATGAAACTTTAGCCACAATACTACCTAAGATGCAAATTAAACCACATACTGAGCTTGCCTCCACCGTCATCGCTTTGGTACACATAGCATACTTCTCCCTGGCCAAGCTACTCCATAAATCTCATTTATCAAGATAAGCCTATTACTCTAACCATTGACACTCACCAACAATATCCAGAGGCTAATCTCATGAAGATATGTGGGCAATGGTGAGCAGAGCTCATAACCAATTTAGTTGATCCAGGTGCTAAATGCAAGGCAGATAACATGCAAGCTCATTTGACTACGACATAGTATGCTCCTCTTAATACCGCCTGGAATTGCACTAAGCGACACAAGATTACTTTCATAGGAGCAAGAGGTAGCAGAGGGAGCCTGGTGGGCCTGCAAAAGAATCAAATGGATTCCTCTGTCACAAGATTCCCTTTTTTAATTTTCAAAATTTTATAACTTTAGAAAACATACATATGGTGGGTTGGTCACTGTGCAAGGGAATATGTACTTGGCAATACTTTCAAACGATGAAACATGGCCATTCCTTTAGTTGAATATTTCTTTTTTGTTATTATTTTTTAACTTTTAAGTTCAGGGGTACACGTGTAGGTTTGTTACATATGTAAACCCCGTGTCATGGTGGTTTGCCGTACACATTATTTCATCACCCAGGTCTTAAGACTAGTACCCATGCGTTATTTTTCCTAATACTCTTCCTCCTCCCACCATTCACCCTCTGGTAGGCCTCAGTGTCTTCTGTTCCCCTCTACGTGTCCATATGTTTTCATCATTTACTTCCAACTTACAAGTGAGAACATACAATATTTATTTTTCTGTTCCTGTGTTAGTTTGCTAAGGATAATGGCCTCTAGCTCCATCCATGTTCCTGCAAAGAACATGATCTCATTCTTTTTTTATATCTCCATAATATTCCATGGTGTATATGTACCATATTTTCTTTATTCAGTCTGTCATTAATGGGCATTTAGGTTGATTCCATGTCTTTGTTATTAGGAATAGTGCTGCAATGAACATATACGTGCATGTGTCTTTATGATAGAATGATTTATATTCCGTTGGGTATATACCCAGTAATGGGATTGCTGGGTTGAATGGTAGTTCTGCTTTTAGCTCTTTGAGGAATCTCCACACTGATTTCCACAATGACTGAACTAACTTACATTCCCACCAACAGTGTATAAGTGTTCCTTTTTCTCTGCAACCTGGCCAGCATTTGTTACTTTTTGACTTTTTAATAATAGCTATTCTGACTGGTGTGAGATGGTATCTTGTTGTGGTTTTGATTAGCATTTCTCTAATCATCAGTGATGTTGATATGGTCTGGCTCTGTGTCCCCAACCCAAATCTCATACTGAATTTTAATCCAAATTGTAATCCCCACATACTGGGGGAGGGAACTCTTGGGGGGTGATTAGATCATGCGGGCAGTTCCCCCATGCTGTTCTCATGATAGTGAGTGAGTTCTCACAAGGTCTGATGGTTTTATAAGGGGCTTTTTCCTGCTTTGCTCTTCACTTTTTCTTCTTGCTTCCATGTAAAGAAGACGTGTTTGCGTTCCCTTCCGCCATGATTGTAAGTTTCCGGAGGCCTCCCCAGCCCTGCAGTACTGTGACTCAATTAAATCTTTTCTCTTTACATATTACCCAGTCTTGGGTATTTCTTCATAGCAGCGTGAGAATGGACTAATAACAGATGATGAGTTTTTTTTCATATGCTTGTTTGTGGCATATATGTCTTCTTTTGAAAAGTGTCTGTTCATGTCCTTTGCCCTTTTAAAAATTACTTTAAAAATGAGTTGTTTCTTTCTTGTAAATTTGTTTAAATACCTTATAGATGCTGAATACTAGAACTTTGTCAGATTCATAGTTCACAAAATATTTATCCCATTCTATGGGTTGTCTGTTCACTCTGTAGATAGTTTCTTTTGCTGTCCAGAAGCTCTTTAATCAAATCCCATTTGTCAATTTTTGGTTTTGTAGCAATTGCTTTTGGCATCTTTGTCATGAAATCTTTGCCTGTTCCTATGTCAATAACATTATTGCCTAGGTTGTCTTCCAGGATTTTTATCATTTTGGGTTTTATATTTAAGGCTTTGAATCCATCTTGAGATAATTTCTGTATATGGTGTAAGAAAGTGGTCCAGTTTCAGTCTTCTGCATATGGCTAGGCAGTTATCCCAGCACTACTTATTGAATAAGGAGTCCTTTCTCTCTTGTTTATTTTTGTCCACTTTGTCGAAGATCAGATGGTTGTAGATGTGTGACCTTATTTCTGGGCTCTCTGTTTCATTGATCTGTGTGTCTACTTTTGTACCAGGACCATGCTGTTTTGGTTACTATAGCCCTGCAGTATAGTTTGAAGACAGCTAATATGATGCCTCCAGCTTTTTTATTTTTGCTTAGGATTGCCTTGGCTATTTGGGCTCTTTTTTGGTTCCATATGAATTTTAAAATAGCATTTTTCTAGTTCTGTGAAGAATGTCATTAGTAGTTGGACAGAAATAGCATTGAATCTATAACTGGCTTTGGGCAGTATGACCATTTTAATGATATTGATTCTTCCTATCCATGAGTATTGAATATTTTCACATTTGTTTGTGTCATCTCTGATTTCTCTGAGCAGTTTTGTATTTCTCATTGTAGAGATCTTTCCCTTCCCTCATTAGCTGTATTCTTAGGTATTTTATTCTTTTTGTGGCAATTGTGAATGCTATTGCATTCCTGATTTGGCTCTCGGCTTGACTGTTGTTGGTATATAGGAATGCTACTGATTTTTTTACATTGATTTTGTATCCTGAGACTTTGCTGAAGTTGTTTATGAGCTTAAGGAGCTTTTGGGCTGAGACTATGGGGTTTTGTAGATATCATGTTGTCTACAAATAGGGATAGTTTGACTTCCTCTCTTCCTATTTGGATGTCCCTTATTTCCTTCTCTTGCCTGATTCCTCTGGCTAGGAATTCCAATACTATGTTGAATAGTAGTAGTGAGAGAGGGCATTTTTGCCTGGTGTTGGTTTTCAAAGGGAATGCTTCCAGCTTTTACCCATTCAGTATGATATTTGTTGTGGGTTTGTCATAGATGGCTCTTATTATTTTGAGACGTGTTCCTTCACTACCTAGTTTATTTAGAGTTTTTAACATGAAGGGGTATTGAATCTTATTGAAAGCCTTTTCTGCATCTATTGAGATGATCATGTGGTTTTTGTATTTAGTTCTGTTTATGTGATGAGTCACATTGACTGATTTGTGTATGCTGAACCAACCTTGCATCCCAGGGATAAAGCCTACTTGATTGTGGTGGGTAAGCTTTTTGATGTGCTGTTGGATTCAATTTGCCAGTATTTTTTTTTTTTTTGAGATGGAGTCTCACTGTCTCCCAGGCTGGAGTTCAGTGGCACAGTCTTGGCTCACTGCAACCTCCACCTCCTGGGTTCAAGTGATTATCTTGCCTCAGCCTCCCAAGAAGCTGTACTACAGGCACGTGCCACCACATCCAGCTAATTTTTTTTTGTTTTGTATTTTTTTAGTAGAGACGGGATTTCACCATGTTGGTCAGGCTGGTCTTGAACCCTTCACCTCAAATGATCCACCTACCCTGGCCTCCCAAAATGTTGGGATTACAGGCGTGAGCCACTGCGCCCAGCCTCCAGTATTTTCTTAGGGATTTTTGCATGATGTTCATCAAGGATAGTGGCATGAAGTTTTCCTTTTTTGTTGTGTGTCTCCTAGGTTTTGTTATCAGCATGATGCTGGCCTCCTAACTTTTTGGGGGATAGTTTCAGTAGGAATGGTACCAGCACTTCTTTGTACATCTGGTAGAATTCAGCTGTGAATCCATCTGGTCCTGGGCTTTTTCTGGTTGGTAGGCTATTTATTACTGATTCAATTTCAGAGCTATTATTGATCTGTTCAGGTATTCCATTTCTTCCTGTTTCGGTCTTGGAAAGGTTTATGTGTCCAGGAATTTATCCAATTCTTCTAGATTTTCCAGTTGGTGTGCATAGAGGTGTTCATAATATTCTCTGATGGTTGTTTGTGTTTCTGTGGAGTCGGTGATAGTATCTCCTTTGTCATTTCTAATTGTTTTTATTTGGATCCTATGTTCCCTTTTTTTCTTTATTAGTCTGGTTAGCAGTCTATCTGTTTTATTAACATTTTCAACAAACCAAACCCTGGTTTCATTGATCTTTTGAATTTTTTTTGTGTGTGTGTCTCAATCTTCTTCAGTTCAGCTTTGATTTTGGTTATTTCTTGTTTTCTGATAGCTTTGGGGTTGGTTTGCTTTTACTTCTCTACTTCTTTTAATTGTGATGTTAGGTTGTTAAATTGAGATCTTTCTAACTTTTTGATGTGGGTGTTTAGTGCTATAAATTTCCTTCTTAACACTGCCTTAGCTGTGTCCCAGAGATTCTGATATGTTGTATCTTTGTTTTCATTAGTTTCAAAGAACTTCTTGATTTCTGCCTTGATTTCATTACTTACCTAAAAATCATTCAGGAATAGGTTATTTAATTTCCATGTAATCATATAGTTCTGAGCTATTTTCTTAGTCATAAATTTTATTTTAATTGCCTGTGGTCTGTGAGAGTGGTTTTTATGTTTTCAGTTCTTTTGCATTAGCTGAGGAGTGTTTTATGTCTGATTATGTGATTGATTTTAGAGTATGTGCCATGTGACAATGAGCTGAATGGATATCCTGTTGTTTTTGGGTGAAGACTTCTACAGATGTCTATCAGGTCCATTTGACCAGTGCTGAGTTTATGTTTCCTGAATGTCTTTGTTAATTTTCTGCCTTTATTACCTGTCTAATACTGACAGTGGCATATTAAAGTCTCTTACTACTTTTATGTGGCAGTCTAAGTCTCTTTGAAGTTCTCTAAGAACTCACTTCATGAATCTGAGTGCTACTGCATTGGGTGCACATATATATATTTAGGATAGTTAGAGCTTCTTATTGAATTGAATGCTTTACCATTACATAATGCCCTTCTTCATCTTTTTTGATATTTTTTTCCTTAAAGTCTGTTTTGTCTGAAATTAAGATTTTCCCACTTTCTTGGTAGATTTTTCTTCATCCCTTTATTTTGAGCCTATGAGTGTCATTGCATGTGAGATAGGTCACTTAAAGACAGCCTACCATCATGTCTTGATTCTTTATGCAGCTTGCCACTCTGTGCCTTTTAATTGGGGCATTTATCTCATTTACATTTAAGATTAATGTTGAAATGTATGGATTTGATCCTGTCATCATGATGTTAGCTGGTTATTATGCAGACTTGTTTATGTGGTTGTTTTTTAGTGTCATTGGTCAGTGTATTTCAGTGTGTTTTCGTAGCGGCTGATAATGGTCTTTCCTTCCCATATTTAGTGCTTCCTTCAGGAGCTCTTAAAAGGCAGGTCTGGTGATAACAAATTCCCTCAGCCCTTGTTTGTCTGAAAAAGAATCTTATTTCCCCTTTGCTTATGAAACTTTGTTTGGCCAGATATGAAATTTTTGTTTGGAATTTCTTTTCTTTAAGAATGTTGAATATTGGCCCTCAATCTCTTCTGACTTGTAGGGTTCCTGCTGAGAGGTCCACTGTTAGTCTGATGGGCTTGCCTTTGTAGGTGACCTGACCTTTCTCTCTAGCTACTTTTAACATTTTTTCTTTCATTTTGATCTTGGAGAATCTGATGATTATGTGTCTTGGGGATGAACTTCTTGTGAAGTATTTGTGGGTGTTGTCTGCATTTCCTGAATTTGAATGTTGGCCTCTATAGCTAGGTTGGGGAAATTTTCATGGGTTACTCCTTGCCAGTTCAACTCATCCATTTCCCTGGAAGTCACTGGGGGCCAAGAACAAGCCCCAGTGTGTGGTAGCCCCACGCAGAGTTTCCAGATTCTTCCCCTTTCAGCCTAGCTTATTTGTCTTCCCTTCATCCACTCTCAGTGCCTTCCCCTGGAAGATCTGTTAGGAGTGTGCCAGTTGTCCCAGTCCCTTGGTGGCAGCTGTTCCACCTGGCTGCATCTAGTCCAAGATTCCTCTTGTCTAACCCTGAAAAATACTACTTGCACTTGGGTTTTACACAACTTTCCAGATATTTATTCAGCAGCTGAACTCTCAAGTACTTTCCTTCACAAACTGTACAAGTCTCTAATGCTGCAAACAGGCTCACATACATGCACTCTCTCTCATGTTTACTCACAAACCTTGCTCACACACTCACATGATTATGCTCACATTTACTCTCACACACAAATATGCTCATATATTCACTCACACATGAGCTAACTTACAAATTTATTTCCACACATACTCATGTTCACATGCACACACTCATTCACTTATGCATGCATATTAATACACTCACAGAAACATGCTCACATATTCACTCAAACATGCTTATGTATAGCAAGAAGCTCACACATTCATATACTCACATGCACACCCTCATCACCCCTCACACAAATACACTCACACAAATGACCATGATTACACATGAACTTACACAAATATGCTAACATTGATGCACACGGTCATAAATTTTGCTTATAAACATGAACACTCAGGCAGGGCATGGTGGCTCACGCCTGTAATCCCAGCACTTTGGGAGGCCGAGGCGGGTGGATCACCTGAGGTCAGGAGTTCAAGACCAGCCTGACCAACATGGAAAAACCCTGTCTCTACTAAAAATACAAAATTAGCTGGTCGTGCTGGCTCATGCTTTTAATCCCAGCTAATTGGGAGGCTGAGGCAGGGGAATCCCTTGAACCTGGGAGGTGGAGGTTGCAGTGAGCCGAGATCGTGCCATTGCACTCCAGTCTGGGCAACAAGAGTGAAACTCCATCAAAAATATAAACAAAAACAAAACAAAACAAAAAACAAGAACACACAAGCATTTACCTGATCACACAAATGTAATAAACACTGACATATGAACTAGCTTGCATTTTCACTCATATACAAGGCGATGCTCAAATATTCACTGACACCAACATGCTTATGCTCATGAACACACATATTTACTCACACACATGCTCACAAATTCACAGAAACGTAAGTATACTTGTTATTGTTTGGATATTTGTCCCTGCCCAAACCTCATGTTGAAATGTAGTCCCCAATTCTGGAGATAGGGTGTGGTGGGAGGTGTTTGGGTCATGGAGGTGGATACCTCCATGGAACCCCATAGGTTGGTGCTGTTCTCACCACAGTGAGTGAGTTCTTATAAGATCTGGTCATTTAAAAGTGTGTGACACCTCCTCTCTTCTCTCTTGTTCCTGCTTTGACCGTGTGACATGTCTGCTCCCACTTCACCTTCTGCCATGAGTAAAAGCTTTCTGAGGCCGGCCCAGAAGTGAAGCAAATGTTGGCATCATACTTTCTGTAAAGCCTGAAAAACCATGAGCCAATTAAGCCTCTTTATAGATTACCCACCCTCACGTATTTCTTTATAGCAACGCAAGAATGGCATAATACAATAATGAAATGTACATGCTAAGTATGATAATGCTAAATACATATATGAAATGCTAAATCACTCACATGCCAAGTATGCTCATATACATGAAGTCATTCATACACATTCTGTCACACACATCAACACACAATTTTTCACACACTGACATTTATGATCACACAATTTTCATACACACATTCGCTCTCCCATTAACATGCTTACATATACAAACATGTTCACTATTCACTCACACATGTACTAACACATATGAAGATGCTAAAGAATTCACTCAGACATAAACAGGCTCATATACATGCACATGCTCACACATTCACTGACACACATGAACATGCTTACAATTTTATTGACACATAACACTCATATTTGCTTCTGTGCACATACTCATATTCACTTATACACACACATTAACCTGCTCATAGAAACATATTCATGTGTTTATTCACACATGCATTTACTCATATATTATCATGCTATTACATGTGTTTGATCACCCATTAACTCACACATGAACATCTTTGCACATCTACTCACACAGGCACACTTAATTCCTCACATACATGAATATGCTCATACATTCACCCATGTATTGACACTCTCAAATAAGGACATGCTAACACATTTATTCACTCTTAACATTACACAAATTTGCTCACTCACATAGATACACTCACATGCTGGTGCTCACATTCACATAGTCATACATTAGCACACACATATGAACTTGCTCACACATACAATTATATTCACATATACAAACATACTCATTCACTCACTGGAGAACCTGATCCTACACATGAATGTGCTCACACATTCACTCACAGAAATAACCTTCACATATTACACACTCACACTTTTACTTTCACACAGGTAAGTTCACTCATACAGTCAAACATACTCAAAAACTAACTCCCTTACAGACACGATATGTTCATATGTTCACTTATAGTATGAACATGCTTACACACACATGCATACTCAGTGATGCTCATATAAGAGATGCTCACACATTTATTCACTCAACCAAACTCGCTCCCAAATTAGCTCATTCACATGAACATGGTTACAATTTCACTCATACAGAAAACACTCATATATGGTCACATGTACACACTTACTCTCTCACACAGGCATATAAACACACATAAACAGGGGCATGCTCACACATTCACTTGCAAACACACACACATATACTTGCAAACACACACACACACATATATATACTCACAGAAATATAGTCTTCCATTAAGAAGCCCACACAAATGAACCCACTTTCACATACATTCACACAAAAAAATTGCTCAGCTATTCACTCACACAAGTTGGATTATAGATCCCCTAATTCACGTGAATATTCTTAAAAATGTACTCAAAGACATACTTATATATGCTCACATGCACATATAATTCATTCACACATGCAAATTAACACACAAACAGGGACACACACATTCACTTGCAAATAAACATTCACACTCATCACACACATGGATGCACACATATACACACAAGTACATGGTCATGTTTTCACTCACAACTTTACTCACACATTGACAACCTCACACAAACATGAATACTTTTACATCCTTATACACGTTTATACATGAACATTCAGTTAAGCACACAAATATGCTCACACTAACACATTCATACATGAACAGTCTCACACGTGGACATGCCCACATACATACATATACTCATGCATTATTCACATAATCATGCTCAGAAGTTTACTCACACTGGTGGATACATTCACACTCTCACACACACATGCTCATTTATTCACTCAAATATACTCACCAACATGGTTACATACATGAAATGCTCACACATTCACTCACCCATTTATGCTCAAAGTTATTAAAACATTCACTCACACATATCAACACTGAAACATTTACTCACATGCAAGGACATACTTGAATTTGAGCTCACACATAAACTCACATATTACTTATCAAACACAAACGTTTTAAAATTCACACACATGGACACCCTCACATATAATAATTTACACATATTTACACATCCACACACAGACATACATCAATATACTAAATATAAAACCTAGTTTTCTATTTGCACAAATATGTATGTGTATTCAAATATGCAAATTCAAGAATTTACTCAGAGATTTATTTATACATGCACACACAGATTCAATCACTCACATTAACACACACAATTCACTCACTCAAAAGAGCATAGTGATAAATTAACTCAGTCACACTCACATACATGTCTGCAATCTCACACATTCTTTCATTCACACAAACATGGGCCAGGCGTGGTGGCTCATACCCATAATCCCAGCACTTTGGGAGGCCAAGGTGGGTGGATCACTTGAGGTCAGGAGTTCAAGACCAGCCTGGCCAACACGGTGAAACCTCATCTCTACTAAAAATACAAAAATTAGTGGGGTGTGGTGGAAGGCACCTGTAATCACAGCAACTTGGGAGGCTGAGGCTGGAGAATTGCTTGAATCCAGGAGGCGGAGGTTGCAGTGAGCTGAGAGATTGCGCCACTGCACTCCAGCCTGGGCGACAGAGTGAGACTTTGTCTCAAAACAAACAAACAGCAACAATAAAGAACAAAAAAAAAACCAAACGTGCTCATTCACTCACTCACATGAATGTGCTCACAAAATCACACACACCAGACAGACTCATTCACATTTATATGTACATACTCACACATTTGGTTACCCAAAATAATATGACCACAAAAGGAATATTTTCAGGTATTCACTGCCCATGAATATGCTCATGCTTACATAAAAGGTCACACATTCACTTACATAGATACACTCACACATTAAAGTTTACAAATGGACTTGCTTTGCTCATGACATGCTCATATATTCACTAACATATATAGACAGACACCTTCACGTGCACACATTCACACAAACTTGCTCACACTTTCTTTCTTTCACATGGACATACCTACAAACTTACACACAGGACCCACTCATATATGCTCACATTTACTCACTCATACTTTCTTTCACACATGTATGTAAACATAAACAGGGACATGCTAATACATTCAATCACACACACGTTTATAAAATTAAATCACATTTATAATATATAGATACCTTTACATACAATTATTTACAACCACATGCCTAATCATATTCCCATAATTATATATTCACATATACATTCTCATTATTTAGTTACACACACTTATGCTCACATGTGAACATGCTCACAAATACACTAAAACACAAATTTGTGCTCTCATATATAGATATGCTCACACATTCAGTAACATGATCATGCTAAATTTTCACACATATAGAACACTCACATACACTATCTCCAAGACATATACACTCATGCACATGAACATGCTCACAAGTTCATTCATATGTAAGACACACTTGTATATCTCACCTGAACACTTTTACGCATCCCTTCACTCATGCATTAGCACACATAAAAACAGGGACCTGCTCACACACTAACTGATTCACATGTGTATTCTCACAAATTCATACCTATAGAGACACCATTATATATACTATGTGCTCACACTCACCCATACAATTAAACAGGCACATTAACACATTCATGAATAGTAATCTGTTTACCTATCACTCTCACACAAACGTGCTTACACTCACAATGATCTCATTCACTCACAGAGATACACTTCACACTCACATTTAACTCACACAATATACTAACACATTAAAAAGCTCACACAAATGAATATGACACACATTCACTTAATACAAACATGCTAGCACCTATATACATGCTCACAAATTCACAGTATACTTTAACACACCCCTTGAATTCAACACTCAAATATTGTTACACTAGCACAATCTAAGACATTACAAATTCACATATTTACTCTCACATGCTTACACATATATGCTTACATGCTTACATATACATGCTTACATATATGCACATGCTCATACATTCACTCATATTAACATGTTTAATATTCGCTTAATCAAATGAACTTTAAAAATTACACATATAGACACATGCATACATTCACACTTACATGATCACACAGTCACTTATTTACACAAATATGCTCACACTTTCACACACTTATGTGAGCATGATCACACATTTGCTCACCTAAACATGCTCACAAATGTACTCAAATAAATAGACATATTGGATACACTCACACACACCGATAAATTAACATACAATCCTGCTCATTCATTTAATCACATAACATATGCACAATTTCACTTACACAGACACACATATTCACAGTTTCATGCTCACACACAGTAACTTATTTACATAAATGTGCTCATACTTTCACACACTTTTGTGTGCATGATCACATATTCACTCATATAAACCTGCTCACAAATATACTCAAATACATAGATGCATTAGATACACTCACATGCACACACCAGTAAATTAACTACATACAATCCTGCTCATTCAATCACATAGCATTTGCACAAATTCACTTACACAGGGACTCAAACAGATGTACTTGGATGCTCCCACTTTCACTTTCACATGGACATTAACACTGTCATAATCAGGAACATGCACACATGGGCACACACAAACATGCTGACAGCCACATGACACACATTCACTCACAGAAAAAATACACACATAGCCTCACACACTCACATTTCACTCACAGAAATATACTCACATGGTAACACAAGTATACTCACAGGTTATAGGCTCACAACAATAACCTGATAAACATTCAGTCACTCACATGACCATGCTAACATCCATGCTCTTGGTCACAAATTCAAGCATATTATTTGAACACACAAAAACATTAATTTCAACACTCAAATATCACACTCACCTCTCACATGTATAAGTTCATATATTCACTGTCAGATATGCCTACTCACATATATTCACATGCTCACACATTCACTGACACAAACATATTCACATCTCACTCATTCACATGAGCATTATCACACATTCACTGACATATATGCTTAATCAGAAAATGACACACACCAGAACCACTCATTAGATTTATATACACATAATCACACATTCACTTACACTTGCAAAATGTCATTGACATAGAGGAACTTGCTCCTATGTTCACTGGCACATGAACATTGTCACACTCACCAAGAAGCTCACAAATTCACTCAAAACATGTAAAACACTTACATTTACTGACACACATGTCCTCACACATTCCTTTACATAACTGTCTATATCAACATAAACACATATATGTAACAAGATCACACCAAAGACCACTTACACACTCACTACTCACAAACATGCAAATATTCACATGCTTGCAAATTTAGTCATACAGATGAGCACAGACAAATATTTAATGAAATATGAATTCACATACAAACACTTTCACCCATGAATAGTCCCACACATATACTGTCATACATATTTATGCTCACATACATACAAAATCTCATGTATTCACTCATTCACTCACTCACCAAAAAAGCTCACTCATTGAATCACACAAATATGAATTTCAAAAATTTCACTCACATACCTACGTACAGTTAAATATACTCACAAAACATTGACATACTCTTTCACACAGATATGCTTAAATGATTTCTCAATCACATAAACATGCTTACAAAATTTATTCATATAGAGACTCAAATATATATCCTCAGGTGCTCCCCCATACCTTTTCATCTATACATGCACATTAACCTTCTTAGAATAAGGAACATGTCCACATATACACTTGCACATGGACATGCCCATATCCACCACAAAGCTGAAACATGCATTCACACACAGATATACTCACATGAACTTTAACTCATATGGTTACCTTACCCTCACACAAGAATTCCCAAGCTGAGTGAGGGCAAGATGGCCAACTAGATGCAGCCAGGTGGAACAGCTCTCACTGTGGAACCTAGAAGACTGGTGTGCTCCTAACAGATCTTCAGAGAGAAGGCAACAACAGTGGACAGAGGGAAGACACAAAAGCTGGGGTGAAGGGGGAGAAAGTTGGGAATCCTGCACGGGGCTACTGCACATCAGGACTTGTTCTTGGCCCTCAATGGCTCCAGGGGACTGGATGAGTTGAACTGGCAAGGAGAAACCCACTCTTGCCATGGGCCTCTGGAACCCTGGCAGGAGGAGACCCCTCAACCACCACAGACACTTGAGTTGGCAGGGAAAGCTGCTTAGAGAAGTAGTAGGGGCAGCAAGCCAGCTGATGTGGAGCCCAGAGTGTTTGGTGCGGGAGCATCTGAAGTGGAGAACCACTGTCCCAGTGGAGCCAGGGACAGTCATCCCCCTAAGCTTGACTTGCTCCCATAGGAGACTTTAGGCCAAGGGGAGCTGTCAAACTTGAATTCTGCAGGGCAGTCTTGCCCCTCAGACAGGGCTGGGCTGACCTGAGCACCCTTGGTCTCCTGGCCTCTCCTAGGGGCCCAAGCTGTCCATGCCTGCTTACGGGGCAGTCTTGGGTGCCCTGGGGGCCCACACCATAGCTTCTGCACTGGCAGACCGTGCCTGCCTGGTGGAGAGCTCCAGCAGGCTGGTTCCAATGGCCACACACCAGCCTGCATGGTCCCTCCCTATACTGCAGTTTCCCCCAGGCCCACGGCAACTCCCCACATTGCTTTGCTGATGTGTGTCTGCATGGGCTGGTTTTGTTTCCTTGCCCTGCCAGCACACAGGAGTCTAGTTCACCCCCACTCCCCTCCCCGGCCACCATTGTAGATGGAGTCTTGGTGGGCATAGAGCCAGCCAGCACCATCCCCGTCAGCTCCCCATCCTTGTGCTAACACTGTGCAGAGAACAGCAGATCCTTCCCCACCCTGAGTGAACACTCCTGCTTGTGGGGCACAGAGAAGGCACCCAAACCTGTGCCCCTTAGCACCCTGCCCCTGAGCCAACACCACCTTCAGCACAACCACACACCCCACCAGCTGCATTGCCTTCACCACTGTGGTGAGCACTCTCAGTGGTGGGCACCCTGGCACTTGCTAGCAATCTGCCACAGCTGCTGCTATGAGGATGGATCCAGCTATGACCACACTATTAAACATTTTGGCTAACACCACCCATCTGAATGTAGTGACCAGCAGTCCAGGAGCACCTCGGCCACCCTAGTGCAGTAGATTCCTAACCTTAAGGAGCCAGAGAACAAGGTCGAGGCCCAACACAAGTCCCCCAGAATTAGAGCATGTAGTTTAGGAGTTGGTGGCTGAATGTTGGCCCCCTAAAATATTCCAGAAATGATGCCAGTTGGCTAAATCCACCTTATACCACAATCAAACCCTCAAAGTCATCAAACAGGATAAAAGAAAACAAATCCAAAGATCAGAAACTTCAAAGACTGAAGGTAGACAAGCCCATAAATATGAAAAAGTATCAGCACAAGAACTCTGACAATTCAAAAAGCCAGAATGCCTTCTTTTTTTCCAAACGACCACATAAAACTCTCAAGCACACGTTCTGAAGTGGGCTGAAATTACAGAAATAGAATTCAGAATATGGATAGGAATGAAGATTATTGAGATGCAGGAGAACATTGAAACCCAATACAAGAAAGCTAAGAATCATGAAAAAACAATGCAGGAGCTAACAGACAAAACAGCCAGTAGAGAAAAGAACATAACCAACCTGATAGAGCTGAAAAACACACCACAGGACTCTCATAATGCCATTGCAAGTATTAATAGTAGAATAGACCAAGCTGAGGAAAGAATCTCAGAGCTTGAAGACTAGTTTACTGAAATAAGACAGTCAGACAAGAACAGAGAAAAAAGAATGAAAAAAAAAACAAAACAAACGAAACCTCTGTGAAACATGGGAATATATAAAGAGACAAAATCTATGACTCATTATTGTCCCTGAAAGAGGTGGGGAGGATGAAACTAACTTGGAAAACATATTTCAGGATATCAAGCAGGAGAACTTCCCAACCTAACTAGAGTGGCCAACATCCAAATTCTGGAGATTCTTAGAGCCCCCACAAAACATTTCCCAAGCAGATCTTCCCCAAGATATATAATCACCAGATTTTCCAAGGTTGAAATGAAAAAAAAAAAATGTTAAGGGCAGCTAGAGAGAAAGGACAAGTCACCTACAAAGGGAAGCCCATCAGACTAACAGCAGACATCTCAGCTGAAACCCTACAAGCCAGAAGAGATTGGGGGCTGATATCCAACGTTCTTAAAGAAAAGAAATTTCAAACAAGAATTTCATATGTGGCTAAACTAAGCCTTATAAATGAAGGAGAAATAAGATTATTTTCATACAAGCAAATGCTGAGGTAATTTGTTATCACCAGACCTACTTTAGAAGAGCTCCAGAGGGAAGCACTAAATATGGAAAGGAAAGACCATTACCAGCCACTACAGAAACACACTGAAATACACAGACCAGTGACACTATAAAGCAACCACATAAACAAGTGTGGAAGATAACCAGCTAACATCATGATGACAGGATCAAATCCACACATTTCAATAGTAACCTTTAAGGTAAGCAGGATAAATGTTCCAATTAAAAGGCACAGAGTGGCAAGCTGGATAAAGAACCAAGACCTGTTGGTATGCTGTCTTCAAAGGATCCATCTCACATGCTATGACACACATAGGCTCAAAATAAAGGGATGAAGAAAAATCTATGAAGCAAGTGGAAAACAGAAAAAAAACAAGGTTGCAATCCTAGTTAAAAACAAAACAGACTTTAAACCAGCAAAGATAAAAAAAAAAGACAAAGAAGGGCATTACATAATAGTAAAGAATTCAATTCAACGAGAAGAGTTAACTATCCTAAATATATAAAGGCACTGCACCCAACACAGGAGCACCCACACTCACAAAGCAAGTTCTTAGAGACTTTCAAAGAGACTTAGACTCCCACACAATAGTAGCGGGAGACTTTGACAGCCCACTGACGATATTAGACAGATCATTGAGACAGAAAATTAAGAAAACTATTCAGACATAAACTTTGCACTGGATTAAGTGGACCTGATAGACATCTGCAGAACTCTCCACCCAAAAGCAAAAGTATATCCGTTCTGCTCATCACCACATGGCACATACTCTAAAATCAATCACATAATCAGACATAAAACACGCCTCAGCAAATGTAAAAGAACTGAAATCATAACAAACAGTCTCTTGTACCAGAGCCCAATCAAATTAGAAATCAATACTAAGAAATTCACTGAAAACCATACAATTACATGGAAATTAAATAACCTATTCCTGAATGACTTTTGGGTAAATAATGAAATTAAGGTGGAAATCAAGAAGTTCTTTGAAACTAATGAGAACAAAGATGCAACATAGCAGAATCTCCGAGACACAATTAAGGCAGTGTTAAGAGGGAAATTTATAGAACTAAATGCCCACCTCAAAAAGTTAGAAAGGTCTTAAAATAACAACCTAACACCACAACTAAAAGAACTAGAGAACCAAGAGCAAACCAACCACAAAACTACCAGAAGACAAGAAATAATCAAAATCAGAGCTGAACTGAAGGAGATTGAGATGCAAAAAAAAAAAAACAAAAAACAAACAAAAAAAAACTATTCAAAAGATCAATGAATTCAGGAGCTAGTTTTAAAAAAAATAAAAAATAAAATAGATGCTAGCTAGACAAATAAAGGAGAAAGAGAGAAGATTCAAATAAACGAAAGGGGAAATGACAAGGGGAATGTTACCACTTAACCCACAGAAATACAAACAACCATCAGAGAATATTCTAAATATCACTGTACACATAAACTAGAAAATCAAGAAGAAATTGATAAACTCCTGGACACATACACCCTTCCAAGACTAAAAAAGGAAGAAATTTAATCACTGAACAGATAAATAATGAGCTCTGTAAAATTGAATCAGTAATAGTCTACCAACCAAAAAAAGCCCAGGACCAGATGGATTCACAGCTGAATTCTATCAGATGTAGAAAAATAAGCTGTTACCCTTCCTGCTGAAACTATTTCAAAAAATTTGAGGAGGAGGGACTCCTCCTAAATCATTCTGTGAGGCTGGCATCATTCTAATACCAAAACCTGGCAGAGACACAACAAAAAAATAAAAATTCCTGCCAATGTCCTTAATGAACATCAATGCAAAAATCCTCAAGAAAATACTGGCAAACCGAATCCAGCAGTACATTAAAAAGCTTACCCTCCACTATCAAGTAGGCTTTATGCCTCAGATACAAAGTTGGTTCAACATAAGCAAGCTAATCAATGTGATTCATCACCTAAACAGAACTAAAGACAAAAGCCACATGATTATCTCAATAGATGCATAAAAGACTTTCAATAAAATTCAATACCTCTTCATGTTAAAAAGTCTCAATAACCTAGGTATTGAGGGAACATACTTTAAAATAATAATAGCCATCTATGACAATTCTACAATTAATTTTATAATGAATGGGCAAAAGCTGGAAGCATTCCCCTTGAAAACCAACACAATACAAGAATGCCCTCTCTTATCACTTCTATTCAATATAGTATTGAAAGTCCTGGCCACAGCAATCAGGAAGAAAACAAATAAAGTGCATCCAAAAAGGAAGGGAGAAAGTCAAACTATGCCTCAGCCCCAAAGCTCCTTAAGCTGATTAACAACTTTAGCAAAGTCTCAGCACACAAAGTCAATATGCCAAAGTCACTAACATTCCTATACACCAACAACAGTCAAGCCTAGAACCAAAACAGGAATGCAATCCCATGCACAATTGCCACAAAAAGAATAAAATACCTAGGCATACAGCTAACCAGGGGGGTGAAAGATCTCTACAATGACAAATACAAAACACTGCTCAAATAAATCAGAGATGACACAAACAAATGAAAAAAAAAATTCCAAGCTTATGGCTAGGAAGACTCAATATCATTAAAATAGCTATTCTGCCCAAAGCAATTATAGAATTAATGCTATTTCTATTAAACTACCATTGACTTTTTTTTGCAGAATTAGAAAAAAGTATTTTAAAATTCATATGGAACAAAAGAAGAGCCCGAATAGCCAAGGCAAGCCTAAGCAAAAAGAACAAAGCTGGAGTCATCACATTAACTCACTTCAAATTGCACTACAGGGCTACAGTAAGCAAAACAGCATGATACTGGACAGAAACAGACGCACAGAACAATGGAACAGAACAGAGAACCCAGATACAAGGCCACACACCTACAACCATCTGATCTTCAACAAACCTGTTAAAAATAAGCAATGGGGGAAGAATTCCCTATTTAATAAATAGTGCTGGGATAACTGGCTAGCCATACGCAGAAGACTGAAACTGGACCCCTTCCATACACCATATACAAAAATTAACTCAAGATGGATTGAAGAATTACATATAAAACCGAAAACAGGCCAGGTGCAGTGGCTCATGCCTGTAATCCCAGCCCTTTGGGAGGCCGAGGTGGGTGGATCACTCGAGGCCAGGAGTTTGAGATCAGCCTGGCCAAAATGTCAAAACCCCATCTCTACTAAAAATACAAAAATTAGTCAGGTGTGGTGGCACACGCCTGTAAACCCAGCTACTCGGGAGGCTGAGGCACGACAACCACTTAAACCCAGGAGGTGGAGGTTGCAGTGAGCCAAGATTGCGCCACTGCACTCCAGCCTGGGCAACAGAGTGAGCCTCTGTCTCAACAAAACAAGAACCCCAAACAACAGAAACCCTGGAAGACAACCTAGGCAATACCATTCTGGACATAGGAACAGGCAAATGTTTCAGATGAAAACATCAAAAGCAATTGCAACAAAAGCAAAAATTGACAAGTGGGATCTGATTAAACTAAAGACCCTCTGCCCAGAAAAGGAAACTATCAACAAAGTGAACAGACAACCTAAAGAGTGGGAGAAAATGTTTGCAAACTATGCATCCGACAAAGTCTAATATCCAGCATCTATAAGGAACTTAACAAATTTACAAGAAAAAAACAAACAACCTCATTAAAAAGTGGACAAAGACATGAACAGACACTTTTTAAAAGAAGACATACATGCAACCAACAAACATATGGAAAAAAGCTCAACATCACTGATCATTAGAGAAATGCAAATCAAAACCACAATGGGATACCATGTCACATCAGCCAGAATGGCTATTATTTAAAAGTCAAAAAATAACAGATGCTGGCAAGGTTGCAGTGAAAAAGTCATGCTTATACACTGTTGGTGGGAGTGTAAATTTGTTCAACTATTTTAGAAGACATTGTGATGATTCCTCAAAGACGTAAAAACAGAAGTACCATTTGACCCAGCAATCTCATTCCTGGGTATATATCCAAAGGAATATAAATCATTCTATTATAAAGACACATTTACGCCTATGTTCATTGCAGCACTATTCACAATCGCAAGGGACAGAATTAACCCAAATGATTACAATGGTAGACTGGATAAGGAAATGTGGTACATAAACACCATGCGACACTATGCAACCATAAAAAGGAACAAGACCATGTCCTTTGCAGAAACATGGATGGAACTGGGGGCTATTATTTTTAGCAAACTAATGCAGCAACAGAAAACCAAATACCACATGTTCTCACTTATCAGGTGGAGCTAAATGATGAGAACACATGGACACATAGAGGGGAACAACACACACTGAAGCCTATCAGAGGGTGGAGGGTGGGAGGAGCAGGAGGATCAGGAAAAATAACTAATGAGTACAAAGCTTAATACCTGGGTGATGAAATAATCTGTACAACAAACCCCCATGATACAAGTTTACCTATGTAACAAATATGCACATGTAACCCTGAACTTAAGAGTTAAAGAAAAAAGAATTATCACAAGCTTATACAAGTGAACCCAGTACACATTCACTGCCTCACACAAACATATGAACACTCATGCATATGCTCACAAATTTTAGGCATACAATTGAACACATTTACTTCAACACTCAAATATTGTCACACTAACAGACTCAGATGTAGAGGTTTGCGTATTCAATGTCATGAATGACATGCTCACATATATGCACACATTTATAATTCACTCACTGAAGATACATACTGACCAAAGCACTCCCATACTTAGATATACACACATATATTCTCACCACACACTTACACATTCACTCAGTGATGCAAATATTCTCCTGTATTTACTCACATGTATTTGATATGAATTTCACTCACACACCAAACACACTCATTAGATTTATATACATACAATTACACATTAACTTACACATGCAGATTATCATTGTCCTGCCCTGCATGCTTTCACATGAGCATTACCATGCATGCACATGCATGAATATGATCACAAATTTGCTGACACAGCAGTCTCACTCATTACATTTATATGTACAGAACCACAAATTCACTAGCCATGCAATGTACTGTACATTCACTTGCACACAAACTTGCTTAAACTGTCCAAGTTGATCACAGATTTATTCAACACATAAAAACACCTTCACTTACTCATATGCTCATGCATAACCTTACTCAAGTATATTCATACATTAACAAGACACATTTGCTCATTACTCATTACATGTGAACATCTGTCACACATGCACATACTTACAAAAGCCCTCATACAGATGACTATGCAGTTACTCACTTTAAACACACATATTTACAGAGCAAAACACAATCACGTATCCACAGTTCCACACATACATTGTCACACACAGACATGCTCACATACATACATACACTCACACATTTACTCACTAATGAAACATATGCATACATCCATTCTCACTCAAACATGCTCACAAATTCACATAGATACAGATATATGGACATGCACACCCTGACACATTTAGTCTTTCATACAAACAAGCTCTAATGTTCACTCAATTACATGAGCATACTCACAAAGTCACTAACATAGGGACACCAGTATAAAAACTCAAATGTTTCCACTAACCCATTCACCCTCACCTACACATTAACAAAATCTCAAACAGGAGCATGGTCACATATATACTCAAACACACAGATGCTTATACTCACCAAGACATTTAAACATTCCTTCATACATAGATGCAAATAAATTCACACACATGCTCCCCATTTGCTCAAATAATATACTCACATATTAACAAGCTCAAACAAATAAACACAATTTACATTGACTTACTCACATGAATATACTATTTGTCCAGGCACATGCTCACTAGTTCATACATACAAAAGAACACACATATTAACTTCAGCATTCAAATATTTTCACACAACTACACTGTCATATGTACAGTTCACTTATTCACTCTCATGAATGCACATGCTCACATATATGCACATGCTCATTCACTCACTCACATTAACATGCTTACAATTTGCTCTCCAATAGCACGCATATTGACAAATTTACTAATTCATGTAGACATACATACATTTGCATCCTCACACTCACACATTCAGTCATTCACACAAATATGCTCACATCTCATTCATTCATATGAGCGTCGTCACCCATCTGTTCACTCACACATAATATCATGACAACAAATTAACTAACATATCAGACACACTCATTACAATTATACATGTGCATTCACACATTCATGCACCCATACAAGTTATCATTGTTACAAATAATAACATACGTATTCACTTGCATGTGAACATGCTCTCACTCACCAAAAAACTCATACATTTACCCATGTATCTCCACACATAAAACATTAACATTCACTCACATTCACACACTCAAAGATTACCTTACTCAAATATACTCACACATTAACAAGAGCACACAAAAAATACACACTACAGACAAACATCCTAACATACATGCAGATGCTCACAGACTCATACAGATAAGTGCATAAAAAATATCCCCTGTAAACACATTTACACACATTGTAACACTCTCATCCATGAACAGACTCACATAAACTGTCACACACGTTCTTTTATACACACATGGTGACACATTCACTTACTAAAAACACTCTCAAATATTGACTCACAAGAACATGCTCATTAATTCACTCACATACAAACACACAATCTGATATGCACATACATACACTGACACATTCATCCTTCACAGAAACATGCTCATGCATTCAATCACATGAGCATGCTGACAAATTCATGCACAGGGGAACATAAATATATATACTCATATGCACCAACAGGCCTAATCACTTATCACAGGCATTAACATGCTTATAATCAGGAACATCTTAGAGAAAAACTTATACACAAACTTGGTCATACTCTCTTTCTTAGTATATTTTGTGTTACCATAAAGGAATACCTGAGGCCAAGTAATTTATTAAGAAGATAGGTTTATTTGGCTCATGGTTTTGCAGACTGTACAGGAAGCACGGCACCAGCATCTGCTTCTGGTCAGAGCCTCAGGAAGCTTTAAATTATAGCAGAAAGCAAAGGAGGAGCAGGTGTGTTACATGGTAAGAGAGGAAGCAAGAGAGAGAAGGGAGGGAGGTGCCAGATTCTTCTTAACAACCAGATCTCATGTGAACTAATAGAGCGAGAACTCACTTACTACCACAGGGAGGGTGCCAAGCTATTCATGAAGCATCCACCCCCATGACCCAGACATCTTCCACTAGGCCCCACCTCCAACGTTGGAGATCACATTTCAACATGAGATTTGGAGGGGACAGACATACAAACCATAGCACTTACCATGAAGCTCAAACATTCATTAATACACTCACATGCACTCACAGTTACAAGCACTCACAATTACATGCCCACATGTCACCTACACAGTATACTCACACATTAATATGCTCATAAAATGAACATGGTACACATTCATACACTCACACCAACAAGTTATACTCCATGCATATGCTCACAAATACATACACATGAACTCAGATGTTTACCTCAGCACTCAAATATTTTTCCATTAATACATTCTAAGATACCTACAGGTTCACATAGTCACTGCCACAAATATACATGCTTACATATGTGCACATGGACACACATTGACTCATATGAACAGGATTATAATTTACTCACTCTTATAAACATATTGAAAGATTACTCACACACATAGACATATTCACATATATTCAAACCCACACACTCAAACACTCACTCATACAAACGTGCCCACAGCTCACTCAAATGAGCATTATCACACATTCACTCACACACATGAATATGATTTTAAAAATTCACTTACACACAAAACACTTGTATATAAACATGCACACAGCCACACATGCGCACAGGCACCATGTATTTCAAACATTTACTCACTGAAGAAAATACACTCATATGTACTTACACTCACACTTTCACATTATCTGATACAAATACACTTACATGTTAACTAGCTCATAGAAACAAACCTGGACACATTCCCTCACTCAAATGAACATACTAATGTTCATATTGTCAATGAAAAATTGCAGCAGATGGAATTAAACAAGCAAGGAAGGCATTACTCAAGACTATCATAATAAGGGACAGAAGCTATTGTAATAAGGGAGAGAGATTAGACTCAACTTCATACAAAGCAGATACAACTAAGGATTTATAGCCAGTGGGCAGAATCAAGGAGTTAATGAATGGAAAATTACCAAGAGAACCTTGGTTATGTATCAAGGAGGGAGAGGATAAAAAACTTGATTAAATATCAAGTGTCAGGTGATTCTTGCTTAGCAGGCTTAGCAAGACTTTTGCTAAAACTGGGTTTGGCAGGCCTAGGATGACACCAAGTGTGAGGCTTAGTTGAGAAGAGGGCTCAAAATACCTTTAAGTTTAGTCAAGGAGGGAGTTCTTGTTAGTCCCTCCTCTTATTCAAGAAGAGATATTATTCTTTCCTCTGAACAATATAAGTCCATTTCTCACTTGGTCATCTTTGTTCATTAAAGATCAGCTGAGCAATCTGTTGAGACTTGGTAGTAGGGCAGTATTTTCTGGATAGTGCAAGCAATCAGGCGTTTAATGAGGACGATTTCTCTGAAAAGAAAAAGAAAGATTAATGCTGGAATGGATTATAAATCCAGCTTCTGAGTCCACAAGACAGCCAGTCAAGAAAACTTCTAGATGTTGGGCTTGAAACTGTTTAGATGGTGGAGTCTGTACTGGCAATTTGATGGATTTCCTGTTTTTCAGATTGAATGTTTTGATGATGGTATAGACTCTAGTAGATGTAATATTAGCGTATTGACTAGTAAGATCAAATAGAATAAAAATGTATGCTAATATCATACTTAATGCTTATAACTCAGAAGACATAGCTATTTGATTAAACCAACAATATTCAATAAGTTTTATTTGCCACAGTTTTACACAAATTATGTAAGCTTGCATTTTTAAAATATTTGAGTTAGTTGTTATAAGAATACCTTTTTTTCCATGTTGGAAGTATTAGCATTTCACTTTTTTATTTTGGGGGAATTTCAGTAATATTTAATTTATATACCCATTTACTTATCTCTAAGACAATTAGAGTAGAGTTCCTTTACAGGATTATATAAGTTAATTTGGTAATGTCATCCAGAAGTAGGAAAATAGGAAAATATCACACATATATAAACATATACATGCATACATGAACATACAGACAGATGCAAACAGAGATCTCATATCTTTCATTTCAAAATTTTAGCTACAAGTCAGGGATAAACACAGTGATATGAAACTCACTGATTTATATTAAAAATTTGGCTCTTGTCTTTGCCCCATTTGAAGCCATTAGGCCAAATTAGTGTCATAGTATTGAAGCATACAGTCAGCTAGAGTCTTCAAAGGAGGAGAATCAGAAGAATGAGATTTTTCCATGCAAAATGAAGGCACTAAAGTTATGGCAACAGAGACAGAAAATCTGAATGAGATCTTTACAATGAAAACAGGATCCAAACAGGATCTCTACAAATGAGATCTCTACAAATGAAGGGTAATCTATATATCAGAGAACCAAGGTTCAACCAAATAAGACTCAATCAGAAGTTCCCATTTTCTAAAACAATGGTACCTTTCAAATAAAGAAGGCTGGCACTCTAACCCAGACTCAGAACTATACTCAGAATCCTAAAAATCAAAATCTGTCATTACCATGCATCAACAAACTATCATTCAGAGCACTGGATCAGAAGTCAGACTTACTAACGAATCTTGGATGAATAAGTCAGAAGTGAAGAAAAACGCTTCAAAGGTGTGTACCCTGGAGAAAACCCAAGACCTTACCTGGGTGAAACGTCTGGTGATCCAGGAATGAATCCTATTCTATCCAAGTCATGCCCCTGGAACTGTGTCATGACTCATAAAATTTGAGAAAGATAGCACTGGATGAAGTTGAATCAGTAAGGAAGACTTTATTCAAGGCTATTGCAAAAGGGAAAGATATGAAATGCAACTCCGAATCCAACAGGAACAGCTGAGGATTTCTAGCCAGTACACAGGGTGAGGGAGTCAGTGGATAGAGAATTTCTAAAAGGAACTTAGTTATCAAGGGTTTGGGGAAGAGGAACTTGATTAGGTGTCAAGGTTGGGGGAATTCTGGCTAAACTTTCTTAGCATGATTCTTGCTAAAATATGGCTCAGCAGACCAAGGATGGGGCCATGCATGAAGCTCACTGGAGAAGAGGGGCCAGAGGAATCTAAAATTTGAGCAAAAAGAGACCTTGAAAATGCATACGGTCTGAAATTCAAGCATACATTTAACACACATAAAAATTTACATAAACACTCAAATATTGTTATACTAACAACTCATATATACAAGTTCACATACTCATTGTCATCAATATAAATTTTCACATGTTTAAACATGCAGTCATTCATTAACCTGCTTACTATTTGCTCACTCATCTGCCCATACAGACAAATTTACTCATACTCATACATAACGTTATATGCATTCACACTTGGATGCTCACACATTCACACAAATTACTCTCATGTCATTCACTCACATATGCTTAATCACACATTCACAGACACACATGAGCATGATTACAGATTCACTCACACACCACACATGCTCATTGCATTTATGTGCACACAAACAATTACTTACTCATGCAAATTATCATTGTCAGAAACTGTAACATGCTCACATATTCATCTATACATGAGTATGCTCACAGTCACAAAGAAAATCACAAATTCACTCAATTACATATGAAAAATTACATTACTTACACACACTCACAAATTACCTTATTCAAACGTAATCACACATCAAGATTACATCAAGAAACTTTTATCTGCTCAATACACACCAATATGCAAAAAATCGCATGCTTACAAATTCACTCATAAAGATGAACACACTTAAATTTTCACTTTCAGCATGCAAATTTACACGCAAGAAAACACTCTCATCTATGAACAGGCTCACACACCCACTGTCGCATACAGGCATGCTCACAGTCGTATACTCACTAAAATATTTACTCATAAAACACAAACATTCACTCACTCAAACATGCCCTCAAATTCACTCACATTCAAAGGTACATATACATTGACATGCACACTGACACATTCAATCCTTCACATAAACATGCTGAAAAATTCACTCAATCATATGACTATAACCACAAATACACTTGTACAAGCACACAAATATATACACTCAGAGGTCCACAATCACACATGCACAGTAACATTCTCAAACTAGAAACATGCTCGCATTTAAACTCACACACAAATATGCTCACATCCACCATAAAACTCAAACCTTCACAGAAGAAAATATTCTCACATGCACTTACACTCACCTGCTCACATTTCACCCACAAGAACATACTCACGTATTAAGGAGCTCGCAGCAGTGAACCCAATACTTTCATTCTCTCACACAAAGATGCTAACATCTATGCATATGGCCACAAATTCAGGCATACGCTTAAATACACAGTCACTCACACTCTCACTCACAGAGCATGCTCAAATATTCACTCATTCAAAGATTGTTTTGGCTATTTAGGGCCCTTTGAGGTTCAATATGAATTTTAGAATTCCTTTTTTCTATTTCTCTAAAAACTGCATAGAATTTTGATAGGATTGCATTGAATGTGTAGATTGTTTGGGGTAGTATTAAAATCTTAATAATATCAAGTCTTGCAATCAATGAACATGAGATATATTTCCATTATTTGTGTTTTCTTTAATTTCTTACATAAGTATTTTGTAGTTTTTAGTATACATGGCTTTTACCTCCTTGGCTAAATTTATTCCTAAGTATTTTGTTCTTTTTGATGCTACTGTAAAGGGATTGTTTTCTCTACTTTCCCCATATATTCTATTTACGGAAATGTCTCTTCAACGACAATCGTTTCTTAAAACATAGGTTTCTGAGTATCTTCATAACTGATACTGTTTGAATTTCCTTAATATAGTTGTTGATCCCCATGTAGAAGGCAGGTAGAGACATTGTATTCATGTTCTGGCTACTGTAGACCTATGCGTCCAGGCTGTCTGTTTAAAGAGCCCATTTCATATGGTGTAAATTGCTGAAAAAGCAAGCATTTTATTCTGGGATTGTACCTTAAAAATGTAGTCATTTGTCTCAATCCAAGCATGTTTTATCTTTTGATTTATTCACAGAGCAGCTGCTGCAGATTTAGACACACTTTAGATACAAAGATAAATATACAGTAGATTTAAAGTAATAGGATAGAAAAAGCAACAGAAAGAAGATTAAGTGGATATGTTAATATCAGACAAAATAGACTTTAGAACAAAAAAGTTACTATAGATAATGCTGGATTTTTTATAATGATAAAAGAATCTTTCACATAATGATAAAAGGGGTACAAACGAAAGACACTGAAATTAGAAAGAAAAAAATAAAAGTATTTTTGTTAGCAGATGACCTCATCTTGTATATAGAAAATCCTAAGGAATTTACTAAAAAAATATATATATATTAGAAATAATAAATGAGTTCAGAAGCACAGACCCAGTCAAGAAGAGGCTCACGTATTATATAGCAATAGACAACTAGAACACGTTTTGATGCTAAGAGCAGGATACTGTGGCAACAAAAACCTCAAATGTCAGAACGGCTCTGCACTGGGCAGAGGGAAGAAACTAGAAGTTTGAGATGAGTATTAATGAACATCAGAAATGCCTGGAAGAGACCATGATCAGAAATCTGATGGTTAATGTGGAGGTTGCCTATGAAAGCTTAAAGGGGAGTGAGGAAAACGTTACTGGAAACTGAAGGAAAGGAATACTTTGTCATGTAGTGCAATAATGTGGCGAGTAGAAAATGTACCTAAGGAAATGGGTGATAAAACTAACGAGATTTCTAGAGCCTTGCAAGTGCTACATGGTTTCTTCTTGCTATGTGTAGGAGAGAGAGTTAAGGTAAATAAACTAGTCAATAAAGAAGAGACAAACTTCCTAGTCTTAAAAATTTCCAGCCTCTCTAAATGGCAGAGAATGTTAAAATTAAGAAACTGCTTCCAGATAAAGATCAAATTCAGAAGCCATTTGGAAAACATAGTCTAAAGATTAAGTCAATGCTGTAAGTATAAAATCCTTTGTTAAGACCTCAGGAAGATCTGAGGAAGTATCTCAAAGAAACTTTCAGTAAAATAGTGGCCTTTCAAAGAAGATGAAGGTTGTTGCACCTAATTAGTCTTAGCAGAAGCCCCGGGTGTGAATGGCTTACCTGAACAAGATTTGCAGGTGTGCCTTTTGTGTAATAGAGTGAGCACCAATATGATTCACAGAACTTGCATACATTATATTATATTAGTAGAAATTATATTATATTAGTAGAAATTCTAGCAGCATTGACAAATCAGAACCACAATGTGCCTCCTGTCTCTATGACCCATAATAAACTGTTTTTTGTTGTTGTTGTTTATTTTTTTTCCTGAGCCTCTCCTCTGCCTTCCTTTGTGGCTACACCTGGCTGAACATCTCATAAAAGAATTACAAAACAATTGGTGTCACAAACAGGACGGTCTAGTTATGGGCAAGAGGAGACTTAGGAGGTGCCTCTTAGCTAGTTGGCTTACTAATAGGCAGTCTCAGTTGGGCTCTACCATCTGAGAAGTCTCCAGCGTTATGTTAACATTTCTGTGTACCGCTCTATGCCACTTTTTGTTGCCTCTTTTAGGGACTGCCAAGGCTTACTGCCCTAAATTGTGGATTGCATCCTCCTAGAATGCCCATGGACTCCACTTCCAGCTAGCCCTGACTCGGTAAGAGGGGGGCAAAGATTCTCCTAACATTCCCCAATTAAGTTAAAGACTGGAACAATTGCCTAAAAATATTACAAAGATTCCACTGGGATTGAGAATGACGTGGAAGGGTGAATTTCCCTGCAGCTAGCAAAGGCTTACTGAGTACCAGGTGCTAGGTACTAGCTGATTTGTCAGCAAATGAGAGCTGGGTGACCTTCTCAAGATTACTTATGTTGACAAGTGGCACCTGGACAGGGAGCTGCCTCATGTTCACATTCAAATTCATGTTTCTCCTGTCCCTGCCGAGTTCTAACAACAGAGGAGCATTACCTTCAAAGGAAGTCCACCATGGTGTCCAGTAAGGGTTAATGCTGCTGGCAACTCCTTTTCTGCTGTGTGCCTTGCTTCTGTCAGTCTTCCTTCCTGACTTCATGGGATATCTCGAATCTCACCCATAGAGAGGAGTGGCTCAATAAAAAAAGGAAAAGGAGAAGGAATATTTTGTTCCTCCTCTCCCTAAAATACCTCAAGTTTCTCAGCTGATTTGAGATTACAAACTTCCAGTTCAATGTGCTTGGACACTCTTAAGTACTGCTGCCTATTGACATGCTGAGAGTCTCCTCCTTAAAATCAAATTGTCACAAAACCAAGAATTTAAAAGATAAAACTGAGGCTGCCACTGATCTCTTTGATGTAGACCACAGCACCTCAGAGGTTGATTGAGACACCCTAGAGAGGGAGGCTACTGCTTACAGTAGAAAGGCTACTGCCTAGAGGTGTCACCCTCCCCCTGCCCCCCACCCGCCCCGTTCTTTATCAGCCAGAGAAAGAAAGAAAAGACTGCCATTTTAGGTGGCTGAGAATGAAAGGGAAAGAAAAAAAAAAAGGAAGGAAGGAAAGGGGGTAACAAAGACTGGCTTTAGGTGGCTACAAGCCCAAGGTGGGTAAAAAGAACTTTAAACCTTATGTATGGAGCAAATGACAGGTCTAACAAAAATAATACTAGCCCTAGGACCTTTCCAATTTATAAACAAACTCAAACCAGGGAGAAGATGAAAAGAAATTAAATAAATTATGCATACATATACATTTTTAATATAAATATATTATTATAAATTGTGTATATATAAACTATAAACAAAAATAGTTCTACTTTGATATAATTGGAAATTAAAAATTAATATACTATAGAATTTATATAACAAAAGATAAAAAGGGCATTGGTTGACTTTTGTGCTTGTACAACATAAATTCTAACTTAGCATTTGCTAAAATGCATCCAATTGACAAAACTTCATGGACTTAACCAATACTGGGGCTCAAATTATAGTTATACTAGAGGAGCCCATTAAGTTGAAACATTATATCCCCTATAATCTTAAAAATTAACTAAATATAACATTGAGGTAAAATGGGTATGCCTCACTTTAAGTGTAGCCTTGTCTATATTTCCTATAGTCACAATACCCATTGCCCTAAAATATTCTATATTTGGCATAGATGCCCTGACATAATAAATAATGAATTAAAATTAAAGTAAGTCTTTAACACTGTTAAAAGAATAAACTAAGGGACAATAAAATTTTAAAGAGTTTATTTGAGCAAATAGTGATTAACGAATAGGGCATCTCCAAACCAGTGGTTTGGGGCTCCACTGAGGAAGCATAAGGGACAAGCTTCTACAGAGTGAATCCAGAAGTCATATGAAGAAAATATTTGATTGGTTACAGTTATAAAGTTGCCTTATTTGGTCTATCCTGCTATATAAGTTATAATACAAGGATATAAATGTAAACCAAAAGTAAAATTCTAAGTCTCCCAACTTTCTGAATGCCTTTTTGGCAAGGGCATTCCAGAGTTAACCTGAAAAACGGAGGAGCCAGTCATGCCTCTTTATACCCCCTCCCTTTTGGAATTACTGATAGAACAGACTCTTTAAGTCTGATAAGAAACATTTACTGTCTATTCTCTCTGAACCCTGCTATCTGGAGGCTTCATCTGCATGATAAAACCTTGGTCTCTACAACACCATATAATAACCCAGACACTCCTTTCTGTTGATAATTCTTTCAACTTATTGCCAATCAGAAAACCTTTGAATCTGCCTATGACCTTGAAGCCCGTGCTTCCAGTTGTCCTGCCTTTCTGGACCAAATCAGTGTACATCACACATGTATTGATTGATGCCTTACATCTCCCTAAAACTCATAAAACCAAGTTGTGGCCTGACTACCTTGGGCACATGTTCTCAGGATCTCCTGAGGGCTGTGTTATGGGCCATTAGTCACTCACATTTGGCTCAGAATAAATCTCTTCAAAGATGTTACAGTTTAACTCTTTTTGTCAACAATAATTTGATGTCCAATGTGGGGCCTCAGGACCCTGAAGGAGCTGCCTGAACTCAGAGATAAGGTGTCAGCAGGGGCCCATTGAAATCCTCTCTGACTTCAAGTTCCTCCTCTGGTGGAACTGGTAAGTCCTCCTGAGTCCTGAATCTTCCTTTGGTTGATGGTCCTTGATTTATTCTGAGCTGTTTTATTTTTCTCCTAAGATGTTGTTTAGAATCCTAATTCTAGTTAAGAGGTGCATTATAAAAGACCGTCTCTATTTCCTTTCTGTAAAGACAAGGAGAATGACCGCCTTTCAGGCACCCTGTTTGGTTTCAAGTTCAGAGATACATTCTAAAGGGTCTTCTCTACTGCTTTTTTCTTCCTAAAAATTAAGCTCATTTGGCTTGTCTTTGCATTTCCATGAGGAAATAAAGTGTCATTTTTGTAGATAAATGAGAGACTGAGCTTTCTCATCTCTGAAGAGAAAAGGCATTTTACTCCTTCCAGCTGAAAGATGCCATTGGGTGACCGGTGGTAGGGCTGAGTGGGAATGCCTGGGGGGTTGACCCTCATGACATGCAGTACCCCTACAGGGAACCCCCAACAAAATTAGTTTAAAAAGCCTCATCCAGGATATGCATATAAGAGCTGATTACTCCATGTTTTGAGCCCTCTTGGAGGTGATAGACCTCCAGAGAGAGAAACAGACGTGCAAGAGGGCAGAAAATACTCAGTGCTGAAACACTGTAGAGTCCTACCCACAGTCAGCACACATGAATTGACCACACATAAAACCGTAGGCCACAGCTGTGTTTGTTCTTTTAAGAAAAGTGGGAAACAAATATGAAAGGAAAATAAATTTGGGGACCTCTTAAATCACTGAGACAACGGGAAAAGTCAAGCTGGGAAATTAATCAGGCAAACCTGCCTCCCGTTTTATTCCTAAATAAAATAGCTGCAAAGATGAAAAGATGCTTCATACCTCCCTTACAATCTGCCCACATGGAAATTCCTTGTGGGTCTCAAAATCTTTACCCTAACACAGTTGTGTTGAATTTCACCATGGCAATGTAAATTGATAGCTTATCTTCACAGGTGCAGGACAAAGGACAGAACTCAAAGTCATCATTCTGCTCACCTGAGACAAACGCATATTTGATTGCTTCTTCTGCCCTATTGTTTATGCAAAAATGCAGATTCAGCGAGCCAGACTAAGGCATAAGTAACTATTCCTCTACCCGCATCTCTCATGTTAATTATGTATTCAGTGAAAGGCTGATCAAAGACTCAAAAGGATGCAAATGTTCCTGTCTTATCTACCCACACCTTTTTAAATTTTCTTCCTCTTTCTCCAATATCCATTTTATCCCCTTTAAATATTGAAGCCCTCAAAATCATCTTTGGAGAAAAGCTCAGTCCTGCCTCCTGGGCACATGTCCATAACCTTGACAAAATAAACTTTTTATATTGATTGAGACCTGTCTCAGATACTTTGGGTTCACACAAATAAGAATGAGGAAAAACAAGGAGAACAACCCCCTTTGGAGTACCCCTTTGGTTTTATGGCACCTCTACTTGTTTTTGTGTAAAATGGAAAAGTTTGAGGCCACGCCAGTTTTTCTAGCACTCCAGCTGGTTACTTATTTTGGTCTTTTTGTGCACATTTTAAACTGATGGGCAAACTACATCAAGGAATAATTCAGAGCCCAAAGGTTGACCTGCAACTGTAGAGTTCCTAAATTCTCTATTTCTCTATTTTCTTTTCTTCCTGCTTTAAATCTGTTCTCACTTTTCTACTGAGATAAAAAACAATCTTTGGATGCAACCTTTTTTTTCTTTTTTTTCAAACTGGTGAGTTTGTATTAATATCTCATGGCTAGAGCTCTGAAGTAAAAGCTAAAGGGTCTTTGTTGGTTTGTGTGAGTGTGTATGTGTGTGTTTATGTGTACATACACATATTTTGTTATGTGTTTTGGCCACAAGGTACCAAATTGGCTTAAAGAGTACTCATAAATTAAATAATAAGCTAAAATGCTTTTCAAGTTCACATGAGTTAAGTAAAAATTTTAATAAACCAGCTTTAAAATTGAGAGGTGAAACCAGCTGGGCTTCTGAGTTGGGTGGGGACTTGGAGAACTTTCGTGTCTAGCTAAAGGATTGTAAATGCACCAATCAGCACTCTGTAAAATTACACCAGTCAGCACTCTGTAAAATTACACCAATCAGCACTCTGTAAAATCACACCAATCAGCACTCTGTGTCTAGCTAAAGGGTTGTAAACACACCAATCAGCACTCTGTAAAATGGACCAATCAGCACTCTATAAAATGGACCAATCAGCTCTCTGTAAAATGGACCAATCAGCAGGATGTGGGCGGGGCCAAATAAGGGAATAAAAGCTGGCCACCCAACCCAGCAGTGGCAACCTGCTTGGGTCCCCTTCCATGCTGTGGAAGATTTATTCTTTCGCTATTCACAATAAATCTTGCTGCTGCTCACTCTTTGGGTCCACACTACCTTTATGAGCTGTAACACTCACTGTGAGGGTCTGCAGCCTCATTCCTGAAGTCAGCGAGACCACGAACCCACTGGGAGGAACAAACAACTCTGGTCGCACCACCTTTAAGAGCAGTAACACTCACCGTGAAGGTCTGCAGCTTCACTCCTGAAGTCAGCGAGACCAAGAACCCACTGGAAGGAATAAATTCCGGACACAAAATTACTGGTAAAGTAATATTAGAGATGTCTTTAAAATTGTCAGCACTTTTGTTTGCATTTATTGATCAAGTAGTTTCATACTTATCCTTGCAGAATATCATAAGGTGTCAAAATTGGCCATAAGAGTTATAAAACTATAAACTCAACCCCAAACATAATTGTCAGCACTTTTGTTTGCATTTATTGATCAAGTAGTTTCATACTTATCCTTGCAGAATATCATAAGGTGTCAAAATTGGCCATAAGAGTTATAAAACTATAAACTCAACCCCAAACATAATGATCTTTGCTTGTGTAATTTTTGATAAATAAGACATTTAGTATTGTTGGTTTAATGAAAACAGCTAAATCCTGGGTTATTGGTAGAATACCTATATGTTTAGCCTTAAGTTTCTTACTTAGGTAAACACCTGAAATTCATAGGCTATGAAAATTGTTAACAGGGAAATAACTCTAAATGATGACTACCACAGTTTTCATAAATAATCCAGGTAAACTATTAAATGAACTAATCTGGTAAATGTAATGGAGTAAATGCTTGTAAACAAACTTGTCATATAACTTGTAATCTAAAGTTAGATTAAATAATAGCTATTTATTAAATATCTGGGTAATTCCCTATTAAAAATAATAGGAAAACATTTTTAAATGTGTTTTATTAAAAGATAAATATTGTTTGTCTAATTCAGAAGTTATATATAAAGCAAGGTAAAAGGAACCAGGAATTAATAGAGATGTAAAGAAAGTTATAAAAGGGTATTTTTGGTAAGAAATGTTAAAAGAGAAATGACTTTGTTTGCAAGAGAATCTCATATGGTAAACTTTTGTTCTAAAATGAATACACTGATTGTTTAATAAAGGGGAATATTTAGGACAAACCAGAAAGTCCAAGCATGTCGTGAGTAGTGTGTGTAAGTTGTAATCAGGTTAGTAAAAAAGGAATTTATAGGAAAAAACGTTATATAATTAAGTTGGCTAAAATGAAATTACAATCGTCCTTCTAGAAATTTGATTTTGATATTAAAAATACACTAAAAAGCTTTGGTTAGAACAAAATTTTATTGAAAAATATTATTCAATGCAAGAAATTTTTAAATTCTATAATCTTTTTCTTTTTGAAATTCTTCAGATTGATATCTCAGAAGTTTAACTTCTGCTGTCCCCTGCTGCTTTAGCTCTTTCTTTCTTTTGAAAAGGGCTGACATGGTAACTCTCTCCTATACCTTTTGTTGCACCTGTAACTTTTTTTTTCAATTAAGATTCTAAAGTAAGGGAGATCATTTTTGAAAATGGGCAAGTGAAAAAATCGTTTGGATGTGCCTTTGTCTGTCTATATGTTTATATGTGTCATGTGGAAATCATATTTGACTACCAAACTATATGAAACAGCTCCAATCAATTGCCTTAAAGAATCAGCCAAATAAAAGCTAGTTCTAATGCCATTTAGTTCACAGGACTTTAGTAATATTTGGTAAAATTCATTTGGTAAATTTAATCTAAAAATTCTATCCAGTAGCTTAAAATCTTAAAGTCATGTCACGTTACATTAAGTAACCTCAGTTTTTTTCACTGGGAATTTGGGTTACTAAGAGTTAAAATAATAAGAGACTAAAAAGTGTTTTGGGTGAAGTTTATAAAGACACAAGGATGTGGTATTTGCTAAAGAAAATGTATTTTTTTCTCATTTAGAGGTTATTGAAGAGTTACTTTAAAATAAAGGGAAAAAATTATACAGATAAAACTAAATGGATAAAGAGAAAAATAAAAAGGTGGGAAATGAGAAAGCTTTGACTCCTGGGTGGCCACGTGGTCACCCATATTAAAGAGCTGCAGCTGAGCTGCATTCAGTTACTAAAGGCAAAAGTTACTAGTGAAATTTAGAGATGAATCATACTCCCAGGGATGTGGCTCACTGGATGCATAAGGAAATGCAAACAGATAAGACAAAAAGCAAATATGCAATCTCTTGGCTATTGTTATCTCTAATAGCTAAAATTAAAATAAAAGAATGCTGGGTTGGGTGTTAATGCTGGACCAAGCTCAGATGTGGGTCTGTCTCAGCTCAGGCCACTAGCCTCAAAGCTACCCACAAAAGGAAAAATTAAGCCAGCACAACAAAAGTTACCTCTGAGACCTGTGGTTACCAAGAAGATAGTCAATGTGGGGTAAGGGCAAAACCAAGTAACTATTAATACCAGGGCATATAACGTAAAGGAATTATTCCATTTTGTAGATTGGTATCATTAGCTTTCTGAGAAACCTTTACTATAATAGATTGTAAAAATAACTGCTTTAAGGATAGTATCTTTAATTTTGAATGCTACAGAATAAAAGAGCATGTTTGGGTTGATGTAGGGCCCACAGCTCACTTTTTTAAAAAAATTATACTTTAAGTTCTGGGGTACATGTGCAGAACATGCAGTTTTGTTACATAGGTATACAAGTGCCATAGTGGTTTGCTGCACCCATCAACCCGTCACCTACATTAGGTATTTCTCCTAATGCTATCCCTCTCCTATCCCCCCACCCCCCGACAGGCCCTGATGTGTGATGTTCCCCTCCCTGTGTCCATGTGTTCTCATTGTTCAGCTCCCACTTATGAGTGAGAACATGTGGTGTTTGATTTTCCTACAGCTAACTTTTAAACATTCACTGATGAGTACATGTGATCCAGACACACAGGAGGTTATTCCTGAGAGAACAACCAACCTAGTGGACTGGATAAGTGCCATTGTAAAGTCTGTTTACCCTTAGAAGGGAACTGTCCAATTCTCCCTATAAAGTGCAAAGTGGGCTGTGTGTGGTGGCTCATGCCTGTAATCCCAGCACTTTGGGAGGCCAAGGTGGGTAGATCACGAGGTCAGGAGTTTGAGACCAGCCTGACCAACATGGTGAAACCCTGTCTCTACTAAAATTACAAAAAATAGCCTGGCATGGTGGTGTGCACCTGTATCCTAGATACTCAGGAGGCTGACGCAGGAAAATCGCTGGAACTTGAGAGGCGGAGGTTGCAGTGAGCCGAGATTGTGCCACTGCACTCCAGCCTGGGCAACAGAGTGAGACTCCATCTCAAAAACAAACAAACAAAAAAACAGCAAAGTGGAACACCCCAGATGAAGCAACTGTTATGCTTCATATGCAAGCCATGTGTGACTGGCTTTATGATGACTGGGATATTATCCCACTGAATATACCTATTACCCAGGTCATGGTAAATGTTGGTGTTAAAGGAGCCCCTTTTACATGGGCCCCCCCGGCAACATTACTCCTGGAGAGTCATACAACTCTTTGAGAAGCCTTATCAAATTTGCTGTCCTGCATGGGTCTTATAGATGCTTAATAAAACATTAGAGTAATTAACAACCAAAAAAAATGGAAGAGCAAAAGGGAGTCAAAGGACTTACCCTAGAAGCGTGGTTGAAATCTTTAGATGGTTATTAAGAAATGGAATAAATTAAAATTGCTGAGGTTAAAACAAAGGTCTTTGCAACACTATCAAAGGTTGGGTGGACCAAAGGGGACCCCTGATGGTCCCCCAACATTAAACGGCCCTACACCAGTTTTCTGCATTTGCCCCAGACTGGAGAAATTTAAGAAAAATCAAAAGGCAAAGATTATAATGAGAAAGATGACATTGCCTGGGTCAATGTTGAGGCAAATTAAGATAAACGTTGAAAAAAGAATGTGAGTCCCTTGGTTCAACTCCCTGATGGGAACCCAAATTTTCTTTCACCAGAAAAGGTAAAATGGTCTGGGAGTAGAGAATAAAAGTTCCTGGGACCAGAATGTAAGAATGTAAAGGTTGACATAATGAAATATCAACCTTTTTAAAAGGTTGGATTATAAAATTTGAGATGTTTAAACCTTACCTTTATGTAAGGTAGTTATAACGCCTTTACCTAAATGTCTTATGAAAATGGGTATTGTATCTGACTGGGGGATGTTATCCCTATCTAGTAAAATAAAACTGAAGGCATATAAATCTTCCCTTTGAGAAACATTAATTGGACACGCTAAATTGGAACTAGTAAGATTTGCCTAAGCCCACAGAATATAGGCTGGAAGCTGGAGTGCTGGTCAGGACAAATCCTCCCCTTCATAGCCCTTTGTGGAGCATTTATTGGGGCTTATGGCAAAAGCCTGTGAGCACTTCCTAATGACAAAAACCTGGAGTTTGGACTACAGAATTTTCACTTGAGGGGCATTTACTGCCTTGCTATAGGATGTTAACTGAAGCCAACTCTATCCTAATGAAAATAATGGTGCCCAAATGAGTTCAATGATAAAATAAAAATGGCTTATATAGGATCTTGCTATCTGGGGATGCAAGGAGGAGATGCTCATGAGCAGAGAGCCTCTTTTTCCTTAGGACTGACTCTAACTATATGAGGAGCTGCTAGATTCTACAGTGCCTAGTAAACAACTTTTATCTGACAACAGCTGCTTGGCTTGTGAATGAGAGTTCCAAGGTGAACAAATAGCATCTTGTTTGGAAGGCCGCTGCTCTGGTTAAAGAAGAGTCAAGGAAATATTTTTCTTTTTAGTTATTTATAGTTTAGAGCAATTGGGTAAAATACGTTGTTTTGAGAAAATTTACCTTTCTCTCCATCTGAGTTCTTTCTCCAAAATTTGGAATAGCAATATAATTACTTGCATAAGTTTAGTAAGAGTCTTTTCTTTTTAAACAGGACAATTGGGGACAGTGGTTATTTTACCAAGGCTTTGACTAAAGTAACATTTTTATGTAAAGTTCCAGAAAAGCCAACTTAAAAAGAGGCTATATGGCCACTCAATTTTTGCTGCACTTTTTGCAAATGATCAAGCCAAGTATAATAAGCCTAAAACTTATTTTGTACATGAATTGGTCTTAATATAATTTCTCTTAAGTATAAGAGGAGGGTTAGAGACAGAAAAATTATTTCAAAGGAAAACTAACACTTATTGCTAGATTCCAGCCCTGACTTTTGTTTTTGAGTGCAGATTGAATCATGAATTATTTATTGGCTACAATAATCCTCTAAAGAGTACCAGGTTTTAATTTTATTCATGTTTTTTTGTTGGCACCCTAACAGAATAGATTTATTTTTCTGTTCTGACACACACATTCTCTAAGTGTCAAATTATTAATATTATTTATTGCTTATTGATTTACTTCTCCTGAGAAAACCATAAATATGATATTCCAAAGACTAGAGATGATTTGACAAATCCTGTGAGTCTCCCTTATTTGAAATCCCACTGGAACTGCTCTGCTTTTCACTGCAAGTGCCCTGCTGCTAAAACTATATAGGCATACTCCCTCTCGGCCCTGGGACTATCACAGAAGACGTGGGCACATGAGATTATAAGGGCTGGTTTTGAGGGATAGAATTAGTTCAGGCCATCCAAAATCAAGCATGCATACACAGATTTTTAAACATCTGGTAAAACAAGAGACTTTGCCTTCTGAGATATTATGTGGCATCTTTTCATTCGTCACAACCATAAAGAATTTGCTGCTTCTTGTACAGTTAAAAAAAATTTATTACTGAGATAATAAGATACCTTGTGACAAAAGCCTCCTTGTTATAATACTCTTAGTTATGAGATTTATGGATATGAATATATTTTAAAAAATTTTTATCAGCCATTTTAGGACAAATTACAAAAAGACCAGAAAAAGCATTGCAGCACATCAAAAGTCTGTAAATTCCTTAGCTTAAAAGGGTTTAGCAATGCTTATGTTTGGTATACTCAATTGCTGTAAGCCTATAACTAAAACCAAGATTAAAGTAGCTCAACACATAAAAGTTAAAGACAGATAAAGTCAATTTGTAGCCTCACCTTTGGCTTTTTGTTTGTTGGCTTTTAAATTACTTTAAAATTTTTAAAGGGTAATGAATGTCTGTCCACGTCCGTTCCTGTTTGCCTAGAACACGTAATTGGCTGTAAGTCTTTTGGTTCTCAACCCCTTGGCCATAGGGGTTCCCACTGAGAGACAGGATGGACCCAGGGCAGGCAGCCATGCTGCCTTGGCAATGCTATGGGACATAATAAAAGTTTGGTGGCCACTGATGTTGCCTCTGGCAAATCTTGGCCAGAAGGGGGAGAATGTAAACCAACAATAAAATTCTAAGCCCCTCAACCATCTGAATAGACACCTCCTCTCAGCAAGGGCACTCCAAAGTTAACCTGAAAAACTAGTTCAGGCCATGATGGGAAGGGGGAGCCAGACATACCTCATTATACCCCCTCTCTTTTTGAGTTACTGATAGAACAGACTCTTTAAGTCTGATAAGAAACATTTACTATCTATTCTCTCTGAAGTCTGCTACCTGGAGGCTTCATCTGAATGATAAAACCTTGGTCTCCACAGCCCCTTATCATAATGCAGACATTTCTTTCTATTGATTCCAAGTCTTGTAGATAATAACTTAACTCTTTCAACCAATTATCAATCATAAAATCTTTGAATCTGCCTATGACCTGGAAGCCCCCACTTTCAGTTGTCCCACCTTTCCAGATTGAACCAATGTACATCGTACATGTATCGATTGATGCCTTATGTCTCCCTAAAATGCATAAAACCAAACTGGGGCCTGACCCCCTTGGGCATATGTTCTCAGGATCTCCTGAGGGTTGTGTCACAGGCCATTTGTCACTCATATTTGGCTCAGAATAAATATCTTAAAATATTTTACAGAGTTTGACTCTTTTGTCAACATATATATCTTTACTTATATAAGTTTGTTAGCTGCTATAATCTCTAGTTACATAAGTTTGTTAGCTTTTTCTGATTGGTTGAGTGTAAGTTCTATTTTTCTTTAATATAGGCATCTACAAGAAACAGCTCAAGTTAAGTTTTGTTTATGTTTGCAAATCAAGAAAAGTTAAAGTCACTTCATCTGCTCAGGGATTCTTCAGGCCTGGTCTTCACTTTAATTCGCTTTAACAACGCTTATAAATTGGCTTGATGAAATGGGATACCATGAACCCATAGTTAAAATAGTATGGCCCAATGTGACTAAAACAGGGCCTTCAAAGATTAAGATTTATTATATAAAACCAATTAATAATGGGATGGTTGTCCCCACTGCTTCTCTATTTGACAGCCCAATTTTCCTGGATTCTAAATCTGGAAAAAGTAAAGGATGCCTTACAGTAGATTACTACAAAGTTAATTCTGTGTTCCCATCCACCAAGGCCCCCCATATACAATATCCACTCCTCCATTTAGTCAAAAATCAGTAAATATTTTACTCTTATAGATTTGTCTAACATGGTCTGTTCAGTGCCCATTTCAACATCCTCTCAACTACATTTTACTTCTTCCTCTAAAGGGACATAAGACACCCTTTACAGGCTACCCATGGGGTACCTCAACAGCTTTGCTTACGAACAATCTTTGCAGGCAAGATCTTAACTGCATCTGTCTTTCTCCAGGAACACACGTATGACGTTACATTAATGGCATCCTCTTTCAAGGAGATGTATTTGATGCCCTCATTAAGAACATATAAGTCCAACATCTTTGAGTACTCTCTGGGTTCTGGTAACAACATATTCCACATTTAAAAATTTTACTTTCCAATGAAAGTTAACAAACACTCCTGTTAGAGCACTCAAAAACTCCTTCACTGTAGAGACTGTGGCATCCTCTTCTCATGCTTCCTGTAGTCTCTGGACCACTTAAGATAGCCATTAATTGCCCAAGGACTTCTGATGCAAGAAATTGCTTCCCTCAGCCTCATGCAAAACATCATTAAAATAACAAATGACTGGTTACCTGCTGGGCTCTTCTAGAAACTGAGACTCTCACATACCTTTTGGTTTACACTCTCTTGAGAGTTATAGACATTACTGGTTGTAACCAAGACACACACATACATTTGCTTCTTAGAATACATACTGCTGCGCTCTTGAAATAGACATTAAATAGAATTTCCATGTTCCTGATAGACCTCGCATAACCAGTTTAACTGAGACCTAATGGTCTCCTAAAATGACTCTTTTTAAAATTTCAGTCCAACAAATAAACTCCTAAAGTTCTCCATTTTGTCCCAGGCCTTAACATATTTTTTATACATTTTTAATCTTACCACAATCTCATAAAAACTGCAGGCCATATTTAAGGGGTAAAATCTCCTGGGACTCATTAACCGTAGATTGTTCCATAGGCCAGGCAGCTGCTCATCTGATATGGGAACAATTTGAACCTAAAATTCCACCAAAAACACAAAAATAAAATCCCTGTCAGGTGCAGCTGCACACCATTCTGTTGACTATTGATTTTTTTTTTTTTTTTTTTTGAGACAGGATCTTACTCTGTCACACAGGCTGGAGTGCTGTGGCACACCCTTGGCTCACTGCAACCTCCACATCCCTGGCTCAGGTGATGCTCCCACCTCAGCCTCCCAACTACCTGGGACTACAGGCCTGCACCACCATGCCCAGCTAATTTTTCTATTTTTGGTAGAGACAGTGTCTTTCCATGTTGCCCAGGCTGGTCTCGAACTCCTAGGCTCAAGCAATCTGCCCATCTTGGCCTCCCAAAGTGCTGGGATTACAGGTGTGAGCCACTAGGCCCGGCCGACTATTGATCTTACTGTTGATTTGGGTGCTTTCACTGGTTTACAATCTGGGAGCCCAAACCCTCCAAGCAAGTGCTTGCTTCACTCAAACATGGCAGATGCTGAGGTCCACATCTACTCGAGTGTGTACTAACTGAAAAAGAACATCCTAGTCCTACATCTCAGAGGATATCATCCTGGCCCAAGACCTCACTTTGGGAGATGACTTCGACACCCCGACCCCATCTTGGAAATGACTTCACCTTAGATACTAAAACCTTTGCTCAGTGACACCCATGGACAGCCTTTTCTAAGGCCCCACATTTTTGGTTTTCTTCATTCGATATTAAGGATTCTAATATGTTTCTGAGCTCCCTGTCTGTTTAGCCCATGATCCTGATAAACTCCTTGTTCTGCAAATGTACACACCTACACTCTGATGGGGATCACGACATGCTACTCCAAAATATGGCACCTTGGCATTTGAGAAATAGCAGAGGCAGAAAGGTCACTCTCACCTTCTGCTTGCACTTTTCCCCTGAAGCAGGTCATAAAACTTTTATTCCAGAAGTACCCTCCTGTATTAGTCTATTTTCACACTGCTATAAATAACTTCTCAGGCTGGGTGTGGTGGCTTATGTCTATAATCCCTGAACTTTGGAAGGTCAAGGCAGGAGGATCACTTGAGGTCAGGAGTTCGAAACCAGCTTGGCCAGTATGGTGAAAGCCTGTCCCTACCAAAAAAAAAAAAAAAAAGCCAGGCATGGTGGCATGCACCTGTACTCCCAGCTATTCAGGTGGCTGAGGCAGGAAAATCGCTTGAACCTGGGAGGAGGAGGTTGCTGTGAGCCGAGATTGCACCACTGCACTGCAGCCTGGGTGACAGAGCAAGACTCTGTCTCAAAAAAAAAAAAAAAAGAAAAAAAGAACTACCCTGAGACTGGGCAATTTATAAAGGAAAGAGGTTTAATTGACTCTGGGCAATTTATAAAGGAAAGAGGTTTAATCGACTCATTCACAGTTCCACATGGCTGGGGAGGCTTCGGGAAACTTACAATCATGGCAGAAGGTGAAGGAGAAGCAAGGACCTTCTTCACATGGCGGCAAGAGAGAGAGAAGAATGAAGGAGGAAATTCCAAACATTTATAAAACAATCAGATCTCATGGGAACTCCCTATCAGAAGAACAGCATGGGGGAAACTGCCCCCATGATACAATCACGTCCCTCCCTTGACATGTGGTGATTACAATTTGAGATGAGATTTGGGTGGGGACACAAAACCGAACCATATCACCTTCTTACACCCAGAGAAAAGGAACATCTTTATCCTCAAAGACACAGAGACACCAATAATTTGAAAAAATAGGCCTTGCTAAGTTCCCTGCAGTTATTATCATTACATGTCCCCTTTGTCCTATCATATGTCTGCATGACTGTCCACTCTTCATCAAACCCGAGCATAAAAATACACAGGTTTCTCTGTTTCTTTGGGTTTTCATTTGTGAAGGCTTCCATGCCATGTAAAACTTACATTAAGTAAATTTGTATGCTTTTCTTTTGTTAATCTGTTTCTTGTTATATGTGCCTCAGCCATGAAGTTAGTGTTGAGTAAGAAAAGAAAACCAGCCAGGTGTGGTGGCTCCTGCCTGTAATCTCAGCACTTTGGTAGGAGGGTGAGATGGAAGGATTGCTTGAGCCTAGGAATGACTGTGCCACTTCACCACAGCCTGGGCAACAGAATGAGACACTGTCTCAAAAAACCAAAAAAAAAAATAAAAACAAAGAAAAAACTAAATTATCTTTCCCCACAATTCCTATGCCTAAAGAGAAATCTGATTGAGGTTAGTACTGCCTGTACTCCTCTAAACATTAATGGAGATTATTGCTTTCCCCAGGAGGCACCTGCCTCTTTATCAGTCAACCTCATGACCCCCTAGGGAGAGGACCACTGACTCCCCACTGCCTACTCCTACTAAACCCCATCCAGGTTTTCAGGATGACCTCCTGCCTGTGTCTCCAACCAAAATGACTCCTTCCCTTGGGCTACACACAAATATCACTGATATTTACATATACTTTACTAGCTTACCATTTCATACCCTCTAACAACATAACCTGGCATCTTGACCTGAGCATATTTCTAACACACTACAACTCCATTAAGATATTGTTAGAGACCTCAAAATTTCAGATCTATTTTACTTGGCTAATGCCATATAAATGGAAAATTTAGTTATGGAGCAGCCTGCAGAGACTCCTTGTATTTCTACTTGTGTTCCTTCTTTCCTATTCTCGTAATAAAATGTTTTCTATGCTGTTTGGGGAAATTTATGTATTAGTCTCTAAACGTCTCCATTATCATCACCTCAAAGTTTCTTTAATAGGATGCCAAAACATCAGAGGACCAATTGTACTGTAAACATTTCCAATTTAAAAATGTCCTGTATATTATGATGTTCTGACATCTAAAAAAAGAGAAAAACACTGGCGGGGGAGAGACTACGCTTCCCTGGGCTAGGCAATTCTCAAAGATAACAAAGGGCTCAACCAGAGCATGTCTTTATGCAAACTAGCCAACCCACAGCCATACTTCCTCTGTCTGGCCCTCTCACCCCAGGAGGCAATATTCCTGTGCCTTAATCATCCCAGGACTAGATACCAGGCAACTAGAGACCACCCATATAGTTTAGAGACCTCCAAAATTATTCAAACTAGCCGACCCTAAACTGTTCACCCTGCACTGCCTTGCCTTTCCCACAGAAATCCCAATAAAGACCTTGGCCTAAGGGTCCCTTTTTCCTGTCTTCTGCCTCCTGACCACCCTAGTATCTTTACCATGTGGCTCTGAGTGGCATGGCATGCCTCTTGTCTCCAGGACCTGTGAGTATAATAGTATAATAAACTTTGTTTTTTTTCCTGAGTCTCCTCGGTCTCCTTTTGTGGCTGCACCTGACTGACCATCTCATAAAATAATACAAAACAGATGTGCTCCCAAAAAATATGAGAGCAGGTATTAAGGCTATCTACAGAGCACTGAAGCAAACTTATGTGAAAGTAGAATGAGGTCTTCCACCTTCAATACCTTGTCTTTTCCCTTTCTAATCCCGTACTCTGGTCACCTACGACTTCATTTTTTTCCTTAAACAGATTCCAGTTATTTGTTCAATTTTCTCCCTTTCCTCTCTTAATTTTTATTTTTTCATTAGGAAATATTGCCAACCTAGACAACAGAACATAGAATACTATATCTATGTACTCACCACTCAACTAAAGCAATATCACATTACAAAAGCACTTGAGGGCCCCCATGTGCCCCTCTCCAATTAAATTCTCCTTCATTTCTCTTCACAAGCCACAGCTACTAAAATGTTTATTATTCTCATACATGACTTTCTGCATCCTACACATGCATACATCACACTCATGCATTCCTTTTACCACATACATATGCACTCATAGTTAATTTATGGTGATGGTTTTGAATGTTTTTAAACTTTTTTTTCTTGTAAGACCATTTAGAGATACAAATAAATCTTTCCACACTAAAAGCCTGTGTTCTTTTATAAACCATAAACTCAACCTCACAGAATTTCACTAACCCTGTCTAGACAGGACTTTTCATGGTCCCCACACTACAGAGGCTCCACACCTGCCCTTTTCTGGTCTCACTTTTCTGTAAGCAGCCAAAAGTTCAGTGTTTGGGGTCATGAGAATCTACGCACTCACTCAGAACCTGTGCCTTCCACCCCTAAACATACTTCAGGCATCTGGAACCCTGAATTTGCTGTCCAGGTGGCCCCAAACCCCAAGAGGCCTGCAGGCTCCTGTTCACTGAGTCTTGTGCTTCTGAAAGTTAAGTGCACTGTCAATGTATTTTCTCAGCACTGAGAGGTGACCATGAGGTGGGTGGGCTTCAGTATCCATATATACATATGCATATTGTAGCCACTTGAGGTGAGGAATGGAGCTCAGAGTATGCAGAGAAGTGCTGAGGCATGAGGGGGTTCTGGGGCCTGGGATGTAGTACAGAGGTCTGAGGGTGTGGGTCTGCTCTAGCTACATCACTGGAACAGAACTTTGAGGTGTTCAGGTATCATGGACAGACCCTAAACTGACCCCCAATAAACCCAACCTTCCAGCATTCACAGTCTTGAATAATTCCCTCCCCTTATATTGGGCAGAGCCTGTGACTTCATTCTAAAAATGAATAGAAAATATATGGAAATATATGGCGACAGAAATAGAAAATATATGGCAAAGGTGATGGGATGTCACTCTTGTTATGGGATTTTACACACACACACACACACACACACACACACACACACACCTTCTTTGTGTGATTCATTTTTATGCCACAACGAACAACCAATGCACTGGGCCCAAGAGAGGGCATCCCTGGAGGTTCCAGGTACCTAGATGCATAGCCTGGCACCTCATCCAACTATTCCTGATATATACTTGTTACTGAAAGCTCTATGTTTCTAAATTTCTTCAGTAAACTAAATAAGAAAAAAGATCTTTAAAATACACCAAGTATTCTAAATTTAGCCCTGCCTTTCAGATTGATAAGAAGGTATATCTATCATGGTAGGAAAGATACTATATTTAACAGTTTATTAGTTGATTTGAACCTTTCAGATATTTGTATACATGGCACGTAGGGTAGGCCTCCAAATGAACTCTTGCCTAGAACCCTGCAAATATTACAAAAGGTATAGATGGTCTAGTTTAAATATTTGGTCTCTTACTCCTTCCTCTTCCTCACTTCTTTTTTTTTGGTAATAAAATACTTTATTGGTACCATTTAATAAATGTCAAAAACATATAACATTTCCATTGCTTAGCTTCCATCTTTAAACTACAAACTAGTTTACAAACAACAGGAACAAAAGTAAACTCATTTGATTCTCTCAAAAAAACAAGCTGTAACTTACCTTTGCAAATAATTAAGTTCTCTCACTTTAAATATCATAATTCGCTGGTCTTCATAATAAATAATTATAATAATATATACAAAGAGACAGTGGCCTGAATTATTTTGCAGAGAACATTTCACACATCTTTAAAAAAAATCACTAAACTACCACAACTTAAAACTTGTAAGAATAATCAGGTAAGAATTATTGTAATGTTGAATTAATATAGCACCTAGAAATTTGAAATTTGTAATATTTCAGATGATATGATTTACTGAGAAAAAGAGTAATGATTTTTCTTCGGTGAATTTTCAGGGGTTTTCAACATAGGTCTCTTTTAAAAGCCAATGGTTAAAAAATTTATGCATACTAGGAATTGACCTGATGGTAACAGATACATGTGTGAGAAATAATGTAGTGCAGTCCTATCTGAATATAATTTCTTCTTCACTTTGTCTCATTAATTTATATCTCAATTAAAACATTCTATATGCAAGTGATATATTTCTCTAAAACATTCCGTATTTCAGATTTCCATTCAGACTGTCTTCCCCTCCTCCCTTTTCTCAAATCAGGGTGATCTTGTGGTATACCATTTGCTTTTTCTCTCCACAATGAAACTTTCTCCATTCAAAGTATTATAGTAATGCAAATACAAATGTAGCATATATTAATATATTAGAAGAAAGGATAGTAAATACATATGGATCCATGCCAAATGAGAAAATTGAAAGCAAAAACAAACGAAACCATGCTATGCTCATCTATTCTGAATCACCATGGGAAGACCCTGATGTAGCTGGCTCACATAAACCAATGTTCCCAGACACAGCTAGGATCCTGTAGTCCAACATAATTAAGTGCTCTGTTAAAAATGTTTCCGTGTTCTTTTCTGTTTGTTCAAAATAGTTTACAGCAACTCTGACTACTAATCCTAATCCTGAACATGATAATGTAATAACATTATCTTTTTAATCAAGCCATAGATTCTAACCTATTTTCTACTATTACCCACTTGCTTAAAAACAGACTTTCAGGGGTGTAAGCAACAGTAAGTTAAGGAGTTTTTATTTCTACCTTTCTCTTGATTGATTGATTGGGGATTTCAGATGTGTCAATTAATTATCCTCTACTTCAGTGGAAAAGGATTCTTCAAGCTATCAAATTAAGCAGGCTAACTCAGGGGTGGGCAGGTGAAGATACCTGTCCACACACTATGCTCATAGCACTCCATCTCCTCTGTAAGAATGTGCTGCTCTCCACCCAACAGTGGCCCAGCACATTCCATCCACTCCACCTAGATGCAATCAGGACACCATGCAATCCCACACACAATCAGAACATGGGCACTAGGTAGAACTAACTCAAAACAACTTTTGGGACAAATACGAGATTTCAATTTGTCAATTATTCCATAGTGCAGTATTCTCACAAAACAGAGATTTCGTGTTGAAACATTTGTTTTTTCTTCTCACATCAAGTTGAATTGCTAAAGTAATGTCAGAAAGAACATGAAAAATAAACATGTCTTCTCCAAAAGAGGCACTGCATCTGAAAGTAGAAGCAAGGCTAAATAAATAGTGTTGGTTTGTGGTTCACACAGTAAGGCATTATGATTTCAACCAACAGCTTCGCTGTTTGTCCTGTATGCCTGTTTATGAAGATGCGTCTCTATTTCCTCCCTGAAGACCAGCATTCCCAGGTGGGAGCGAGAAGCCTCATCCATGGCTTTAGACTGGATGCACATGCGGTACTGCTCGGGGGTCAGCTCATCAGCACAGTGCTTTTCATGCCAGAGGTGGAAAAGACCAGGAACTGGATTCCGAATAACAATGAGGTCACCACGTAAGTATTTTCGATAAAGATGAACATCTTCTCCACCCCAACCTTTCACTTCCATGTCAAATCCTCACTTCTTATTACAGTTTGTTACCTAAGCACAAAAACAGTGCTGCCCCTTGGTTCAGAAATGGCCTCTTCAGCTTGATCCCATAGCCCCTCTTTCTGTGGGCTGGGAGCAACGTACCTAGTCCCTGGGCAAGGCTAAAGTACAACCACCAACCGTTCTACCACTCTAACCATGCTCAACTGCATCCACCTTCTTTCCCACACATCTTTCTTGCTCCCCAAATTCCAGGCCCAAATCCTCTTTCTCAAGACTACTTCTTTCCCATACCAATAGCCACCCGGAGGAGGCTATCTGCCATCAGTTGGATCAGGCACACAATCCTTCTTAAGAATGCTTTGCTTTTCTGACAATGCTCAGGTCTGAACTGTCAATGTCCTTTTTGATTGTTCTCCACTGCTACATACAGGATGAGATAAGCTACAGAAGGGTTTTTGTTTTTGTAATTTTGTTTTTCATAGAGCAGAGACCAAGGAAGCTACAAAGAACCTGACAACTCATCAGAATGTGCTTCTTGGTATCTAGATATTCTTTACCTCTTCATTAAGCAACAGTTTTATTGCAAACTTTTGAAAAGAAAATAGGAAAATTCCAACCTTACATTGGTTCACTATAAGAAAAAGTAAGGGCATGGAAGGTGTAATAGCTATCTGTCACAATTATCTGGATAAGGGTATCAACCCAAATAAACTATTTTCCATGAAAATTATAAGGAAATATAGTCATTTATATCACCTATAAGATCCTGAAAATGCTCTATGCAGCATCCTGATTTGCAACCATCACTGCAAATGCAATGCACTCAACCCTCAGAAGCACAGAACCAGTGAATAGATGTCTACAGGTTGCTTGGAACTTGGCGTTTGGGGCTTGGGAAGACTTGGGCAGAAAATTCAGGGCCCCAGGCACCTGGAGCATGTTTGGGGAAGGGGGTATGGGCTCTGAGTGTGCCCATCCCCTAAACTCCATACATTAGACTCTTGGCTGTTTGCAGAGAGGTGGGGCTGAAAGAGGGCAGATGTGGACCCTCTGAAGCGTTAAGTAAATGAAAAGCCCCTTTGAGCCTGGATATCAGAGCAGTATTGTATTTAACAACTGGTTAAGCATAGGCACTGGGATAGCCAGCCTCCAAGGTTGTTTTAGTGATCCCTGCCTCCTGGTGTTCATGTCCTAGTGTAGTGCTCTCTCTCATTTAATAGAGCTGAGACATATGTGACAAAACATTTGTATGTATTAATAGCAATAGATAACTAACACATGTTGGTAGTAAGTGTAAGTTGCTGCAGTAACTAAAACCTAAAATAGGGGAATGGCTTTGAAACCAGACAGAGGGCTGAAGCTGGGAGGAGTCTGAGGGGAGTATTAGTAAAAGTCAAAGATGCTTGGACCAGACTGTTATCAAAAACCTGACGGTCATTGTGAAAGTTGTCTCAGAAAGCTTAAATGGAAATGAGAAAAATGTTATTGGAATCTGGAGGAAAAGGGTGCCTTGTCATATATTGCAATAATGTGGGGAGTAGAAAATCTACACCTAAAGAAATGGGTGGTATAACAAAGGAGACTTTCAAACACAGTGTTGAAGGTGCCCCCTGGTTGCTGCTTCTTGTTTGTAGGAAAATGTGTGAAGAGAAAGTTAAACTAAATGAAGGACTTTAGCTTGAACAAAAAGGAGCCAGCACTTGTTTCTTTCAAAATTCCTAGCTTTTCTTAGATGGCAAATGATGCCAAAATTAAGAAAAGGATTTTGGGCAAAGAGCAAATCTAGAAGCCGTCCAGGAAAATAAGAGCTATAAAGATGAAGCCAAAGGTGTGACTATAAAGCCTCAGAAAGGTCTGGGCAGTGCCTCAGAGATCCTTTAAATGAAACAATATGCCTTCTAAGAAGTTTAAGGGTGTTGTTCCTAAGCAGTCTCAGCAACAGCCCAAGACCCAAACTGCTTATGTCAAAGAGAATTGTGGATGTGTATTTTGTCTAATGGAAGTGAACCCCAATAAGATTCCTAGAAAGACCATGTAGGACTTTTAAAAAATGTTAGCAGAAAGAGTGCCAGCTAAGCACAAACCAGTCAGGACCAATATGATGCCCTTCAAATGATACTGCATAGATAAAATCCAATTTGGAATGTCTTTTCATTTTAAATGATGGTGACCAAAGGCCCTGTGCTTTTTGTGATTCCAGCCATATCATAAGGAATACTGCCTGTTGCTACATGATAATACATTTTAGTATGTCAACACTGGTGACAAAAAAGGAGTGTGGTTGGATTATGTTAACTTTGTTTTAACAGATATTTATCAGTGTGTTTTGGGGGCAGAGATAAAATCCTGTAAAACCCTGATCATTTAGAAGTTTGCTCTCTAGGGGTTAGGGGAGATAGACACACATCCCGCTCTCCTGGCTTATTAGGTTTCTACTGCTATCTTTATCAAAACTTCCTTATATGTGATTTGCTTCTTTTTTCTTACTGATTTCAGGATCCTCTCTTTATTATTATTATTTACAGCATAATATATCTTGGTGTAGAATTGTTTGAATCGAATCTTATTGGAAACCCTTGACCTTCCTGTACCTGGATATTTATATCTTTCCCCAGATTTAGAAAGTTTTTTTGTTATTGCTTCTTTACCCTTTTTTTTATCCCATTTGCCTCTCTGTCCTTCTTGAACTCTTATAACTTGAAGATTTGCTTTCTTGATGTTGTGCCATAAATCCTGTAAGCTTTCTCCATTTTTTTGCATTCTATTTTTCATCTTTTGACTGTATATTTTCAAATAATCTGAAGACAGATTATTTTCTTTAGTTACAGATTTTTTTCCCCATGTTCAATTCTGCCATTGATGCTCTTCTATTGCATTTTTCATTCTATCCATTGCATTTTTCAGCTCTGGAATTTTTGTTTGATTTTTCAAAAATAATCTCAGTCTCTCCATTAAATTTCTCATTTTGGTTGTTTATTATTTCCCTGATATTATTAAATTGTTCTTCTGTATTTTTTTCTGAGGTTTGCTAAGCTTCCTTAAAACAATTATTTTGAATTTCTTCCCTGGTAGTTGGTATCTTCTTTCTCAAAGAAATGAAGATACTAACTGCCAGAGGAAAAGAAATCAAAATAATTGAAATGAAAATGAAGTCGGCATTTTCATTTCTTTGAGGTCGTCTACTGGGAGATTCTGGTATTCTTCTGGTGGTGTTATGTCTCCTTATTTATTCATGTTTCTGGTTGCCTTACATTGATGTCTGCACACTTGAAGAAGTATGGACTCATTCCAGTTTTTGCAGAGTAATTTTTCTGAGAAAGCCCTACATGAGTCAGACCATCTAGAGATTCTGGGCAGGCCATCTGGTGTGGCCCATGGGCAGGCTTGCTTCTGGAGTCCGGAAGCAGTCTGGCCTGGTACCTGCATTAGTAAGTAGGTGGGCCTGCTGTCTGATTCCACTGGTTTGGACCAGGAGCCTGAATCCATGGGAATGGACCTGTTTATTTGGCTTGTAGAGGTGGGCTTGAGCTTGAGTCCTCATGGGCAGACTTGGAGCCTGTAACCTTGGTGGCTGGCCTAAAGCCTGAGTCCATAGTGTCTGGTCTGGAGCCTGGGTAAACTGGGATAGGCCTGGGCCCTGGGTCTGCTGGATCAGGCTGTGACTCTGGACCCTCTGGGGCCCAGGGCCAGCCTGGTCCTGTGGCAAGTGTGAAGCCTGGGTTTGTGGGGACTGGTCTGGAGCCTGGTAGCAAGAGTGATGGTCTGGTGACTGGTGACACAGAGGCTGGCCCGAAGCTTTGGGCTGTGAGGACAGTCCTGGATCCAGGGTCCCTTGGGACCAGTATGGTACCTGAGGCTGAGGCCAATAGTACTCACCTGGTGCTGAGATGGGCCTGGAGCCTAGGGCTGTGTGAGTTGACCTGGCTCTCAGCTGTTCTGAACCCTGGGGCAGGCCTGGTGCCTTGGGTTGCAGGGGGCTGGGTTGGAGCTGGGTTGGCCTGGAGCCTATATCCACAGAGGCTGACCTGGAGGCTGGGTCCATAGGTGCTAGCCTGATGACAAGGGCTGTGGGGGCTGTTCTGTTGCTGGGACCAGCCTGAGGCCTGGGACCACTGGGGCCAGCCCAGATGTGGTCTACAGCCCAGGGTTGCTGGGGCTGGCCTGGCCCTGGGATGGAAACTAGAACCTGAATCTGTGGGGGCTTGTCTAGCATTGGGGTGGGCCTGAAGCCCAGGGCTGCTGGAGTTGTTCTAGAGCCTAGAGCTGCTGGTGGTGTTGGCCTGGAGGTGGAGTGGCCCAGAGACTGAGTCAGCCAGGCAAGCCTGGAGCCTGGGGCTATGGGATGCAGCCTGATGCTGAGTTGGCCCTGGAGACTCAGTCCATGGGTACTGGCATGGAGTTTGGGGTATTAGCAACATGCCTGGTACTGGGTTTTACTTGGATGGGCCCAGTGTTGGGGGCCGAGACAAAATACAATGTTCACTTCCCTCTCCTTCCCCCAAGTAGGGGTTATCTCTCTCCATGTTGTGCTGTTGTGGTTGGGGAAAAGGGTGATGTGGGTAATGTAAAACCATTCTTCCTACCCTCTTCAATGAATCTTTTCTTATTTCTGTGCCACAACCATGTGCTGTAATCTGTCACCTGGTTTCCTTAGCTCTTTGACGGTATTTTCATGCATGGATACTTAGGCAAGTTGATGTTTCTGTTGGGGGATAAGTGCCAGAATGTCCTATTCTCCTATCTTGCTGACATCTGTCTCTCTGTCTCCTGCATGTCTTTATTTACGTTTCCTGCTTAATTGTGCTTACTTAAACCTCCAGTACAATTTTGAATAGAAGTGGCAAAAGCAGACATCATTTTCTGTTCTTGAACTTGGGGAAAATCTTTCCGTTTTTTTTTTTTTTTTACCATTAAGTATGATAAGGGAGGGGTTTTCATAGATGCTATTTAAGAAGTAAGAAATTTCCCTTCTATTCTTAGTTTGTTGAATGTATTTCTTATGAAAAGTGGTTTGATTTTTGTCAAATAGTTCTTTCTGCATCTATTGAGATCATTACGTAATTTTTGTTCTTTAGGCTATGAATATGGTGCATTACTATTTCACTATTTATTGGGTTGTTAAACTGTGCCACGGGATAGAATATAACATGAGGGTGGCCAATATTAAAAGGTGGATAAGTGCCAACTGGGGAAGGAACTAGTGAACTATTTGAGGTTGCTGAGAGTAGTATTATGCACATCAGGCTCAAGTGATATAGTGTTTCTTATAGCAAGAAGAGCGAGGGGGTACACACAAGTTCCAGTCACTGTTAATATGTTAGTTCCTATGGCTAGTGGGTCAGTTAGGCAGCCAACTCAGGCACTGTGACTTCATGTATCCCATTTCATGCTGCAGTGGAAGGACCCCTATCCCCTCCCTTGTGGGGTCTGAGATGCAGAAAACTGAGGGCATGCCTTAGGGACACTCAGGCATACACTTAAGCAGAAAAAGAGTACACATCAAGGTCAGAAGAGGGAAAGATATCTCCTCATTAGATGATAAGCCCAGCATAGGCTGTGAAGATTCTTCATCTTCCAATAAGGAAATGTTCCAGGCCCAAAGCTCATTCTTATGCAGCCAAGTGGGGGTTGACAGATTGGGCATGACTCCCTTTCCCAACAATTGCACTGACTGATTTTCATATGTTAATTGATGTTGCATTCTTAAAATAAATTCCACATAGTTATAGTGCATAATCATTTTCATATGTTGCTTGATGAGTACTGATAATATTTTGTTCATGATTTTTGTGTCTGTATTCATAGGGGGTTTTGAGCTGTAGGTCTTTTCATGTTATATCTTTGTCTTTGGTATCAGGGTAATATTATTGGCTTCATAGTATGAGTTAAGGAATATTTCTTCCTAATTTTTTTTTTTTTTTTTGAGACATAGTCTTGCTCTGTCGCCCAGGTTGTAGTGCAGTGGCATGATCTGGGCTCCCTGCAAGCTCCGCCTCCTGGGTTCACGCCATTCTCCTGCCTCAGCCTCCCGAGTAGGATGGTCTCGATCTCCTGACCTTGTGATCTGCCCGCCTCACCCTCCCAAAGTGCTGGGATTACAGGCGTGAGCCACGGCACGGGGCCTCCTCCTATTTTTTGAAAGAGTTGTAAAAGATTGATGTTAAGCTTTATTTAAATGTAGAGTAGAATTACCTAGTGAAGCCATTGGGACCTGGGTTTTTCTTTGTGGGAAGCTTTTTGATTAGTAATTCAATCCTCTGTTACAGGTCTGTTCAGATTTTCTATTTATTTTTTAGTCGATTTTGGTACTTTGTGTCTTCCAAGTAATTTGCACATTTCATTTAGGAGATATAATTTGTTGGCATACAATTTTTCATAGTACTCCCTTGTAGTCCTTTTTAATTTTGTGGCATCAGTAATGATATTCCTTCTTTTATTTCTGATGTTTTAAATTCAATTTTCCTCAAGTTTTTCCTTGGTCAATCTAGCTAAAGATTTGTATCTTTTGTTGAACTTTAAAGAACAAAACCTTTTTGTCACTGAGTCTCTGTATTCTTTTTCTAGTATCTATTTTACATATTACTACTCTTATCTTTATTATTCTATTTCTTGGGCTGACTTTGGGTATATTTACATCTTATAAGTTTTGATAAGTTTTCCTTTCATTCATATATAATTATTTTCTAATTTCTAATGAAAGTTTTTCTGTGATTCATAGGTTATTTAGGATTATGTTGTTTAATTTGTATGAATTTTCCACATCTTACTTTTATTGATTCATACTGTCATTCCATTGCCTTCAGAAAAATTACTTAGTATGATTTAAAACATTTTAAGTTTATTGATGCTTGTTTTACAGCCTAATATAAGGTCTATTCTGGAGAATATTCCATGTCCATTTGAGAAGAATGTGTATTATGTTGTTGAGTAGATTGTTCTAGATGTCTATAGATCCAACTCGTTCATAATGATGTTCAAATATTCTAATTTCTGTTTCATCTTCTGCCTAGTTGTTCCATCCATTTGTGAAAGTAAACTGTTGAAGTCTCCAACTATTATTGTTGAATTGCGTATTTTTTTTTCTTCAGTTGTATCACTTTTTGTTTCAGACATTTTGATACTCTGTTCTTTGGTACATATATTTATATTTGTTATCTCATTCCTGTGAATTGACCCTTTAATCATGAACTGTCTTTCTTCATCTCTGTTCGATAACTGTATCTTAAGGTCTGTTTTGTATGATATGGTAGCAAATTCACCTTTGGTTGCTCTTTCTATGGTATATATATTTTCCATCCTTTTACTGTCAATCTATTTTGAAACTGAAATGTGTCCCACGCAGACAAAATAATTGAATTGTGGTTTTAAAAATCTATTCTACAAATTTGTCTTTTGATTAGAGGACAGTCTATTTACATTAAATGCAATTACTGATAAGATAGGATTTATGTGTGATATTTGGATATTTCTTTACCATATGTTTTATGTCTTTTTTTTCCTCCATTTCTTCATTAGTTCCTTATTTTATGTTAAACACATAGTTTTACTATACTATTATAATTGCCTTATTGTCAGTTTCACTATATTTTTGTTATTTTCTTATTGGTTGCCCTAGGATTTGCAATTGGCATTTTAGCTTAAAACAATCTAGGATGGATTAAGAACCAACTCAATTTCAATAGAAAACAAAATTTTTGTAACTATTAGCATTTTCTCCTTCTTTCTTTGGGCTATTATTGTCATATAAATTTCATCCTTACATATTATAAGCCCATCAGTGCATTTTAATAATTATTGTTTTCTATGATGTCTTTTAAATCAGACAGGAAAAAATACAGAAACAAACAGAAATTCACCTACACCGTCTTTACATTTACCTATCCATTTACATTTTCTGGTACTCTTTATCATTTTATGTAGAGTTACTGTCCAGTGTCCTTGCATTTCAGCCTGAAATACTCCCTTTAATACTGCTTGTAGGACAGGTCTGCTAGTGACAGAATCTCTGTTTTTTTTTTTCAGTAAAATCTTAATCCTTCTTCAAATTTGAAAAATGGTTTTTATAGACAGAATTGTGGCTGACAATTTTTTTCTTTCAAAACCTAAAATATATCATCCCACTGCCTTTGTGCCTCCATGGTGGTTGATGGGAAGTCAGCTATTGATCTTATTGAGAATCTTTTATATGTGATAAGTGTATTCCCCTTGTTGCTTTCTAGATCTCTTTGTCTTGGGCTTTGAAAGTTTGATTATATTGTGCCTAGTTGTGTCTCCTCTGAGTTTACCCCACTAGTATGACATTGAACTTCTTGAATGCATAGGATAATGTTTTTTCTATTAATTTGTGAGTTTTGGCCATTATTTCTTACACACTCTTTCTGCCCCGTCCTCTCTTTCCTCTCCTTCTAAGAATGCCTTATTTTTGCCCCATAGGTTTCGGCATCTACAATTTTCCTCATTCCTTTTCCCCCCTGTTCTTCTGTCTGGATAATCTCAAGTGACCTACCTTCAAATTTAATGGTTCTTTCTTTTGCTAGCAAATCTGCTATTGAGCCCCAATGGGAAATTTTTCATGTCGGTTACTGTACTTTTTGAATCCAGAATTCTGATTTTTCCTTTTTAAATAATGTCTCTTTCTAGTCTCTATTTGGTGAAATATTGTTCTTTCCTTTAACTATTTGAACATATTTATAATAATTGATTTAAACTCTTTGATAAACCCAGTGTCTGGGCTTCAGCAGGAACAGTTTCTACTGACTTGTTTCGTTGTTCATGAGCCATGCTTTCTTGGTTCTTTGCATATTTTATAGTTTTGTTGTTGTTATTGTTTTAGTTGGACCTTTTAAACAATAGGATGTGGCAACTCTGGAAATGAGATTACGTCTCCCTCCCCAAATTTGTTGTTGTCTGTTCTTGTTTTTGTTCTTGTTTTCTTACATAGTAACTTTACTCAAATAATTCTTTAAAGCCTGGATACTTTGTCATCTGTGGCCACTGAATTCTCTAATAATGATCAGCTAATGATTAGACAGAGACTTCATTAAGTGGCTTGAACCAATAAATCTTTTAGGATTTACCTAGGTTCTTTGTGTGTATATTTCGGGATGCCTTTAACACTCAGGCAGTCTATTACCATGCCTAAGCTTTCATTTTCTGCATGTGCAGAGCCTCAATATCAGTGATAGATGAGAGCTTAGGGCCTTCTCAGCTATTTCCTGAGTATGCACACAGTTCTGCACATGCTTATGGCCTTTCAGATCTCATTTATATTGGAACTTTTCAAAACATTCTGTGGAAATTTATTTTGTCACTTTTTCATTTTAAGGTTTTTTGACGCTTCCTGTTAGTCCTCACTGATATTGTATTACCACCTCCGGAAGCTGCAATGTTAAACAATTGCTGCTGAATGTTTTTTTCAAATGTGCTAAGGGCAGGCCAGTTTACACAAAATAGATGCTTCAGTGAGATAAAATGAAGTCATGTCTGCAAGTGGAGCATTTCAGAGAGCTGCCAGATGGGTCAAATAATAATTCTCTGAGGTTAGAATTGTAAGGGAGATCCAAACCTGTTTTGCTCTTCCACTGGTTGCCAGGCTACAGGTTTCTCAGGTAACATAAATGCAAAGCTGTTGGTTCTGAAGGCTACCACAGATCTTGGATGACGGTCAGATTAGGCCAAGTTGAAATGCAACAAAGCTTGCTGTTCATAGTAATATTTGCCAGTTTTTCTTAAACAAATGCTTTTTGGATGATTGAAAGCCTTTGGTTCATTTGGAGAGTGCTTAAAAGTTGATTTTGACAATTTTTTTCCAGTGTTCTCATTGCTTTTTGGAGGTCCTTACTCTACCATCCCAGAATTGCTTCTCTCTTTCTTACTTTCACTAAATGTTCCTTTTAGTTGTGGAATTTCCATTTGGATTTATTTACCATGTACTTCTAGCCTATTTTGCTTTATAGATTTCAAAATTATGCTGTCATGTACTTAAGTGCGTATGATGACTAGTTATTTAACTGGGATGAAATTTCCCTCTAAGTTCCTTGGAAAGCTATTTGTCATAAATTATACTATTTCTTATATAGACTTTGCTATATTTATCTTGTTATTGGTCACATATGCTCTATTTTCTTTCTCTTTAGAAGTTTTTAAAATAATGTTTAATAGAATATTTGAACAATAATTGCATTTGCCTTATAAATATTTTAAATATTATAGAAATACTAAAATCCTGTTTCATCATCTATCACCATCCTCATTCTCCCTGACTTCATATGTTACTTCATCATCACATTATGGGATATAATTCAAGACCTTTGTTATGTGCATTAACATGACTTTGTGCACTACAAAAATGTATATATTTCTTTATATGTATCTGTGAGTTTTAAACAAAGGATATAATTTAGCACTTATTGATTTACAATCTTATTTTCACTTGAGTTGTCTTGCCATTAGTTATATTTACATAAGCCTCATTCTTTTTAATTGTTACATAATAATTCACTTTCTGGGTAGACCATAAATTTTTATTCTTTTACACTTTGATACGCACTTTCATTTTATGAAGGAACATTTTATTGTTATTATAGAAAATAATACAGTGAATAACCTTGTAAACATCTCTTTATGATCATGGGATACCCTGTGTCTTGACCACCAGTAAGGACTGTCAATAGGTGATACAATTACATACCTATCTCACCCACCTAGAAGTGATAATGAATGTCTTAACTTTGGCAAAGGATGAAATGACTCTTGCCTTTTTATCTCAAAAGACCATTCAGTAATTACAGTTACAGGAATTTTGCAATTCTCATCCATGTCAGGGTCATTGAAACTGGGGAGATAAATTAAGATCTTTAAGAGGAAGTTGGCCTGCTAAACTGGTGGTAGAAATAAGAGTTTTGTAAATAGAATGTATATTGAAACAGAGGATTCATTATAAAGTTTAAGTAATATGTTGCAGTCAAAACTAGAAATAATATATTGGGATTTCTTTCAAGCATGCTTGTTCTTCTAATAGTAAGATGATTTATGTCTGGAAACATTCTTTTGAAAATGGTTTGTTTTAGGAGTGCTTGCAAATAGAAGCTTTAATTGCGAAAAATTTGGTGGTATGAATTGTGCAAGTATTTGTGCACCTAGGGTTATTTTGAATGTCAAAACCTTGTGTAAATTTTTCTTTTGGAAATAAGATATTTTATGTACTTTAGTTAATATTTGCCATTTAAGTGTTATTTGTTAGTAACCACAAACCACAAAATGAGAAAGGCCTTCAAAAAACCAAAACCTTACAAAAGGAATTTGTCACCTAGAATTGGTGTGTGTGTGTGTGTGTGTGTGTGTGTGTGTGTGTGTGCATGCATTTAGGCTTAAGGCATAAAGCATAAAGTTGACAGTGGGGCAAAGGACAGAGAGATTATTACCTAACTGCTTCTGCACGTTGACTCAGAAGGCATTTCTGTAGGTCTGAGAACTGAAATCTAACTTTTATCCCAGACATTTCATTTTTTAACCAGATATCAAGTGGTTTAATCAGATAGTGGAGATAAATTGTCAGTATTAAAAGGGGAAAATTTGAATCTTTCATTTGGGAATTCTATTTCTCCTTCCTCCTTCCCTCCAACCTCTCTCCCCCACCCCACCCCTCCTTCTTTCTTTCTTCCTTCCTTCCTTCCTTCCTTCCTTCCTTCCTTCCTTCCTTCCTTCCTTCCTTCCTTTCTTTCTTTCTTTCTTTCTTTCTTTCTTTCTGACTTTCTTTCTTTCTTTCTTTCTTTCTTTCTTTCTTTCTTTCTTTCTTTCTTCTTTCTTTTCTTTCTTTCTTTCTCTCTCTCTCTCTCTCTTTCTTTCTCTCTCTCTCTCTCTTTCTTTCACAGAGTCTTGCTCTGTTGCCCAGGCTGGAGTGCAATGGTACGATCTTGGCTCACTGCAACCTCCGCCTCCCGGGTTCAAGTGATTCTCCTGCCTCAGCCTCCTGAGTAGCTGGGATTACAAGCGTGCACTGCCACACTTGGCTAATTTTTGTATTTTTAGTAGAGACGGAGTTTTGCCATGTTGGCCAGGCTGGTGGAAATTTTATTTCTTGACCAATCTAATTTGACTGTGAAGTTATTTAGTGGTTTTGCTAATTGTATTTTTTCCTTTTTGTTGTGAATTGTCTTTTCTAACTTAGCTGCTAGGGAAAAGTGGGTTAGTAAAATACTGAGGTATTTGATGTTAGAGAACACCCAAGAACCTCTGAGAATTTGAGGTCTTAGGTACTATAATAATTACATACATATATTACATACATACAATAGAATGCTAATACAGATGTTAAGAAAATGAGGTTGAAGGGAGTGTAAGTATTCATATTCCTCTGTAGGGAAGGGATATGAAATAATATCAAGTAGTATGGTAAAGGCATATTCCAGAATGGACTGTATTAAATGATTGCATTTGTGGAGAAAAAAAGAAAACACAGTAAAACTGATAAAAATATGATACTATTTGGGTACACAGATAATGTCCTCTTTACTTGTCTTTACTAAATTTGATGAAACTTTCTAGGCACTCAAAAAAGCTTCATACATATATTGTGACTGTCATTGACTGAATCTAGTTTCAATGTCACATTAAAATGCACTCTGTAGTTTTGGCTTTGACATTTATATCTAATATATGCATGTGTGTGTGGTGTATGCATCTGTCTCTGTGTGTGTATATATACATCTATATGTATACACATTCACATATATGTGTATATCATCTCTTTATATGTGTATATATGTGTGTATTTACATATGTTTGTATACATGCATGTATGTTTATATATGTATGCCTATGTTTGTGTCTACATTTGCATATACGTATAAAGACAGACTGACAGAGACAGAGAGAGAGAGCAGAGAAAGATAGACAGAATTACACTATTGATATTTTCAAATACAGTTCATGATAAACTATGAAGCATAGTAATGCCTGGCATTTTATCTTCTATAATGAAAATAGAATTTCAAGCGGAGGAGGAGATGAAGACTGGTGAAGAGAGGACACTGTCTATCTCTGAGTCAGGTAGACTTGGGTTCCAATATTTTCTCCACCACTTACTAGGTATGTGACCTTGGGCACATGCTGAACAGTGTCCTTTTCTACAGATTCTTTACAATGATGTATCATCTTATCCTTTTCTCAGTTTGTCAGGCAGAAGATGTGAACAAAGTGGAATCCCATGTTTATTTATATTTGTGTTTCTATGATTATTATGGGAGTTGACTTAAAAAAATCTATCCATTGGTCATTTTAATATTTATGGTTTTATCTTGAAGAATTGAGGCATCCCAATAAATTTCATGCTTTGTTCCATGAAAGTTGTAAACATATTTAGTTATCTCACAAGAAATTAGCAATTGTAAGCTGTTATGTCTAATCTGAATCCTAATTTACCATTGGCCCATGGATGCTCTGGGATAAACTTGGACTTCTTTGCCATCCATTCTATGCCTTGATGCTGCCTTTTGCTTTATATGTTTAACTCTTTATCAAATGTTGTGAATGTAGCTCTGCATTTCATTTAACATTTTCTTGTGATGTTCTGCATTACATCACTCCTTTTTTTTAAAATCAACGTTTTGAGGTATAATCTATGTAAAATATATCACACTTGGTTTTGCAATCAATGTATCAATGAATTTTGATAAATGTATACTGGAGGTACAATTGAGCTATAGAAAGTTCCCATTACCCAAAAAAGTGCATTCCTGCAACTTTGTATTTTATCTCCTTCTAAATCTCCACCTGAGGAAACCATTGGTTTCACTTATATCACTATAAGTAGTTTTATTAGTTTTATCTGTCTTAGAACTTTGGTATATATAGACTAAAATGGTATATGCTTATATGTGTCTGTTATTTTTATTCAGCACATTTTCAGATTTCATTCCATTATCAGTAGTTCATTCCTATTCATTGTATAGTAGTGTTTTATTGTTATGAATATTTGACAATTTCTAATCTGTTTGTTGAAAATATTTATTTATCATTTATCATTATCTTCATGCCTTAATGAAGAATAATACTATTAGTTTGACAGACTCTTGTACAAGTCTGCTGCAAAATACCTAGGAGTAGAAATGCTGCATCATATGTTAAATGTACATGTAACTTTATAAGAAAATTCCAGCTCCACAGTAGTCATACCATTTTATACTTCTTTAAGTAATGTATGAGATTTCCAGTTGTCCCACAGTCTTGCCATCATGTGGTAGTTTCAGTCTTTAAAAATTTATCCACTATGGGTACACATGGAAATAAGAATGGAAATAATAGCCACTGGGACTTCAAAAGTGGGGAGGGTGGGAAGAGGGCTAGGGTTGAATAATCACCTATTGGGTACTATGTTCACTATTTCCGTGATGAGTTCACTAGAAGCCCCATCCTCCCCGTTGTGCAATATATCCATGTAACAAACCTGCACATTACCCTCTGAATCTAAAATAAAATAAAATAATGGAAAAATAAAATTTAGCCATTGGATTTGGTATAAAATAGTATGTCATTATGATTTCAATTGGCATTTCCCTGATGAATCATGATGCTGAGTAATTTTTCATGTGATTAACAGCCATTCATATATCTTACTTGGTGTAGGTGTCAGTATCAACTTCTAGCCTCCTGTCCTGGAATGTGGTGATCATTTCACAATTTATACGCATATCTAAATACCAACTTGTACATCTTAAATATAAACAATATTTATATCGATGCTATTTCAATAAAGCTGTTCGATAAATAACTAGATGATGATAGAACCACACACACCAAAACAACCTTCGTACTATTATATTGTAAGATTCTCGATTACATTCTATATAATCCATTAGTCAGATATATGTATTGTGCATGATTCTCCCTGATTGTCATTTCTATTTTTGTTTTCCTTACACTGTCATTTAAAAAGCAGAATATTCTTTAAAAGTTCAGTTAATCAATTTTTCTTGTATGCAATACCTTTTGTCACCATGCTCAGAGATCCTTGCCTATTCCATGGTTGCAAAGGATTTATTTTCTGTTTTCTTTTAGAGGTGTTGGCTTAGATTTTACTTTTATGTCTAAAAATCATTTTGAATTAATGTTTTTTCATGATTTAGGTAGGGGTCAAGATTCATTCATTTCCATACAGGTATTTAGTTTATCCAGCAATGTTTGTTAAAAAGATTTTCGTTTTGCCATAGAATTATACTAGGTCTATGGTTAAGAATCAATTCTTTATTTATATCTAAGTTTATTTCTGAATGCTTTATTCTCTTAAATTTATCTGTATGTTTATCTTTCCGTTAATATTTGTAGTAACTTTTTTGGTTACTTCAGTTTTGTCTTCAGCCTTGAAATTCTCCAACTTTTGCTTTTTTTCTCAGTATTGTTTTGGATGATCTAAGCATTTCCATACTATTAGGTTCATCATGTTAATTTATACAGAAAAGCCTGTTGGGATATTGACTGGGTTTTGATTACATCTGTAGATCAGTTTGAGGAAAGTGGACATCTTAAGATTACTTAGCCTGCCAGTCTATAAACAGCAATGTATTTCTCAATTTTTATTTTCTCAATTTATTGAAATGTCTGAAAAGCAATATTTTGAACTTTTCATTGTAGATTTCTTGAATTAGTTTTAAAATGCAACTTTGTTAAGCTATAATTTGATGGCAAAAGAATTTACTTATTTTAAGTAATCAATGAGTATTAACAAATGTATATATCTGTGCGACCAGTCACCACAATACTCAAATACACACAAAATATATAGTTATTTATCTTTAAGTTTATATTCAGTTTGTTTACACTTACAATGAATTTAAGACCTGGGTGGATGTGTGTAACCATTATCACAATACGAATTCTGAACATTTCCATCCTACCTAAAAAAAATCTCTGGTGTTTTTGCTATGTAGCCAAGCCTTTCCCAAGCCCCTAAAATCCTGGAAGACATTGATTTATCCTCCTTAGAGGTTTCCTTTCTTTTTTTTTTTTTTGACAGTCTCGCACTGTTGCCCAGGCTGGAGTGCAGTGTCACAATCTCAGCTCACTGCATTCTCCACATCATGGGTTCAAGTAATTCTCCTGCCTCAGCCTTCTGAGTAGAGTAGCTGGGATTACAGGCACCTGCCACCACACCCAGCTAATTTTTGTATTTTTAATAGAGACGGGGTTTTGCCATGTTGGTCAGGCTGGCCTCAAACTCCTGGCCTTAAGTGAACAGCTTGCCTTGGCCTCCCAAAGTGCCAGGATTACAGGTGTGAGCCACCGGGCCAGGCCCAGAATTTTCTCTTATACATAACATCATGTAAATTAAATCAGAGTATCTAACATTTTGACATATACTTCTTTCATTCAGTTTGATGCCCTCGAGATTCACACTTGTTGCTGTATTAATAGTTTGTTCCTTTCTATTGCTCAGCAGTATTTCATTGTATAGATGTACCATAATTTATTAATCCATGCACCCGTTGATGGACAGTTGCTTGGGTAGTTTCCAGTTTGGTCAACTATGAATAAAATGCTATAAAAAATTCATGTAGGGCCAGGTGAGGTGCCTCACACCTGTAATCCCAGCAATTTGGGAGGCCAAGTTGGGCAGATGACCTGAGGTCAGGAGTTTGAGACTGGCCTGGCCAACATTGCAAAACCCCGTCTCTACTAAGAATATAAAAAATTAGCCAGGCAAGGTGGTGCACGCCTGTTATCCTAACTATTCAGGAGGCTGAGGCAGGAGAATCGCTTGAACCTGGGCGGCAGAGGTTGCAGTGAGCCGAGATTGTGCCTCTGCACTCCAGCCTCAGCAACAGAGCGACACTCTGTCTAAAAAAAAACACAAACAAACAAACAAAACAAAAGTCATGTAGGTTTTTGTGCAAAGATAGGTTTCCTTTTAACTACGGCAAAAATTAGGGGTGGAATTGCTAGATCGATATGGTAGGTGCATCTTAAATATTTGAAGAAATCTATAACTTCTTTATTCTTATTAGCAATGATTCAGAATACAAGTTGCTGTATTATCACCAGCTGATGGTATTGCCAGTTTTGTTTTGCCTTTTCTTTAGTTGTTTTAACAGGTGTATAATGGTATTTCATTTTGGTATTAATTTGCATTTATCTAATGGATGATTTTGAACACATTTTGGTGTGCTTATTTGCCATCTGTATGTCTTTCTGACTAGGTATCTGTTCAAATCTTTGTCTATTTCTTAATTGTATCTTCTCTTCTTATTGTTGAGTGATATGGTTTGGCTGTGCCCCCACCCAAATCTCAACTTGAATTGTATCTCCTAGAATTCCCACGTGTTGTGGGAGGGACCCAGGGGGAGGTAATTGAATCTTGGGGGCCAGTCTTTCCCGTGCTATTCTCATGATAAAGAATAAGTCTCACGAGATCTGATGGGTTTATCAGGGGTTTCCGCTTTTGCTTCTTCCTCATTTTTCTCTTGGCACTGGCTTCTTCCTCTATCATCTCCATTCTGCTTTTCAGATCATCCAGTGATATTTTATATATGTATCACATATACGATATATATCCTATATTATATATCACATATACGATATATATCCTATATTATATATCACATATACGATATATATCCTATATTATATATCACATATATGATATATATCCGATATTATATATCAAATATATGATATATATCCGATATTATATATCACATATGTGATATATATCCTATATTATATATCACATATGTGACATATATCCTATATTATATATCACATATGTGACATATATCCTATATTATATATCACATATGTGACATATATCCTATATTATATATCACATATGTGACATATATCCTATATTATATATCACATATGTGACATATATCCTATATTATATATCACATATGTGATATATATCCTATATTATATATCACATATGTGATATATATCCTATATTATATATCACATATGTGATATATATCCTATATTATATATCACATATGTGATATATATCCTATATTATATATCATATATCGTATATATGATATGTATATACGATATGTATATATCGTATATGTGTATATGTATATATCGATATGTATATATCGTATATGATATGTATATACGATATGTATATATCGTATATGATATGTATATACGATATGTATATGATATGTATATATGATATGTATATGATATGTATATACATATATGATATGTATATCGTATATATGATATGTTATATATCATATATATCATATATCATATATCATATATCATATATATGATATATTAATATATCATATATCATATATCATATATATGATATATTAATATATCATATATCATATATATGATATTATTAATATATCATATATCATATATCATATATATGATATATTAATATATTACATATATCATATATATGATATATTATATTACTATCATATATACGATATATGATATATATTATATTACATATCATATATACGATATATGATATATGATATATAATATAGGATATATGTCACATATGTGATATATAATATAGGATATATGTCACATATGTGATATATAATATAGGATATATGTCACATATGTGATATATAATATAGGATATATGTCACATATGTGATATATAATATAGGATATATGTCACATATGTGATATATAATATAGGATATATGTCACATATGTGATATATAATATAGGATATATGTCACATATGTGATATATAATATAGGATATATGTCACATATGTGATATATAATATAGGATATATGTCACATATGTGATATATAATATAGGATATATGTCACATATGTGATATATAATATAGGATATATGTCACATATGTGATATATAATATAGGATATATGTCACATATGTGATATATAATATAGGATATATGTCACATATGTGATATATAATATAGGATATATGTCATATATGTGATATATATATAAAATATCACTGGATGGTCTGAAAAGCAGAATGGAGATGATAGAGGAAGAAGCCAGTGCCAAGAGAAAAATGAGGAAGAAGCAAAAGCGGAAACCCCTGATAAACCCATCAGATCTCGTGAGACTTATTCTTTATCATGAGAATAGCATGGGAAAGACTGGCCCCCAAGATTCAATTACCTCCCCCTGGGTCCCTCCCACAACACGTGGGAATTCTAGGAGATACAATTAAAGTTGAGATTTGGGTGGGGGCACAGCCAAACCATATCACCCAACAATAAGAAGAGAAGATACAATTAAGAAATAGACAAAGATTTGAACAGATACCTAGTCAGAAAGACATACAGATGGCAAATAAGCACACCAAAATGTGTTCAAAATCATCCATTAGATAAATATATTATATATTTATCTAATATATAATATAAAATATATTATATATTATATATATTATATATATTATATATATTATATATTATATACATTATATATATTATATATATTATATATTATATATATTATATATTATATATATTATATATTATATATATTATATATATTATATATTATATGTGTATTATATATAATAAATATATTATACATATATTTATTATATATATAATATATATTATATATATAATATATATATAATAAATATATTATATATAAATAAAATATATTATATATTATATGTGTATTATATATAATATATAATATATTATATATTAATATATTTATTTAGAGAGAGAATATGTATATATATAGAAATATATACACACACACATTGTGTGTTTTAAACAAGGTCTCAGTTTTTCACCCAGGCTGGAGTGCAGTGACACAATCTTGACTCACTGCAGCCTTGATCTCCTGGGTTGAACAATCAATCCCCGGATCAAGTACTCCTCCTGCCTCAGTACCCCCATGTACATGTAAATGTAAAAAGTTGAACTCATAGAAGTAGAGAGTAAGAATGGTGGTTACTAGGGCAGATCTAGGGGAGTATGGGGGAGATGTTGATCAAAGGATAAAAAATTTCAGTTAAGAGGAATTGATTCAAGAGATCTATTGTACAATATAGTGACTATACTTAATAACAGACTATATTTGATAACAATATATTGTTCTTGAAAACGGATAAGAGTACATTTTAAGTGTTCTCATCACAAAAAATGGTAACTATGTGAGTTAATCCATGTATTAATTTGCTCTATTTAGCCAATCTACAAAGTATACATATTTCAAAACATCATATTCACATAATAAATATATATACTTTTATTTTTTAATTAAAAATAAATTAGAAAAAAGAAAAGACATGAAAATTGAAAAAGAAGTAAAATTATTTCTATTTGCAGAAGGCATGATCTTATATATAGAATTCTGAAAAGAATCCACATTAAAAAATTAAAACTGACTGGGCACAGTGGCTCATCCCTGTAATCTCAACACTTTGGGAGGGTGAGGGAGGAAGATCACTTGAACTCAGGAGCTTGAGAGCAGCCTGGGCAACATGGCAAAACCCTGTCTCTACCAGAAACATTTTTTAATTAGCTGAGCGCAGTGGTGTGTGCCTGTAGTCCCAGCCATTGGGAGGGTGAGTTGGCAGGATCCCTTCAGCCAGAAGTTGAGGCTGCAGTGAGGTGCTGTGGCACCACTACACTCCAGCCTAGGTGACAGAAAAAGACCCTGTTGCAAAAAAAAAATAGAGCTAACAAATGAGCCCAGTGTGGTTGTAGGATACAATGTCAATATATAAAAAATCATTCAACATTTCTTCCTGATGAAAACCCTAAAAAAATTGGGGATAGAAGAAACATATCTTAACCTAATAAAAGCCATATATGACAGACCCACAGCAAAAGGTTGGTGCAAAAGTAATTGCGGTTTTAAATCATTATAACTAGGCTCAGTCACATCTTTATTTATCAAAATAGAAACCATTATAATCAACACATTTTTTGACAATGAGAAATAAGTTTGTTTATTCCTGTCATGTAGAAATCCATGCTTTGGTATTTGATGAACTCATGGAAAGCATTTCCTGCATGCTGCTGCTTGTGGAAGTCTTTTCCCTGAAAAATATTGTTGCTTTGCTTGAAGAAGTGGTAGTCAGTTGGTGAGAGGTCAAACGAATATGGCAGATGAGGCAAAACTCCATAGCCCAATTCGTACAACTTTTGAAGCGTTGATTGTGCGATGTGCGGTTGGGCGTTGTCATGGAGAATTGGGACCTTTCTGTTGACGAATGTCAGCTGCAGGCATTGCAGCTTTTGATGCATCTCATTGAATTGCTGAGCATACTTCTCAGATGTAACGGTTTCGCTGGGATTCATAAAGCTGTAGTGGATCAGACTGGCAGCAGACCACCAAACAGTGGCCATGGCCTTTTTTTGGTGCAAGTTTGGCTTTGGAAAGTGCTTTGGAGCTTCTTCTCAGTCCAACCGTTGAGCTGGTCTTCACCAGTTGTCGTTTGAAATCCATTTTTTTTTTATCGCATGTCACAATCCAATCAAGAAATGATTCATTGGTAGAGTAAGAGAAGATGACACTTCAAAACGACGATTTTTTTTTAATTTTTGCTCAGCTCATTAGGCACCCATTTATCAAACTTTTTCACCTTCCGCTTCAAATGCCTAATGACCATAGAATGGTCAACATTTAGTTATTTGGCAACTTCTCCTGTGGTGGTAAGAGAATCAGCTTCGATGATTGCTTTCAACTGGTCGTTGTCAACTTCTGATGGCCAGCCACTGTGCTCCTCATCATTAAGGCTCTTGTCCTCTTTGCAAAATTTCTCGAACCACCCCTGTACTGTCTGTTCATTAGCAGTTCCTGGGCCAAGTGCATTGTCGGTATTGTGACTTGTCTCCGCTGCTTTAGGACCCATTTTGAACTCATGTAAGAAAATCACACCAATTATTTGCTTTTTGTCTAATGTCATTTCCATAGTCTAAAGTAAATATAAAATAAACAGCAATTAATGCCATAATCAAAAAAGCATGAAGTGAGAAATGTGCATTAAAATCATGTGTAACATAATCACGTTTATTTAAGAATATATTCCAATATCAAATTGCAAATTTTAACAGTGGAAAAACTGCAGTTACTTTTGCACCAACCTGATAGTATCATACTGAATGGGGAAAATCTGAAAGCTTTTCCTCTAAGATCTGGAACACAACAAGGGTGCCCACTGTCACCACTGTTATTCAGCACAGTACTGGAAGTCCTAGCTAGAGCGATCAGACAAGAGAAAGACATAAAAGGCATTCGAATTGGAAAGGAAGAAGTCAAATTATCCTTGTTTGCAGATGATATGATTTTATATTTGGAAAAACCTAAAGACTCCATAAAGAAGTTTTTAGAACTGATAAATTCAGTGAAATTGCAGGATACAAAATCAACACACAAAAATGAGTAGCATTTCTATATGCCAACAGTGAAATATATGAAAAAGAAATTAAAAGTAATTCCATCTATGATAGCCACACATAAAATTAAAGACCTGGGAATTAACCAAAGTAGTGAAAGATCTCTATAATATAAACTATAAAACACTATACAAATAAATCAAAGAAGACACTAAAAGATGGAAAAATGTTCCATGTTCATGGATTGGAAGAATCAATATTGTTAAAATGTCCATACTACCCAAAGCAATCTACAGAGTCAATGCAATCTCTATCAAAATACCAATGCCATTTTTTTTTTCAAAAAACAAAATAGAAAAAAACAGTCCTAAAATTTGTATGGACTACCAAAGATCCAGAATCACCAAAGCTACCCTGAGCAAAAAGAACAAAACTGGAGGGATTTCATTACCTGACTTCAAATTATACCGCAGAGCTATAGTAACCTAAACAGCATGGTACTGGCATAAAAACAGACACATAACCAATGGATCAGACTAGAGAAACCAGAAACAAATTCACACACCTACAGCAAACTCGTTTTCAACAAAGATACCAAGAAAATACATTGGGGAAAAGACGGTCTCTTCAATAAATGGTGCTGGGAAAACTGGATATTCGTATGCAGAAGAATGAGACTAGACCCTTACATCTTGCCATATACAAGAATAAAATAAAAGTGGATTGAAGACTTAAATATAAGACCTCAAACTATCAAACTACTACAAGAAAACTTCGAGAAAAATCTGCAGGACATTGGTCTGGCCAAAAATTTATTGAGCAATACCCCACAAGCACAGACAACCAAAGCAAAACGGGATAAATGGGATCACATCAAGTTAAAAAGCTTCTGCACAATGAAGTATATAATCAACAAAGTGAAAAGAAAACCCACATAATGGGATAAAATATTTGCAAACTACCAATCTGACAAAGGATCAATAACAAGAATATATAACGAGCTCAAACAACTCTATAAAAAATCTAATAATTCGATCTAATAAAAATTAGACAAGTGATTTGAACAGATATTTCTCAAAAGAAGACATACAAATGACAAACAGGAATATTAAAAGGTGCTCAACATTATTGATCATCAGACAAATGCAAATCCAAACTACAGTGAGATATCATCTCACCCCAGTTAAAATCACTTATATCGAAAAGGCAGGCAATAACAAATACTGGTGAGGATGTGCAGAAAAGGAAACTTCTGTACTCTGTTGGCGGGAATGTAAATTAGTACAACCACTATAGAGAATAGTTTGGAGGTTCCTCAAAAAATTAAAAATAGAGCTACCATATGACCTAGCAGTCTCACATCCGGGTAGATACACAAAGGAAAGGAAATCAGTATATTGAAGAGATATCTGTATTCAGATGTTTGCTGCTGCACAGTTTACAATAACCAAGATTGGGGAGCAACCTAAGTGTCCATCAACAGATAAATGGATAAAGAAAATGTGGTACATATGCCCAATGGAGTACTATTCAGCCATAGTAAAATAAGATTCAGTGATTTGCAACAATATGGATGGAACTGGAGATCACTATGTTAAGTGAAATAAGCCAGACACAGAAAGACAAACATCACATGTTCTCACTTATCTGTAGGATCTAAAAATCAATGTAAGTGAACTCATGGACATAGAGAGTAGAAAGATGGTTACCAGAGGCTGAGAATGGTAGTCAGGGACTAGTGGGGATGTGGGGATGGTTAATGGGTTAAAAAATATAATTAGAAGGAATGAACAAGACTAATGTTTAATAGCAACAACAGGGTGATTATAGTCAAAAATAACCTAATTGTATGTTTTAAAGTAAAATATATATGTATATAAACATCAATTATGTTTAGTTGCAATTAGCAATGAACAATACAATAATGAAATTAGTAGATCCATTGTGCATACAGTAACATAACATGAATAAAATACTTAGGAATAAATTTAACAACTCAATGTTCATCAACAGATGGATGAATAAAGACAATGTGTTATATTTGTGAGATATTATTCAGCCATGAAAAGAAGTGTTGATAAATGCTACAACATGTATGAAATTTGGACATCTTCTGCTAAATGAAATAAGCTAGTCACAAAAGAACATGCAATGTATGTTTTGATTTTATGAAATACTCAGAAAAAGTATGACCATGGAGACAGAAAGCATATTAGTGGTTGCCTAGGTCTGCATCTGGGATTGGGAGCAGGGATGGACTGCAAATGGGCACAAAGATCTTTTTGAGATATCAGAAATGTTCTAAAATTGAATAGGGTGTATATAGATTGTGGTGAGGGTTGCATAACTGTGTACCTTTAATACAAAATCATTCAATTTCATGCACTTAAAACAGCTGAATGTTATATTAATTGTACCACAATACATATATTTAAATGATGTCTTGCTAATGGTGTTTTTATGCTGATGTCAGATAGAGTATTCTAAATTTGTCGGAGACCTTGATGGAAGGAAAATGCCATTCTCACTTATTTCTCAGACTTTGCTTCCTCATTAGAGTCATCTCTGTGTCTAGATTCTAACAGATATTCTTCTGTCTCATTCATTCATTCACTCATGTATTCTGTGAGTTTTAGCATTGTGAGTCATGTGTGAGCCACTTAGCTGTGGCACAAGGCCATGATCCTGATGATATGTTTAAGGTGTAATGGAAAAAATGTGTTAATCTTGTGTACTAGGTCATCTGGAGCTATTGAATGTTTGCACTGGGTTTGTGGCTGCATGGAATTTGAGATTCCTTTCGTACAAGCGTCTGTGATTTCCACATTCTAAGGTAGTCCTGAATAGAGACTGAAACAGGTTTGGTTTGTCTGACAAGAATGCCAGACATTTTATTTATTTATTCATTGATGGTGATTCTAAGTATGAATTTGTGTATCCCAGTTTCCATGGAAAGCTAACATCAAGCTGATTGTTATGCTGATATTATGGTTTAATGGCAACTGGGAAATGCTATTTAATAGCTGGAGATAGAAATAATTATTAGGGATATTAACAGGAAGGAAAGGTGGCATACCTACATGCATACCAGCCCTATTGGGCGTCTATCATAACTGCGACTGTGTATATATATGTTTATTTGTGTGTGTGTATGGGAGGATGATATATTTTATTGAAGAAGCTGTATCTGAGACTTCTGTTACTTGGAAGAAACGGTTCTCTCCTCATGAGTAAAGCCAGAAGTAGACGAGTCACCAGTTATCCATTCACTTCTCTTCTCTTGTTTCTGTATTCTGAAATAGCCTGACACCTGTGCGGGGAGAACCTAGTTAGCCTTTGATAATTTCAATTGGATTCTGTTGATAGACATAGAATAAAATTTGGATGATCAGAAAGAAAGCTAAAGTTTTCCATTCTTTTAAGAAATCTGAGGTTAATTTTATGCTTTCATAAATGTTTATAATACTTTTAGTTTTAACATTATGTATTAAAAATTTCCCTGCCAAAAAGGGTATTACTTATTAGAAAAAAATGGAAACTTTAGCGAAGACCTAAAATCTCTCTGAATTGTCCTACAAATTGAATATCCCATCAATTTTCAAAATTTATTTTTAATTATACAAAGCAATTGTAATACTTATGTAGGAGCCAGAATAGCCAAAACACGTTTATTAATCAGAACCATTATGGACTGTCTTATATAGTAATAAAAAAGTTTCTTTTTTCATTACTTTTCAGAAATTTCAGGTGCCTTTACATTTACACCAGCTACATCACACAAAAATCTCCAAGGTATAAGCTTGAAATTTCTGTTGTTAGAAAAAATATTTTTTATTCCATGGGTGTTGGTATTCATGTGGGTAATTTAAAGAAACATACTCTTATATAGAGAAAATGCCACACCTGATATTTCCTTTAGACCTATGTAAACTAACCACCTGGCTGGGGATTATCAAAATATGGCTTCCAAATTAACTTTTATAAGGTATGCCTATCTGTTGGATAACTGAAAACTATTTTTTGTTTACTGATTTTATTTTCAACCTAAGAGAAATGATATAAAATTAATCACTATTTTTATTAGAAGCATGGAAATTTAAAACTCTGCATTTGGACATTTTATTTCTTGATTAACCTTATGAAACTTTTAATTTATTGGGCATGGATTTGGCAAGAGTAATATTTATTCTTTATGTTTATTGTGGAAAGTGAAGGGTTAACTCAGCAGGCCTCAACATGTAGTCCAAACAAGGCCCTGTCTTCTTGATGCTCCTGAGAGATAACCTCTGAGTCCGTGAAATGTTCTTACTAACAAGTTTGGTTTTGCATGTCAGAGTCCATGGGCCATGCTCTACCTGTTTGACTAGTTAAGTTTATCCTAACAATGCGAATTATTGTGAATGTCTATTTTTGCTCTGAGGGATGGACTAGAATCTGCGTAGCTGTGGTCAGTCATGCAGGTGCTACATGGCTACATGACTGACCCATAATAAAAGCCTGGACTTCAAGGCTCAAGTCATCTTTCATAGTTGGCACACATCATTTCTGGTATAATTAGATGTATCCATGTCTGACTTATCTGGGAAGGGACACTAAAAAGATTGTACCTAATTTTTCTTTCACTTTGCCTCATGTGGCTTTTTCCCTTTCCTGACTGTAATCTGTATCCTTTCATTATAATAAACCATACCTGTGAGTACAAGAGCTTCTCTGAGTCATCCGAGTTCTTTTGGTGAATCATGGAGCCTGAAGGTGGTCATGATACCCAACAGAGTTGGCTTCAGAAGTGAGATTTGCTAAAACAATCTGACTCACCAAATCATGGTGAAAGGATTCTTTGAAGAGAGGAAGGATAAAGGGGTAGTGGATGACAAACCTTTGATGCCTGGATGTCTATTGAGTCACCCATTGTACAAAACAGCTGTTATATGATCAGTTACTTGAGGTGAATGTCACATAACGATGGGATTTACAATCATGAGGAGGTGGCTTCCCTGGATACATGAAAAAATACAATACAATGAGAAAAAAGCCAAATAGACAACCTCTTAGTTATTTTTTATCTGCAATAAATAAAATGAAAGTGCAGGAGAGTTTTGGGGTAGATCCCAGCACTGCATGAAATTCAAATTGTAGCTAGTCGGAGCTATGATTCCTAGTCTCAGAACTGCTATAAGATGAAAATTGTGCTGCAACAAGAGATAGCACTTCTATGACCTCTGCTCACCAAGAATATATTCCAGGTGGCAGGTGGAGGCAAATCTGAGAAACTACTGAAACCGGTGGGTATGGCGTTAAAGAGCTGTCTCCTCTTCTGGAGTCATATCATCAGCTTCCTGAAAATCACTGAGTAAAAATGGATTGTGAGAGTGATTAAGTTAGGAGCAGTCTCCTTGGTTTTGAATGCTGCAGAATGGAGGAGTATGTTTGGGTTGATGCAGGACTCACGACTTACTATTGAATAGATGGCTGTACATGATCCAAACACGCAAGTGGTTTTTCCTGAGGGGATCCCTAGCCTTGTATACTGAATAAAAGCCACTGTGAAGTTTCTTTAGCATGAAAAGAGGAAGGATTTTTTCCCCTCCTTTAAAATATAAGTGAAACTCTTAGATGAAGCAGCCTGATGTGCTGCATATGCAATCCATGCTGGATTGGCTTTGCAAAGACCAGGGTGTTTATATACTTATTATGCCTGTTACTCAGGTCATGTTGAATTCTGTGACTTAGGGGAACGTGTTGCATGGTCACCCCATGAAATCTTGCTGTTGTAAAATCAAGCAATGATTTGAGAAGCTGTATCAGATTTGTTATCTCAGCTTCCCCCATGGGTCTCTCAGATGCTAAGAAAATTATAATGATCCACAAGAGAATGAAGAAAGAAAAGGGAGTGAGTCAAGGGACTCACTTCAGCAAAGCCAAAAAATGTAAATAATTACTAAGGAATGTGAAGAATAAAGTGGCATTGATAGAGTTGACAGTAATATCGGGAGGATATCAGGATAGAATGTTTGACGGAATAAAGGTCAGTGTTTGGATAAACATTGAAACGTTTGAAGAGACTCTAGGTGAAGTGGTTGTATCTCTTTTTCCTGCATGCATCACTGAGATGGATATTATGTCCGCTGGGAAACACTTCCTCTAACAATTATGGTAAAACAAACGGCATGTAAGTTTATCTGTTAGGTGGTATTAATCGGACATAATAAGTGGGAGCCTACAGAATTTTCTGAGCCCACTCAGGTTGTAAATTTGAAGCAGTAAAGAATACCTGGTGGAGAAAAAAACAGATTATCACTTTAATTAATGACATGTTAAAAGCTGGAGTGTTGTACAATAGCACTTTGTAGCCTATGAAAAGGCAGATGGTTCATGAAAACTAACAGTAGGTGATCAATGCTTGAATAATGTAGTCTCACATATAGCATCATCATGAAAAAAATACAGGTTAAAGAAGGCAACTACTCAGCAGTTAATTGGGAAATGCTTTTTTTCCTGAACACCAATTATAATAAAGAGTCAACTGTAATTTTCCTTTGTGTAGGAAGGATCCCAATTTACACTCACCATTTTGCTGCAGAATTATTTGAATTCACCAGCTTGCTGTCATAATTTGGTCAGGAAAGATTTGAACTTGATCCATGTATCAAGCACAGTAATAAACTACATAGAGGATTTCATAATAATATCAGAAAACAAAGGATGAGCTAAAATTACTTAAATGCAGTGGTGACACATAGGACAAAGCAAAGATAGTTGATCCACCCAGCAGAGATTCAAGGACTGGTATAAACGATGAAATTCTTGGGAATAACATGGGCAGAAGCCACTGGGACATCCCACAGGCAACTAAAAATAAAATGCCATCATTGCTTACCCCGTAAATAGGCAAGAAGCACAGCACGTGGTTGAGTCTTTTGGATTTTGGAGGATTCATACATCATATCAGAGAATGCTGTTAGATTCAATCCATGAAACTACCTCTAAGAAGACCATATTTGAATGGGGGCCTGAACAACAGCAGGCTATGTCAAAAATGCAAAAACTGGCGTCTCAGTCAACGGCTTTAGGACTTTAGGATCCACACTCAGATATGATTTGGAAGTGCCTGCAACTTACATTTATGCAAACGGGAGCTTATGGCAAAATACAATGAGTGCTGTCCAGCAGTGACAATTGACTGGAATATTGGGCAGAAAGTTTTCAGACGTGGCAGTGTATTACACTCTGTTTGAGAGACGATTATTTGTTTGCTATGGGGCACTTATTGAAACTGCCCGTATGACTTGGGTACATAAAATACTCTTGAAACCATTGCTCATAATGTCTTGAGTAATGTCTAATAAGAGAGATAAGAAAGGAAGTGTTCAGAAATCTCCATAATCAAATGAAAAGGGTTTATGCAGGAACATGCCACTGGAGGAATGCAAGGATGCAGTCAATGTGTGCATGCTTAGGTACAGTCTCTTTTCCCTTAGGCTAAGTTTGGAATCAACTGAAGAGATGCCATATTCTATTGCCACCTTGGTGGTGGGTCTCTATGCACAGCTCTCAACTGACCACAAAATAGCTCCTTAATTTATGGATGGCAATTCCAAGGTGGATGGACAGCATCCAGTTTGGGAGACTGACCGACCTAAAAACTGACGAACATAAAAACTCTGATTGAAGAATGTAAGAAGAAATCAGCTTAAAGGGCTGGGCTGAATTGTATGCTGTTTTCCTTGTAGTGATGGAAGAATTGAACAAAAACAAAGTAAAAAATTTGTTGGTTTATTTTGACCCATAAGTGGAATAAGAGGGTGACGTAGGTAGAATAAAGAGAGAGCCAATGGCCTGGCCACGTGGTCAGACAGATGGGCAATGGAAAATCGAACTATTAAAGGGCTACTGTAAGAGTCACAGCCCTGTGGAAATCACAATGGAAATTTAAGAGGCAGATTAAAGAAGGACAAGTTAATGCCCATTCAAATGATTCCTTTCCCCAATCAGGTGATTGGTATGAGCAAGTGGACATCCTTTTGTGCTTGTTGAGGTGTTGACCTGGTCCATGGAATGAGTGGACATGGAATAGCTGCAGCAAAGCAGAGGTGGGCTTATCATCAGCGTATTCCACTTGCACTTTCTGAGGCACCAAATCCCAGCAAGCGCTAACTGTGTGCCAGCCAGAAAGACAAAGACTGCAGATAATTATGAGGCAGATTCCCTTGGGTGGGGGGCTTAAGGGGGAGGTTCCCACATAGATACCACATTCACTGTATCAGACTACTACCAGTAGCCCTGGCGGGGTTGTGGGGAGGGGGGCGCTATAAATAGGTCCTGATAGAAAGAGATACTTACTTTGGACTATGCTTTGTATACTGGATGGTAAATACAAATTCTGAACGTACTATAAAGGATTGGAACAGAAGATACTGTACCAAGTTAGAACGCCACGTTACAATTTTTCAGACCAACGATCGTATTGTATAGTCCATAGGGCTCAACAAGAGTCAAAGAGATAATATCAGGTGGCCACATCATATCGCACATCATCTTCGGAGTCGTGACTTGATAGAGAATTGGAATGACAAAACATTTGTTGAGTAAATTGAGTGGAGATAACGGTATGAAAGGCTAGCTTACAAACCTTCATGAGTGTGTGCTCACATTCAACATGGGAAGGGGGGACAAAGCATACTCCCCACTAGGTAGATTTCTCTGTTTTTCTGGGGGATTGGGGAAGAGGCAATAAGGGAGGATGCTGGTGTAATTACATAATGCATCCCCACACAAACCCACCTTTTGTGTTCCTAGCTGCTTCCGTGGTCCCAGGATTAGGGCTGCAACTGTAGGTGTCAGAGGCACAGATGATCCCTAAATCAAAACCCTTAACTTTACCTTTACACCTTTATGCCAGTGATTATAAGGGCCTGAAAGGATGAATTGTGCCTTTATGGCATCTGGCAAAATTAAGGTTGGCGGTGAATGCAGCTGCATTTCCCACATGGTCCAGAAAGCCCACTGGTTGTATCTTTATGTAACCCCTCCCTATTTGAATGGGATTGGATGAGTTTCTCCTCACATAGCCACTTTTGAAAACTGTTGAGGGTAGGCACTTACCAGGCTGGTACTGGTACCAATGATTTTGACCAAATAAATGGTAAAACCTAACACCCTTTCAAAGATAGAAAAGTTTTGGTAAATCTCAACAGCAAATAGAAAGAAGGAGCAATAGTAGTTGAGGGTAAAGGAACGAATAAATGATCTATGGAATAAAAAAAAATCAATATGACGTTGGTGACCTAAAGAAGCTCAGAGTAAGAAATTGCTATTGTCTTTTAGCAATTGTACCCTGATGTTCAAAAGAGTGAAGCCATATGTTTGCCAATACCACACCTGCTTTTTGAACTGCACAAGGTCAAAGGGAAGCCTGCAAATCTGAGTTGCACTGTTCTGGGGGAAATTTTGGTCACACAATGTGATGAACTGGTTCTATGACTAATGACTAAGTGCAACTGTAGAAATATGCCAGTATATTTTGACTCATTTTTCAGGTTATGTCTACTGCAAAGTATATCACTTAGCAAGAAATTTCTAGGAACAACTCCCTATCAGGCCATTTCTCCGTGCAGTGTTACAGCTCCCGGCAGACTAATTACTGTGTAACCATAAACCTTGATGATAAAATCATGGGAAAGGTCCCTGATTATAATGAATGAAAAAAATAATGATAGCATGTCCGACATGCCATTGTGTGCTGTGCACAAATACTTATTATTCTTGTTTTAGCGGATGAAATGCTTTTGAACAAAATAGAAAAAGGAGCATGGATTTCTGATGGGAATAAAGCAGTGGCATCACATGGTAAGTTTGAGTTCTTCTATGGAATGGTCCCAAGGTGACCAACTGTCTTCTGTAGGCAAGTGATATGAAAAATACTGACACTGATTATCAAAAGTATCGGGAGATTGAGTTGAAGTCTACTTAGGATATAATACTAACATGAAAATGACTAGCCTGAGGAAGAGCTAGATTTAGTTAGCCATCAGCTAACTTCTGTGTTAAATGGTGCTGCACAGATTCCTCACAAAGTACAAATAACATTAGATCGAGGGGAGAAAGAAGTCATCGAATTAGGATAAATGTAGAAAAGTGTATGTTTTCTTTATAAGATACATTGCTTTTTTCATTAGATATAGCCCTTTCCTATACTGGCTCTTCTAACTGTTAGGTATACTCATACTAATGCTATCGCTACGTCTATTATATAAATGATATGCTAAAGGTAGAAGCACGAGACAATGTGATAATTTTGCTGTAAGATATCCTAGGCCAAAGGCCAGGGGAGCCAACTGGGCAGGAAAGAGTTACGTCCACTTACCTGGTTTCCTCAAACACAAGACATTCCAAAGAAAGTACTGTTTTCAGAACTAGTCCTTAACACACTCCTGGGAGATAACCGCTGTACATTGGAATATTCTCCCTCAAAAAGGTTTCGTTTTGTTTAGGTTTTTGTTTAGTTTTTTTTTTTTTTTTTTTTTTTTTTTTCGGTATTCCTGAAACCTTGGGCCCTGCTGCACCAGTTAGACAAGATACTTTTTATCATGCATGGTGAATGCCTGTTTTTGGTTCTAAGAGTGGACCGGGGGCTGTGGTCTAAATTGGTGAGGTCATACAAGCCTTGCATCTCTATGTGACAGATCACCCCAAAAACTCTGGATGTCAACTCTCAGAGGAGCTTCCTAAGTTGGTAACACATCACCTGTGTTGCCACACACTGTTGCTTGGGGATTTAAGTGTGTCCCTGGGAAAGTTCACTGGGCGGGGACCCCTAGAAGCTAGAGCCTGGTTCCTCCTAGACTTCACCTGACTTAACTTTTCCCATTGCATATTCAAAGCTATTTTACTGAAATTTCACTGTAATAAACTGTAACTGTGATCATAAGAGCTTTTTAAGTCCCATGAGTCCTTAGAACAAATCGGTGAGCCAGAGGGTGGTCTTAGGGACCCCTGACATGCATTGCGCATTTAAACATACACCACGTGTTAGAAGATCAATATATTTGGTTATTTGTGAAAGTGCCAAAACTCTGAGAAGTAAGGGATAATTTACCATAGATGGGTGTTGTTCAGTACCGTGTACTAATGGCCAAAGAGAACACTGTTGTGAGAGGGGGAGTGGGAGAAAGAGGGTAGCAGGAAAAGGGAACAGGGTAAAAGGCAGGAAGAAAAGAGAGAGAAAGAGTGAGATTTCTGTGGGTGCAGAAAATGAAATTTCTGAAAGTTTACATGCAACCCGGGAAATCGAGGATATATTGAGAAGGAGCCACTGAATGGTGTCAAAGGACATTTCAACATTTTTATGTAAGGAATTTTTTCTATTACTTGTTTAAGATAAGCATGCATTTTTATTTAAAAAGAACCGAAATCGATATTTTGAGGGAATCTAAAAATATATGCCTTCAGCATGATCTTATGATCTATGACATATACAAATACAAACAATAAATTATGTTGAAATCTGGTGTGATTTTTTTTAAATAAAAGCTTTTCTGTTAGTTGTAGAAATGAGGAGAGAAAACCAGAATAAATTCTGGAACTATAGATCCAAACTCTGACAACAAAAATTATTGCCCAGTTTTATTTAGTTAGTTTTTAAAACAATTTTAGCGAGTATTGCTAGGCTGATGAATGCAGGGAAGAGACATAGCCTGCTTTGATAGCTGACAAACCCCAGTGGCGATCTGACTTTTCCACTTCCCCCTTATATTTCCTTGGACACCAACAAGTTCCCTCCCAGTGATGCTGTCCTCACACACAGGCCAATCCTGTGTTTGCATTCTTTTGTTTTGGCGTTTGGAATACATTAAAATATAGAAGGCCTTCCACGTTCATGTTCTTTATTACTGATGAAGGTATCTCTTCAAATCCTCACAGGCCATTCTTTCTTTTTTTGCTTTCTTATTGTAGAATTGAGGGTGCACGATAAATCTCATTTCTCTTCACCATGCGGTGTGTGAAAAAGTGAAGATAAGTATCTAAATATTTATTTCCTGGGAATTTAAATTCTGAGCATTGGAACCCAGCATTTCTAGACTGAAATCCAATGGTCCCATGGACCTTGTGTGGCTCCATATTACCAGAAATTACCTCAGATGACCAGGACCTACCTTTGTCACCCGTATTTATCCTTTGTATTCCAGATGAAACAATGTGCACTTTGGTGTCCTTCTATCAACCCTCTTATTGAAGAGATGTGGATATTTTGCCTATTTCTTCAGAAAGAGAGACCAGAAAACAGAGCAGCTAAGGATAATTTTAATGTCACACACCACTTTCCGTAGCAGAGCTACACTGAAACCTCATCTACCTTGCTGAATGATGCTCTCACTGGAAAACTAACCCACAAAATGACCACAGTATTTTACATCTGTGCGAAACTATGACAGCCCGAATGTGCGTCAAGATATCTGTCCTGCTTTTCTCCTCGCAGAGAAACTGCTGAAAACTATCCCTTACCTTGTATACAGGCATGACTCTTGTCCCAGCCTGACCTTACTTCTGTGTATCCCAGGAAGAACAGGGTTGCTTCTGAAATGAGAGTCCACAGGATGAACAACAAAGGATTTCTTTCTCTTCACTTTTGAAATCTGAGAAGAACTGCACCATAGAGCAGTTGTGCCACTCTAAGCTCAATGCCTATGTGTGACAGAAACTGTGTATATTTCTGTCCACTGATAAACGTGTATGCTCCTGGAAACCCTCGTTAAATTTCTTTCTAAGCATCTTAAGATATCATATCTGTAAGAGCCATGCAACTGAACATCTTTATTCATTGGCAGTATGTAGATTGCAGCATTGCCTGAGGGAAGCAAATTCCAAAATGTCACAGGTCCACCTTAATTTGTCCGTGACTGCCAAACACGGGGCTCTCTGTGGGAGTTCAATCTCTTGCCAGGACTCTTTCTCCTCTCCTATTATCTTCATACATAGTTTTACAAATATTGACCAGTGTGTTTTGGCCCAGGCAGCAACTCAATGTGGGGCTTGCCTTCCTCTGTGCGTGGAGAGTTTGACATCTCTACTTCCTCCTGCCATGACGTTTCACCAAAGGGCCCTGAGAGTTTGCAGGCATTTCCGCCACACCAACCAACTTATGACAGCCCTGGAGAGTGTTATAAAAAACGGTATCTGTGATTGCAACTTAGGTATTGTCCAGAGGAAAAAATCTTTTCCCGTGTGTTGCCTTGACTCTGTGTTCTGAATAAGTCATCACAATTTCAGGTTCTAACATGTTGTCATCCACTTCATTTGTTTGGTAATAACAATGTGAGTCTCAAGTGAGCCTTCTCAATCCTGTTCGATGCAGATGTTCTGATGATAAATTTAATGTGTCATGGAAAATATTTATTCATCTTCGACTCAAAAATGCCATGCAGTTTCTCTGTTGACTGGTGCTACAATGACTTATGGCTGAAAGTAGGGATGATTAATTAATCAGTTTGGGCAATTGACTGCACCTTCTGTGCATCAGCTATGAGGAGCTGTCTTGACACAATGTTAGTGGAATTGGGTATGGGTCATTGCTGGCCAACGGAGGCACACATCAGAGCCTTCTTCACACAGAAAGTGTCCTGAGACACTTAGCAAAGGGCTTCTGACACATATTTCCGATGCCTCCGCCCCATCCTTGAGTTTGGGGATCAGCTGTGAGCACTGAGTGTTAGAGGTGGTTTGGTGGGGGGCCTCGTGGAATTTGGCATCCCTTCACGACCAAGCATGCAGTAGGTCGGTTCCAAACAAATCCCCACAGTGAATCTGATGAGGAATCTGACCCTATTAACAATCCAAAGCTTCCTCCGTTATCTATGGCTTGAAAAGCTTGTGCCAGGAAATATCTAGTACTTAAATGTAGTTAGCATGTTCTTTATGTTGTTTGTTCACCTATTGCTCCGACTGGTATAGTTTTGAGTGGCTGACAGCTCAAGTATCAATCCAACTCTGAGAGTAAATGTATATATTTTACTCCCTACAATGCTACTCTCATGCAGGAAACATAACATTTTGTTTTTTATGAAAACTGTCTATCTTATTGTGTCCCAGGATGTAGATCAGATGTTATTACAAGCAGGAAAAGTTAGGTTCTGAATCAACTGTATTCTTATGCAAAGCCCATCATGACGGTGTTTTCGTGTGCGTCTGTGTTTGGGGGCTGAGGTATTTATTGGAGAAAGAGGATGTTTGATCTTTCCTTCTGTGTGGGAGATGCCGGCAGCTCTTGCTGAGTGGAATCTGCTGAGGATGACTCACCAGTCAGTGTTTTTCCTTTTTAGGTTCTGTGAGCTAAGATGATAGGACCCCTGTGGTAGATGGGCTTCATAATATCTATTTTCATAAAACAGAGGTCTCTGAACTTTTCTACGCAAGCATCCTTGTTTAAGAAAGATTGTTTTCTAGTACTTTAAAGATGTATCATAAATCATTAAATATCTCCATGGAATAATCATCATTATTTTACTTTAGGCAACACACACACACACACACACACACACACATTTGAAATCATAAACTAGGAGTTGGCAACTTTTTTCAGTGAAGCGGCAGATATTAGAAATTTTGGACTTTCAGAGCCATACAATGTCTGTCGCAATTACTCAACTCTGCCATTATATCACGAAAGCAGCTGCAAATACCAAGATTAAAAAATGAGGGTAGCTATGTTCCAACAAGATATGTCTGGGGGGGGAAAAAAAGCATGTATCAGGCCAGATGCAGCCCTCAGGCTGTAGTGTGCTGACCCGTGATATAAAAGATTGAAGATTTAAATGTGTGGAAAAATCTCATGTTATCTTTCTGGGTCCCAATACATCATCATTTGTTGATGGCTGGTGTAGCTGAGCATTCCTTTGCAAACTGGCTCCATAAAAGAAAAGTTGTGTCTCTCTATGGCTTTTCTGTACTTGTGACAGAAAGCACAGGCTCCTTAGTAAAGGCTGTTTTATGTCTTTTTGGGTGCCTGCTAGTAGATATTGTTGATGATGGGGCTGGTAACTCATTCTATCTATCAATAATGGTTTGAAACAGATGCACAGTTTCTTGGGAACTTATTGCTGACTTCCTTGTATGAAATATGCCTTAAGAAGCGGCAAATGGTAGGTCAGGGATATCTGAATCTCTCAGTTCAACATTTCTTAGAGTGTGCATCAATGCCATTGCCCCATCTCTGGCAATACCCTTTGTCCTTGACCACCCAGCTCCCTATTGGGTCTGGTCCCTTGGACTTGCGGGCATTATCGGCTTTGATAAGGCCACTTGGAAACAGGAGACCTGGGAGAGAAGGAAGCATATTGTAACTCCCTTTCTGCCTCCTCTTTCTAGCATTGCTACCCCAACAAATGCTCTTCATCCAGCAGTGCCATGCAGTTTCCTTTCAGGGTATGAAGGAACAGATGCCATTTTCTTCTAACTTTAGGGACACTATGCATCAAACCCACTCAGGTCATTCAACAGAGTAGCCTGCTGGTGGCCTCTCTCTGTTCAAAGTCTGAGTCCCAGCCCTGAGGAAGCCTCCTCTAAGGTCCTAATGCTCAGCACTTATCGGGCAGCTACCCTTTCTCAGATGTAAGTACCCAGGTTCCTGGGGTCATTCCTCTTTGCCCCTTTAAAATGCACTCTTATCTGGGCTGCCCTCTTTGCTCAGCGTCTGGTTCCCAGCAATTTGGTTCCGTCCTACCTCATTATGAGTTCTCACAACCCTCAGATCTTCCTTTCTTTTGCCCTACTCTGGGGATGGGAATTCCTTCCAGCACTCCCAATCTCTGTGCCATGCTTCACCTTAGGCCTGTGTACACACCCCAAGCCTATGTAACCAATTCCCTCCATGCAATCCACACTCTGGAATATCTGGGGTTTTTTTTCTAGACAGAAACCAGGCTTCAACCTGCCTGGTGTCCATGTGTTTCTGGCTGGATCCTTGTATTAGTCCATTTTCAAGCTGCTGATAAAGACATACCTGATACTGGATAATTTACAAAAGAAAGAAGTTTATTGGGCTTACAGTTCCACATGGCTAGGGAGGCCTCACAATCCTGGTGGAAGGCAATGAGGAGCAAGTCATATTTTACGTGGATGGCAGCAGGCAAAGATAGAGCTTGTGCAGAGAAACTCCCGTTTTTGTTTTTTTGTGGGTTTTTGTTTGTTTGTTTTTGTTTGTTTGTTTTTTGAGATGGAGTCTCGCTCTGTCACTGAGGCTGGAGTGTAGTGGCACTATCTAGGCTCACTGCAAGCCCCGCCTCCTGGGTTCACGCCATTCTCCTGCCTCAGCCTCCCGAGTAGCTGGGATTACAGGCGCCCGCTACCATGCCCGTCTAATTTTCTGTGATTTTAGTAGAGACGGGGTTTCACCGTGTTAGCCAGGATGGTCTGGATCTCCTGACCTCGTGATCCACCCACCTCGCCTCCCAAAGTGCTGGGATTACAGACGTGAGCCACCGCGCCTGGCCTAAACTCCCGTTTTTAAGCCATCAGTTCTTGTGAGATCCATTCACTATCAGGAGAACAGCATGAGAAAGGCCAGTCCCCATGATTCAGTCATTTCCCACCGGGTCCCTCCCACAACACGTGGGAATTATGGGAGCTACAAGATTAGCTTTGGGTGGAGACACAGAGCCAAACCATATCAATCCTGCCTTCGCTTTTAGCGACTACTTCTTGTATCTGCCGTTGATGTCTCCCACATTTTCTCTTCCAATGTTGCTTCTTCCTCAATTTGTCTCCTTAGCCTTCTAGAAATCTAACAGTTACAGATCTCTTTGAAATTACATTGTATCCTGTCTTTTCTGCATTTTCTCTGTTATTGCATCTACACAGACATTTTATTATTTCTTCTTTCACTGTCTCTAATGTCAATAGATTCTTGATTTTAGCAATTGGGGTGGGAGTTGCCCCTTTGATATGATAAAATTTCTTTGCTGTTCTTTCAGAAAAGTTTTCTCAGTGAATACAAATTTGGATCCATATGAAATATCTCTGCAAGTTGTTTCCAAAGCTTACCCTCAAATTTTAATTTGTCTACTATTATTGCAGCTCCACTTGTATTTTTTGCCTTCATTTAGGACCAATATATCTTTTTATGTCTCCTTGTGTTTTTAGGATACTTTGTTTAGGTGCATTTGTAAAATAACTGCCCACACATCTTTTGAAACATTACAGTGTATTTTAACAGTAAAGTTGAAAGTCCTCACTCATAACTGGCTATGATCCTGTTGTAGTGGTGTTTTTTCGTTTTTTTGTTTGTTTTCTGTTTTCACATGAATTCTACTTCATTGGCTTTGGAAATGGCACTTGCAACAGTTTTTTTCCCCCTAAGCATTCACACACATCTTTCTGTTCCAAGTAAAAACGACATAAAATAGTGTTCCAAATTGATTGGAGTTTCACATAAGTTAGGTAATACTTTATTGAGTATATTTGTCTGAAACCTGATATTGTTCCCCAATATTTTCTATGTTAATGCTTTTCAGTCTATCTTGTTATTCCATAATGACACCCAACTAAACTAGAAATAATATGCAATTTTTCTTAACCTGACAAGAGGCATCTAAGGAAAACCTGCAGTTAGCATTAGACTTAGTGAAGGCAGACTGAATATTTTTTTTTCTAACATTAAGAACAAGACAAGGGTGTGGACTCAACACTTTAAAGTCAGTAGTTGATAGTAGAAAAACTATTTTAACCATTTCAAATAATAATTTGAATTACTGATGTTAGTCTCTATAGGACAAAATATGTGTGCATCGCATAGAATAAAAATGGTTTAAGTTGGAATGGACAGGAAACTCTGGTGGTGGTGTCAGTTTTCTTCAAGCGAACTTCTCTGTCCCTATCTACTGGTAAAGTAGACTAATCAATCAAAGACAATGAAAGAGGTTTACCTATATAGCTAAAGGTCATCTCCGGAGGTCCCACTAGCCAATGATCAGCATTCCACTGAAAGCACCCCAGCTTCTCCCTTGTTCCCATTGCCAAGTCTTTGACATGTTTTGTAGACATGCTCATTTTAACACTTGCCATTATCTAAGGAAATTCCTGACCTATAGGATTTTTTCTCCCTATAGAATTGTTCAAAGCCACTACTTAGGAAAGGGGTTATTCATCTCTAACTTCCAAATTAATTATTGATAAAACATGGAATTCACATGACTGTAAGCCTAATTTATTTTATAGGCATTTCATTTTTCATCCAAAGAACAATGTGGCACAATTCAATGTCATAAAAATATCTTAGAAAATATAAAGTATTTATTTGGGAAGGTCACTGCTTGATCATCCTCAATTGACTGAATTTAGAATATGGATAATTCCCAGTAGTAATAGTTACCCTTTGTTAACTGGATTGTGATTTCTAAACTTGCAGGCTTAGATTTATTTTTCAAGGATAAATTGAAGTATTGGATACTTGTGTAAACCGAAGGTTATCTGAGAAATCAGTATTGATCAAAACTAGTTGGGTGATGTCCGGTATCCAAAAATCATCAGATTGTTCTAAAGGTAAACATGAATTTAGCAATAGAGGATATATTGAGAAGGAGCCAAGGAATGAAGTGACAGGGCAGCTTAATGTTTTTTGTTGAAGGTATTTTCTTATTATTTATCTTAAGAATATATTCCTTTCTTGAGAACAACAACTCAAATTATATTTGGGGGGTTGTTGGAGCATGCCCTATCAATGTGATTCACACTCAGATGTGGACAGTGAGAATTCTGAGGGCTGGGAAAACTGTGCTATGAACTTGTTTTAAAAGGTTATTCATATGATTCATAAAGTATATGTATGGGCAGAATAAAAAACTAGAAAACTAGATGCACATAGTCACACTGAACCTTTAAACCAATTGTCAGAATTTTCAAGGAGGATTCTTATGGAGACAAGAAGAGATGAAAACAGTATTGCCCTTGTGTAACACAGCACATTCTTTTGAGGTGAACACATGCAGACATACAGGCTAGCCTTGTCATTAGGTGATGATAGACTCTCTGTGGGCTGGAGATTCTTGCATGTGAACTTTGTTCCTGGTGCCCTAAGTGTCCTTGGTGTGCTTTCCTTTCACTGTCATTGTGCAGAACACAAGCTCTGCTCAGCAGGTGGCACTTTTCTATACTCCTGTGATTCCTCAGAAGGAACGTTTTGAAAAAGATGTTTGTGATAGAGCACAGACACACTACAGACGTACATAGTTCCATCTATGCAATGGGATGATAATGAGGTAGAATGCTATGTAATGATACGGAATGACGTTAAGTTGCATGAGAAAAGTACATTCAAGAATGATATGCATTGAAGGATATAATGTCTAGGAAAAGTGAGGGACACAGCGGACCACAGGTCCACCTTCTGATTTTTTTGTCACCTGACAATGCAGACTGCACTTTTCATTCTGACTCATTACTGGATTATGCTTTTTGGACAGAAATGGTGCAGGAGAGAGTTGAAGATTTGAAAGTCAGCTCATGAGACTGTATGAGGCCGACTTAAGGCCACCTTCCTGAATTCTACAAGAATAGTTGTTCTCAAACGTTTTGTTGAGAAGACCATCAAAAGCTTTTGTTTATGTGGCTTATTTCTGCTAATATTTGAAAATTAGAAAGTAATGCTAGGCCATTTTAACTATATTTATTCATTAAAATAACAATGTTAAGCCTATTTCATACTTAAATTTAAAAATACTTGCTTTATGAAGAATAACTATATTTTCCAAAACAAAATATTCTATTTTCTTTTGTGATATTACCATTTTCCTCGACCTAAATGCAGACTATAGGACAGAGAGGTTTAGCAGCATGTTGAAAGTCGCACAGCTGGTGAGTGGCACAACTAAAACTCAAACCCCCATCTGTCTTCCTCAAAGTGTCTTTGAATTAAAAGGATTGACCATAAAAACACCCCACTATTTGCTTTTCCTGAGAAATTAGATAGGTTAGATTGTGCGTGTTGATATCTACCTCCATTTCCTCTGCGCTAAGAACCTGTGGAATCATTCCTTTCATGTAGTTTGCACACAGGTATATATCTAATCCAACACGGCCTTTTTCTTGCAGCGTCCATACAGAGTGGGATGACTTTGTTTTGCTCTAGTTCACAGGTCCAGTGGTGTTCTGGAGCTGGTTCAGACCAGTGCATGAGAACTGATTCTCTGCATCACTTGTCAACTTGGTGTTCAGTGACATCATCTTGGTGGCTAAAAATAATAGACCACAGTGGGAGTTCTTAAACCAGAGAAACCAAGAAACAGTGGAAGTCAGAACTGCATGCCTCCCCACCTGAGGACCTGTTTTCTTCATGTTACTGGCCAGGACTGGGCACACAGTCATGGCTTCTAAGCTAATTATAGGAGAAAGTGACACATCATAGTGCAGCTGTCTCCTCAATGTGAATGGCTGTGCATGACAGAACCTGTGTGTACTTGTATGTCCTGATGATGGCTTTGTGTGGTCCTCACCAACCTGACTGAATTTTTAAAAATCTTAACATGTTTGTAATGGAACTACCTCAAAGCATATTATCCACTGGCAGTGTGGTTTCAACATTACTTGGGCAGAACAGATTTTCAAATATGAGATACTCAGCTTTATCTCCCTGTTGCCCTAGGGCACGGGATACTTTGTGGAAGTTGTTTCCCTTCTCAGGAACCATTTTGTCCTTCCAACACTTCAAATACACATTTGTCCAAATATAGGCCCAGCTTCCTTTGGCCCTGGCAAAACCTGAGTTTCTGGTTTGCCTTCCATTGACATCCAGGTGCTTTGTCTTCGTATATTTTCTCCTTCATAGGCTATTTTAGAGACCAACAATCCACATACTCTCTCCTGCACCAATGTATCTGGCCTACACAAATGTACCCAACCTTTTATGTTCTGGAAGGCTGAAAGATGATGTGTAACAGGAATTGGAACTTGAGTCTGTCTCTAACAGGAGAACTAAGCTTCTTAACCCCCTTTTACTTCTTCCCTAATCCCTTGTGTAAAAAACTCCCTTTCCCCAAATGCCTATTTCATGAAAAATTTTGGGTATTATTTCTAATGTTTCATTCATTCATTTATTCATTGAATTGGCTATGGGGAAATAACTGAGCTCGATATCAGTGCTCTACTGATGTAGGTGTGTTTTCTGGTTTCCTGAGAAAGCTCATGTTAAGGAAAATGCTTTGCTGACATTCTGGTTTCTATGACAACTGGGATATGCCATTTTATCCTGGAGGTAGAAACATTTAACAAGGATATTTATATGCTGGAAGGATGGACTACCAGCAAAAATACATGACCTAGTAGTTGTCTCCTATCACTGCGAGATTGTGTGTGTGTGTGTGTGTGTGTGTGTGTGCATGCGTGCGTGTGTGTGTGTGTGTTTGTATTTTGGGAGAGTCAGGTTTTTCGTTAGATATTAGGGGCTATAAGCCCTCTTGTTCTATTGAAGAGTCTCGAAGTTCCTCCTGAAGGGAGTCTGAGGCTATGAGACATCTCTCATTCCTTCTGTGTTTCTGTGTTCTAAGATGACAGCTAGTGCGTGAGAGCATCATTATCTGAGTTCTTTAAAGCAGAAGTCTTCAAGTATTTCTGATCTGACACCTCAGCTTAACAAAGATTTTAGCTTGTAACAGTTAACATGTTCTTTATTTATGTTATATCTACTTACAGCAAAAGGAATTATGTGCACATTATGGGAGAGAAAATTTGATGTCAGAATATCATGAGACAAAATGAGTAGGACTGGGCACTTGAATGTGAATTTGTGGAACTTTAGGGTTGATATCGTGCTCATCTTGAGTAACTGACACACGAATTAAGAAAAGTTTTCTCTTTAAAAGACAAATTTCCTGTCATCCTGTGGATAATTAAAATCTGTAAATGGCTCCCCTTTATCACATAAATATAAGGTACAAGCTCATTACAAAAATCTGGTTCTGATTTTTTTTTCACATTTTAGGAAGTAGATGTTGCTAATGTTATACTTATTTCTGTGTTTATTATGTTTCAAGAGAAATGTACTGTATCTAAAATACTTACTGTTGTATTCTTTGTTGGGATATATGCTTTCACAAGAAGCAGGTGCTAGGTAAAGTCTCTAGGCTCCAAATCCTATACTCTGCTCTATGATGTTGGCACACTGCAATCCCCATTTTGCTTTTACCAACCTGCTCCCTGTTGGGCTCTACAATTTGGGCTCACCAGAGGGAGACAGAAAGTGTGCAGGAAGAAGAAGCAGGATGTACATTCATCTCTGTTCTTGTTCCTCTCAGCATCATCCCAGTGAAAGCTCTAGACAAAAACAAGGCCATGTGATCTCAGTGGTGGCAGGTCATTCATAATAGAGATTTTGTCCAAACTCCAAGGACTGTCTATGTCTGGCCCTCTCAGAGAGACCAGTGCTAGCACACTGGTGAACTCTTTCTCTCCTCTGAGCTCTGGGTCTCAGCCTTGAGGGTGGCCTCATCCAAGATCTTGATGTTCTGGCATGAGCAGAGATCAGGTCACCATCATCATGCGTAAGTGTCCCATTTTTAGGGGTATCTTCTATGACCTTTAGAAACCACTTCTAGCCAGGCAGCCTCCATTTCTCAGAAGCCTGTGTCCAGCTCTGAGAATCTCCTCATCCAAGCTTATTGGTTTTAAGAACCAGCATATCTTCCCTCGGTTTCATCCAGACCTAGAAGTGCTTGCTCCTTTCTACCATTGCTCTTTTTGTTACTTCATTGCACCCTATTTGCCTCTTTCAGCCTCCAAATAATACCATCAAGTTCTTTCTGATTTAAAAAAGGAGGACACTGCCTGGTAAACACGTTTGTTTTTCTCTCTTCTCTTTTAGAGTTTCCCTTTGACTTTAGTTTCTAGGAGTTTTACATAGTGAGCGTAGGTGTGTGTATATGTTGGAGTGTGTGTTTTGTGAACACAAAAAAAGCAACTATAGCAAAATGGTACCATAAGGAAGAGCATGTAAATAAATATCTTTGAAAAGATCTTAGACTGATATTTTATATTGATTGAAAGAAATATTCATTATAAAATTGTCTCTGCATGTGTGAATGTTATACTTGGGGGAATTTTTAGAACGTCTTGAATATTGCACTTTATATTTTTCATTATTTTATTCCTTTCATTATGCTACTCTTCAGGCTGTCTCCCGGGACTACAATTGTGTATCTCTTATGTGGTTAGGTATATACGTTTTAATAATGAAGATTTTCTTTGATCAATATAAAATACCAGCCTAAGAACTTTCAAGAAGATTTTCCTTACAATCTCTTCTTTATGGTCCCATTTTGCTATGGTTGCTTTGTTTTTGTTCACTTATATCCAACATTTCATGTCATATCTCCTTAGAGTCTCTATAAAATAATACTTAGGTGTACATGTATGTGTAAATGCAGCCTTTGTGTAATCTTTTACAATATGATGGGGAAAGTCAAGCGCACGTTCACTATCCACTTCCATCCTTATTCCACTCTTGCTTCATGTGTATCCATGCCATCAGATTTCTGTTTACTGTTCAAGATATTGTCTCATTTTTATCTTAGTTAAGTATCAGAGCGTTGTGCCCCATGTGTGTGTATGCTTTACATAACCTGCATCATTTCTACCGCATTGGTCTCTAATCTGATTATTTTAACCTAAATTTTTTTCTATGTCAGCACATTTAGATCTGCATCACCCTTTGTAATAAAGAACACATAATTGTTGGCTTAGACAAAAGTTTTTCAGTCTCATGGATAGCACCTTGGTTTTATACAATTTAATTGTTGTCTATTATGAAGTACCATGCTATGACTTATTTTATGATCACAGACAACTCCTTATTTTTGTGCAAAACTCAGGGAAATCAATAAAAGACACACATTGTTCGCTCACCTGGATGTTAGTAATTATGGAGGTCTCACCTTCAGAAAAAGAAGTTACCCTTGACCTTTTAACCCAAAACACTGTGTGTGATATTATTACAGTCACAGGGGATATTGAACACCTCTTCTGTGGTAGGGTAATAGAGACTGAAGGGTTAAAAGAGCGCCTTTGAAAGAAAGCCTCCTGGAATGGAGAAACAATCTTAGATTGCATAGGAATGGGCTTTAAAAGGGAAAATATTCACTTTAGTGTTAAAATTTTGCCCTAAAGATAAACCATGAATGTTGTACAGTTCTTTTTCTGAAGTACTCATGTTTTTCCTTTACTAAGTAGGAGCTTGTTCTCAAAGATGTACCTGAAGGATAGGTTCTATGACTGGATGTTTAGAGAAATATTGGGACTCAGAGCTTCAATACTGAAAATCTGGTAATTTGAATGTGTGTATGTATATTACAGTCTTATGATATAATTTGGAAAGTGAAAAGCAAGTCTAGTTTTTTTGTTCCTAAGTAAAAAGCTGAGGACAACTTCGTGAGTTATCAGTTTGTAATAGTTGTCATTTAAATATTGTTTACAAAAGCAATCTTCCTCCAATTAGGTGTGACTCCTCGGAAGAAATATATGAAACCAGAGAACAACATAAGAGAAAAATTTTAAAAGACATAAGTTCTTACCCAATGTTTAAAAAACTCACTGTTAACCCAATGAAATCCTTAAAGCATCTTTATAAAGTATGTGTGAAAATGTATGCTAAAATTAATCTCGAGATGAAAAGGTGCAATAATAGGTGAGAACATATTTTCTTTATAAAAACAATTTTATAGTTGTGCTTTTATTACGATAAACGGAAAGTCCAACACATATTTTACGAAAATACTTTTTTGGAGGCTTTAAAATCAAAAGCCTGGAGCTTACAAGAAGTTCTAGTAAATACCTAGTGGTTGTAGGGAAGGGGCATTGGGATAAAAATGAGAGAAAATGAATTGCTGCCTGTGGGTAATGATGTGGTGGGGTTTATAGCAAGAAAAGTATCCTCATTTTGGAAGGATTTTTTTGCCTAGAATTATGTTCTTTTTCCACCAGAAGTGATTTAAACCCTCACTCGGGAAAGGGGTTAACAAAATAGAGCTTCCAAAATAATTCCTCCAAAATTCAGTGCTCTTTACTAGGCAAACACAATTTATTTCCAACTAATCATTTTGCTCTTCAACAAAAGAGCAAACGTCATAGAACATAAGTTAAGTGGGGAATTCAAAAATTAAATTACTCAATTTGAAACATTTATTTCTTGATGATCTAAAATTGACTATGATGTTACAAATTTCAGACTTGCCAATTATGGTATGTCCCTTTTATTTTAATATTATTGCTTTGACACTTTTCAGACAGTGCGTTGTTCAATTCTAAACTGAGATATTGGAGACACTTTTATAACAATGGTCTTCTGAAAAATTGAATTTATTTTAAAAGTTAGTGTGGTGCTGTTCAATGTTCTATTAGTATGGTATTATTATTGATGTGCAAAAGAGGATGGATATTTATATATCTTTATTTCTCACTGTATCTGTATGTCCATATCTGCTTATCTGTCTCCCTAGAGGAAGAGAAGAGAGAGGTATTCCTCCTAGCACAAAATATAAAAAGAAAAAATCTGCAAGATTATATATAAGAGACAAAGGCACGTAGAGAGGGAACAGCTTAACATTTTTATTTAACATACTTCCCTTCTGTTTCTCTCACGTATGTATTAGTTTTGTAATCAGAAAAAACCTTAACTGGTATTTTGGTTACATATTGAAAGTACTCTGATAAAGGATTTCACACATAAAAAGACGCAAGCCAATGTGAATATCAATAAATACAAAAATACAATTTAAAATGCCTTTTGGATATCTTGTATAACACATGTACAGCTAAATAAAAATTCTGGGGTATGTGAACTCACATCTTTATAATACATATTCCTGGGTGATTGGTATACTTGTGCTTAACAGATTTCTTGGTTTGAGTTTTAAACATTTCACATTTCCTAGAGGTTTCAGGTAATAAGTAAATAGTGAAGCTGAAAATAATGTTAATACTGGAAACATAAACATTTACAGAAACGTGTACAGGCAGTGATCATGGAATATATGCATCAATATCAGGACTCTTGTGGAATGCAGTATGTGTGTTTATGTTGGATTGTTGGGGGAGATATTTGGGGGATGATCAATCTGGTTTTGCAGGAAAGGCTTACAAGTCATGCTGAGAGGAGACTGAAGTGACTGAGTCACAGGTTATTTACCTTTTTATTGTGTTCTCAAATGGCACCTGTAGCTTAATAACTGACTTGTCTCTGAATTCTCCGAAGTATAGGCATCCAAACCTGTATGATTATGAGTTTCTGTTCAAGAAAAAGGAATGCACACATTATTACCAACATAGGTATGTGTAAATGCCGTTACATATTACTTATTAGATATACAAGCATGTGTAAACAAACATGTACATATACACATTTATGATGAAAAATATTGTTGAACTATGAGACATATAATTTGAAGTCAATAATAGTTTTTATGTTATCAACAACTGACTTTAAAGTGTCAAGAATCCACACTCTTGTCTTGTTCTTGATATTAAGAAAAAAGGTTTCACTATGTCACCACTAAGTCTAATGTTAACTGCTGGTTTCCCTTAGATGCGCCTTATCATGTTAAGGAAAATTGCCTTTTAGACCTAGTTTAGTTCAGTGTTATTATTAAATAATAAGGTAGACTGAAAGGTATTAATACAGAAAGAAAATATTAGGGGAGAATATCAGGTTTTAGACCAATATACTCAATACAGTCTTGCCCAACTTACGTGAAACTCCCATCAACTTGGAACACCATTTTATGCAGTTTTCACTTGAAACAGAAAGACACGTGAACCCTTAGGGAAAAAAAATCTGTTCTAAGTGCCATTTCTAAGCCGATGAAATGGAATTCATGTGAAAACAGAAAAACAAAACAAAACAAAACAGGATCATAGCCAGTTATGAGTGAGGACTTTCAACTTTACTGTTAAAATACACTGTAATGTTTCAAAAGATGTGTGGGCAGTTATCTTACAAATGCACCTAAACAAAGTATCCTAAAAACACAAGGAGACATAAAAAGATATATTGGTCCTAAATGAAGGCAAAAAATACAAGTGGAGCTGCAATAATAGTAGACAAATTAAAATTTGAGGGTAAGCTTTGGAAACAACTTGCAGAGATATTTCATATGGATCCAAATTTGTATTCACTGAGAAAACTTTTCTGAAAGAACAGCAAAGAAATTTTATCATATCAAAGGGGCAACTCCCACCCCAATTGCTAAAATCAAGAATCTATTGACATTAGAGACAGTGAAAGAAGAAATAATAAAATGTCTGTGTAGATGCAATAACAGAGAAAATGCAGAAAAGACAGGATACAATGTAATTTCAAAGAGATCTGTAACTGTTAGATTTCTAGAAGGCTAAGGAGACAAATTGAGGAAGAAGCAACATTGGAAGAGAAAATGTGGGAGACATCAACGGCAGATACAAGAAGTAGTCGCTAAAAGCGAAGGCAGGATTGATATGGTTTGGCTCTGTGTCTCCACCCAAAGCTAATCTTGTAGCTCCCATAATTCCCACGTGTTGTGGGAGGGACCCGGTGGGAAATGACTGAATCATGGGGACTGGCCTTTCTCATGCTGTTCTCCTGATAGTGAATGGATCTCACAAGAACTGATGGCTTAAAAACGGGAGTTTAGGCCAGGCGCGGTGGCTCACGTCTGTAATCCCAGCACTTTGGGAGGCGAGGTGGGTGGATCACGAGGTCAGGAGATCCAGACCATCCTGGCTAACACGGTGAAACCCCGTCTCTACTAAAATCACAGAAAATTAGACGGGCATGGTAGCGGGCGCCTGTAATCCCAGCTACTCGGGAGGCTGAGGCAGGAGAATGGCGTGAACCCAGGAGGCGGGGCTTGCAGTGAGCCTAGATAGTGCCACTACACTCCAGCCTCAGTGACAGAGCGAGACTCCATCTCAAAAAACAAACAAACAAAAACAAACAAACAAAAACCCACAAAAAAACAAAAACGGGAGTTTCTCTGCACAAGCTCTATCTTTGCCTGCTGCCATCCACGTAAAATATGACTTGCTCCTCATTGCCTTCCACCAGGATTGTGAGGCCTCCCTAGCCATGTGGAACTGTAAGCCCAATAAACTTCTTTCTTTTGTAAATTATCCAGTATCAGGTATGTCTTTATCAGCAGCTTGAAAATGGACTAATACAAGGATCCAGCCAGAAACACATGGACACCAGGCAGGTTGAAGCCTGGTTTCTGTCTAGAAAAAAAACCCCAGATATTCCAGAGTGTGGATTGCATGGAGGGAATTGGTTACATAGGCTTGGGGTGTGTACACAGGCCTAAGGTGAAGCATGGCACAGAGATTGGGAGTGCTGGAAGGAATTCCCATCCCCAGAGTAGGGCAAAAGAAAGGAAGATCTGAGGGTTGTGAGAACTCATAATGAGGTAGGACGGAACCAAATTGCTGGGAACCAGACGCTGAGCAAAGAGGGCAGCCCAGATAAGAGTGCATTTTAAAGGGGCAAAGAGGAATGACCCCAGGAACCTGGGTACTTACATCTGAGAAAGGGTAGCTGCCCGATAAGTGCTGAGCATTAGGACCTTAGAGGAGGCTTCCTCAGGGCTGGGACTCAGACTTTGAACAGAGAGAGGCCACCAGCAGGCTACTCTGTTGAATGACCTGAGTGGGTTTGATGCATAGTGTCCCTAAAGTTAGAAGAAAATGGCATCTGTTCCTTCATACCCTGAAAGGAAACTGCATGGCACTGCTGGATGAAGAGCATTTGTTGGGGTAGCAATGCTAGAAAGAGGAGGCAGAAAGGGAGTTACAATATGCTTCCTTCTCTCCCAGGTCTCCTGTTTCCAAGTGGCCTTATCAAAGCCGATAATGCCCGCAAGTCCAAGGGACCAGACCCAATAGGGAGCTGGGTGGTCAAGGACAAAGGGTATTGCCAGAGATGGGGCAATGGCATTGATGCACACTCTAAGAAATGTTGAACTGAGAGATTCAGATATCCCTGACCTACCATTTGCCGCTTCTTAAGGCATATTTCATACAAGGAAGTCAGCAATAAGTTCCCAAGAAACTGTGCATCTGTTTCAAACCATTATTGATAGATAGAATGAGTTACCAGCCCCATCATCAACAATATCTACTAGCAGGCACCCAAAAAGACATAAAACAGCCTTTACTAAGGAGCCTGTGCTTTCTGTCACAAGTACAGAAAAGCCATAGAGAGACACAACTTTTCTTTTATGGAGCCAGTTTGCAAAGGAATGCTCAGCTACACCAGCCATCAACAAATGATGATGTATTGGGACCCAGAAAGATAACATGAGATTTTTCCACACATTTAAATCTTCAATCTTTTATATCACGGGTCAGCACACTACAGCCTGAGGGCTGCATCTGGCCTGATACATGCTTTTTTTCCCCCCCCAGACATATCTTGTTGGAACATAGCTACCCTCATTTTTTAATCTTGGTATTTGCAGCTGCTTTCGTGATATAATGGCAGAGTTGAGTAATTGCGACAGACATTGTATGGCTCTGAAAGTCCAAAATTTCTAATATCTGCCGCTTCACTGAAAAAAGTTGCCAACTCCTAGTTTATGATTTCAAATGTGTGTGTGTGTGTGTGTGTGTGTGTGTTGCCTAAAGTAAAATAATGATGATTATTCCATGGAGATATTTAATGATTTATGATACATCTTTAAAGTACTAGAAAACAATCTTTCTTAAACAAGGATGCTTGCGTAGAAAAGTTCAGAGACCTCTGTTTTATGAAAATAGATATTATGAAGCCCATCTACCACAGGGGTCCTATCATCTTAGCTCACAGAACCTAAAAAGGAAAAACACTGACTGGTGAGTCATCCTCAGCAGATTCCACTCAGCAAGAGCTGCCGGCATCTCCCACACAGAAGGAAAGATCAAACATCCTCTTTCTCCAATAAATACCTCAGCCCCCAAACACAGACGCACACGAAAACACCGTCATGATGGGCTTTGCATAAGAATACAGTTGATTCAGAACCTAACTTTTCCTGCTTGTAATAACATCTGATCTACATCCTGGGACACAATAAGATAGACAGTTTTCATAAAAAACAAAATGTTATGTTTCCTGCATGAGAGTAGCATTGTAGGGAGTAAAATATATACATTTACTCTCAGAGTTGGATTGATACTTGAGCTGTCAGCCACTCAAAACTATACCAGTCGGAGCAATAGGTGAACAAACAACATAAAGAACATGCTAACTACATTTAAGTACTAGATATTTCCTGGCACAAGCTTTTCAAGCCATAGATAACGGAGGAAGCTTTGGATTGTTAATAGGGTCAGATTCCTCATCAGATTCACTGTGGGGATTTGTTTGGAACCGACCTACTGCATGCTTGGTCGTGAAGGGATGCCAAATTCCACGAGGCCCCCCACCAAACCACCTCTAACACTCAGTGCTCACAGCTGATCCCCAAACTCAAGGATGGGGCGGAGGCATCGGAAATATGTGTCAGAAGCCCTTTGCTAAGTGTCTCAGGACACTTTCTGTGTGAAGAAGGCTCTGATGTGTGCCTCCGTTGGCCAGCAATGACCCATACCCAATTCCACTAACATTGTGTCAAGACAGCTCCTCATAGCTGATGCACAGAAGGTGCAGTCAATTGCCCAAACTGATTAATTAATCATCCCTACTTTCAGCCATAAGTCATTGTAGCACCAGTCAACAGAGAAACTGCATGGCATTTTTGAGTCGAAGATGAATAAATATTTTCCATGACACATTAAATTTATCATCAGAACATCTGCATCGAACAGGATTGAGAAGGCTCACTTGAGACTCACATTGTTATTACCAAACAAATGAAGTGGATGACAACATGTTAGAACCTGAAATTGTGATGACTTATTCAGAACACAGAGTCAAGGCAACACACGGGAAAAGATTTTTTCCTCTGGACAATACCTAAGTTGCAATCACAGATACCGTTTTTTATAACACTCTCCAGGGCTGTCATAAGTTGGTTGGTGTGGCGGAAATGCCTGCAAACTCTCAGGGCCCTTTGGTGAAACGTCATGGCAGGAGGAAGTAGAGATGTCAAACTCTCCACGCACAGAGGAAGGCAAGCCCCACATTGAGTTGCTGCCTGGGCCAAAACACACTGGTCAATATTTGTAAAACTATGTATGAAGATAATAGGAGAGGAGAAAGAGTCCTGGCAAGAGATTGAACTCCCACAGAGAGCCCCGTGTTTGGCAGTCACGGACAAATTAAGGTGGACCTGTGACATTTTGGAATTTGCTTCCCTCAGGCAATGCTGCAATCTACATACTGCCAATGAATAAAGATGTTCAGTTGCATGGCTCTTACAGATATGATATCTTAAGATGCTTAGAAAGAAATTTAACGAGGGTTTCCAGGAGCATACACGTTTATCAGTGGACAGAAATATACACAGTTTCTGTCACACATAGGCATTGAGCTTAGAGTGGCACAACTGCTCTATGGTGCAGTTCTTCTCAGATTTCAAAAGTGAAGAGAAAGAAATCCTTTGTTGTTCATCCTGTGGACTCTCATTTCAGAAGCAACCCTGTTCTTCCTGGGATACACAGAAGTAAGGTCAGGCTGGGACAAGAGTCATGCCTGTATACAAGGTAAGGGATAGTTTTCAGCAGTTTCTCTGCGAGGAGAAAAGCAGGACAGATATCTTGACGCACATTCGGGCTGTCATAGTTTCGCACAGATGTAAAATACTGTGGTCATTTTGTGGGTTAGTTTTCCAGTGAGAGCATCATTCAGCAAGGTAGATGAGGTTTCAGTGTAGCTCTGCTACGGAAAGTGGTGTGTGACATTAAAATTATCCTTAGCTGCTCTGTTTTCTGGTCTCTCTTTCTGAAGAAATAGGCAAAATATCCACATCTCTTCAATAAGAGGGTTGATAGAAGGACACCAAAGTGCACATTGTTTCATCTGGAATACAAAGGATAAATACGGGTGACAAAGGTAGGTCCTGGTCATCTGAGGTAATTTCTGGTAATATGGAGCCACACAAGGTCCATGGGACCATTGGATTTCAGTCTAGAAATGCTGGGTTCCAATGCTCAGAATTTAAATTCCCAGGAAATAAATATTTAGATACTTATCTTCACTTTTTCACACACCGCATGGTGAAGAGAAATGAGATTTATCGTGCACCCTCAATTCTACAATAAGAAAGCAAAAAAAGAAAGAATGGCCTGTGAGGATTTGAAGAGATACCTTCATCAGTAATAAAGAACATGAACGTGGAAGGCCTTCTATATTTTAATGTATTCCAAACGCCAAAACAAAAGAATGCAAACACAGGATTGGCCTGTGTGTGAGGACAGCATCACTGGGAGGGAACTTGTTGGTGTCCAAGGAAATATAAGGGGGAAGTGGAAAAGTCAGATCGCCACTGGGGTTTGTCAGCTATCAAAGCAGGCTATGTCTCTTCCCTGCATTCATCAGCCTAGCAATACTCGCTAAAATTGTTTTAAAAACTAACTAAATAAAACTGGGCAATAATTTTTGTTGTCAGAGTTTGGATCTATAGTTCCAGAATTTATTCTGGTTTTCTCTCCTCATTTCTACAACTAACAGAAAAGCTTTTATTTAAAAAAAATCACACCAGATTTCAACATAATTTATTGTTTGTATTTGTATATGTCATAGATCATAAGATCATGCTGAAGGCATATATTTTTAGATTCCCTCAAAATATCGATTTCGGTTCTTTTTAAATAAAAATGCATGCTTATCTTAAACAAGTAATAGAAAAAATTCCTTACATAAAAATGTTGAAATGTCCTTTGACACCATTCAGTGGCTCCTTCTCAATATATCCTCGATTTCCCGGGTTGCATGTAAACTTTCAGAAATTTCATTTTCTGCACCCACAGAAATCTCACTCTTTCTCTCTCTTTTCTTCCTGCCTTTTACCCTGTTCCCTTTTCCTGCTACCCTCTTTCTCCCACTCCCCCTCTCACAACAGTGTTCTCTTTGGCCATTAGTACACGGTACTGAACAACACCCATCTATGGTAAATTATCCCTTACTTCTCAGAGTTTTGGCACTTTCACAAATAACCAAATATATTGATCTTCTAACACGTGGTGTATGTTTAAATGCGCAATGCATGTCAGGGGTCCCTAAGACCACCCTCTGGCTCACCGATTTGTTCTAAGGACTCATGGGACTTAAAAAGCTCTTATGATCACAGTTACAGTTTATTACAGTGAAATTTCAGTAAAATAGCTTTGAATATGCAATGGGAAAAGTTAAGTCAGGTGAAGTCTAGGAGGAACCAGGCTCTAGCTTCTAGGGGTCCCCGCCCAGTGAACTTTCCCAGGGACACACTTAAATCCCCAAGCAACAGTGTGTGGCAACACAGGTGATGTGTTACCAACTTAGGAAGCTCCTCTGAGAGTTGACATCCAGAGTTTTTGGGGTGATCTGTCACATAGAGATGCAAGGCTTGTATGACCTCACCAATTTAGACCACAGCCCCCGGTCCACTCTTAGAACCAAAAACAGGCATTCACCATGCATGATAAAAAGTATCTTGTCTAACTGGTGCAGCAGGGCCCAAGGTTTCAGGAATACCGAAAAAAAAAAAAAAAAAAAAAAAAAAAACTAAACAAAAACCTAAACAAAACGAAACCTTTTTGAGGGAGAATATTCCAATGTACAGCGGTTATCTCCCAGGAGTGTGTTAAGGACTAGTTCTGAAAACAGTACTTTCTTTGGAATGTCTTGTGTTTGAGGAAACCAGGTAAGTGGACGTAACTCTTTCCTGCCCAGTTGGCTCCCCTGGCCTTTGGCCTAGGATATCTTACAGCAAAATTATCACATTGTCTCGTGCTTCTACCTTTAGCATATCATTTATATAATAGACGTAGCGATAGCATTAGTATGAGTATACCTAACAGTTAGAAGAGCCAGTATAGGAAAGGGCTATATCTAATGAAAAAAGCAATGTATCTTATAAAGAAAACATACACTTTTCTACATTTATCCTAATTCGATGACTTCTTTCTCCCCTCGATCTAATGTTATTTGTACTTTGTGAGGAATCTGTGCAGCACCATTTAACACAGAAGTTAGCTGATGGCTAACTAAATCTAGCTCTTCCTCAGGCTAGTCATTTTCATGTTAGTATTATATCCTAAGTAGACTTCAACTCAATCTCCCGATACTTTTGATAATCAGTGTCAGTATTTTTCATATCACTTGCCTACAGAAGACAGTTGGTCACCTTGGGGCCATTCCATAGAAGAACTCAAACTTACCATGTGATGCCACTGCTTTATTCCCATCAGAAATCCATGCTCCTTTTTCTATTTTGTTCAAAAGCATTTCATCCGCTAAAACAAGAATAATAAGTATTTGTGCACAGCACACAATGGCATGTCGGACATGCTATCATTATTTTTTTCATTCATTATAATCAGGGACCTTTCCCATGATTTTATCATCAAGGTTTATGGTTACACAGTAATTAGTCTGCCGGGAGCTGTAACACTGCACGGAGAAATGGCCTGATAGGGAGTTGTTCCTAGAAATTTCTTGCTAAGTGATATACTTTGCAGTAGACATAACCTGAAAAATGAGTCAAAATATACTGGCATATTTCTACAGTTGCACTTAGTCATTAGTCATAGAACCAGTTCATCACATTGTGTGACCAAAATTTCCCCCAGAACAGTGCAACTCAGATTTGCAGGCTTCCCTTTGACCTTGTGCAGTTCAAAAAGCAGGTGTGGTATTGGCAAACATATGGCTTCACTCTTTTGAACATCAGGGTACAATTGCTAAAAGACAATAGCAATTTCTTACTCTGAGCTTCTTTAGGTCACCAACGTCATATTGATTTTTTTTTATTCCATAGATCATTTATTCGTTCCTTTACCCTCAACTACTATTGCTCCTTCTTTCTATTTGCTGTTGAGATTTACCAAAACTTTTCTATCTTTGAAAGGGTGTTAGGTTTTACCATTTATTTGGTCAAAATCATTGGTACCAGTACCAGCCTGGTAAGTGCCTACCCTCAACAGTTTTCAAAAGTGGCTATGTGAGGAGAAACTCATCCAATCCCATTCAAATAGGGAGGGGTTACATAAAGATACAACCAGTGGGCTTTCTGGACCATGTGGGAAATGCAGCTGCATTCACCGCCAACCTTAATTTTGCCAGATGCCATAAAGGCACAATTCATCCTTTCAGGCCCTTATAATCACTGGCATAAAGGTGTAAAGGTAAAGTTAAGGGTTTTGATTTAGGGATCATCTGTGCCTCTGACACCTACAGTTGCAGCCCTAATCCTGGGACCACGGAAGCAGCTAGGAACACAAAAGGTGGGTTTGTGTGGGGATGCATTATGTAATTACACCAGCATCCTCCCTTATTGCCTCTTCCCCAATCCCCCAGAAAAACAGAGAAATCTACCTAGTGGGGAGTATGCTTTGTCCCCCCTTCCCATGTTGAATGTGAGCACACACTCATGAAGGTTTGTAAGCTAGCCTTTCATACCGTTATCTCCACTCAATTTACTCAACAAATGTTTTGTCATTCCAATTCTCTATCAAGTCACGACTCCGAAGATGATGTGCGATATGATGTGGCCACCTGATATTATCTCTTTGACTCTTGTTGAGCCCTATGGACTATACAATACGATCGTTGGTCTGAAAAATTGTAACGTGGCGTTCTAACTTGGTACAGTATCTTCTGTTCCAATCCTTTATAGTATGTTCAGAATTTGTATTTACCATCCAGTATACAAAGCATAGTCCAAAGTAAGTATCTCTTTCTATCAGGACCTATTTATAGCGCCCCCCTCCCCACAACCCCGCCAGGGCTACTGGTAGTAGTCTGATACAGTGAATGTGGTATCTATGTGGGAACCTCCCCCTTAAGCCCCCCACCCAAGGGAATCTGCCTCATAATTATCTGCAGTCTTTGTCTTTCTGGCTGGCACACAGTTAGCGCTTGCTGGGATTTGGTGCCTCAGAAAGTGCAAGTGGAATACGCTGATGATAAGCCCACCTCTGCTTTGCTGCAGCTATTCCATGTCCACTCATTCCATGGACCAGGTCAACACCTCAACAAGCACAAAAGGATGTCCACTTGCTCATACCAATCACCTGATTGGGGAAAGGAATCATTTGAATGGGCATTAACTTGTCCTTCTTTAATCTGCCTCTTAAATTTCCATTGTGATTTCCACAGGGCTGTGACTCTTACAGTAGCCCTTTAATAGTTCGATTTTCCATTGCCCATCTGTCTGACCACGTGGCCAGGCCATTGGCTCTCTCTTTATTCTACCTACGTCACCCTCTTATTCCACTTATGGGTCAAAATAAACCAACAAATTTTTTACTTTGTTTTTGTTCAATTCTTCCATCACTACAAGGAAAACAGCATACAATTCAGCCCAGCCCTTTAAGCTGATTTCTTCTTACATTCTTCAATCAGAGTTTTTATGTTCGTCAGTTTTTAGGTCGGTCAGTCTCCCAAACTGGATGCTGTCCATCCACCTTGGAATTGCCATCCATAAATTAAGGAGCTATTTTGTGGTCAGTTGAGAGCTGTGCATAGAGACCCACCACCAAGGTGGCAATAGAATATGGCATCTCTTCAGTTGATTCCAAACTTAGCCTAAGGGAAAAGAGACTGTACCTAAGCATGCACACATTGACTGCATCCTTGCATTCCTCCAGTGGCATGTTCCTGCATAAACCCTTTTCATTTGATTATGGAGATTTCTGAACACTTCCTTTCTTATCTCTCTTATTAGACATTACTCAAGACATTATGAGCAATGGTTTCAAGAGTATTTTATGTACCCAAGTCATACGGGCAGTTTCAATAAGTGCCCCATAGCAAACAAATAATCGTCTCTCAAACAGAGTGTAATACACTGCCACGTCTGAAAACTTTCTGCCCAATATTCCAGTCAATTGTCACTGCTGGACAGCACTCATTGTATTTTGCCATAAGCTCCCGTTTGCATAAATGTAAGTTGCAGGCACTTCCAAATCATATCTGAGTGTGGATCCTAAAGTCCTAAAGCCGTTGACTGAGACGCCAGTTTTTGCATTTTTGACATAGCCTGCTGTTGTTCAGGCCCCCATTCAAATATGGTCTTCTTAGAGGTAGTTTCATGGATTGAATCTAACAGCATTCTCTGATATGATGTATGAATCCTCCAAAATCCAAAAGACTCAACCACGTGCTGTGCTTCTTGCCTATTTATGGGGTAAGCAATGATGGCATTTTATTTTTAGTTGCCTGTGGGATGTCCCAGTGGCTTCTGCCCATGTTATTCCCAAGAATTTCATCGTTTATACCAGTCCTTGAATCTCTGCTGGGTGGATCAACTATCTTTGCTTTGTCCTATGTGTCACCACTGCATTTAAGTAATTTTAGCTCATCCTTTGTTTTCTGATATTATTATGAAATCCTCTATGTAGTTTATTACTGTGCTTGATACATGGATCAAGTTCAAATCTTTCCTGACCAAATTATGACAGCAAGCTGGTGAATTCAAATAATTCTGCAGCAAAATGGTGAGTGTAAATTGGGATCCTTCCTACACAAAGGAAAATTACAGTTGACTCTTTATTATAATTGGTGTTCAGGAAAAAAAGCATTTCCCAATTAACTGCTGAGTAGTTGCCTTCTTTAACCTGTATTTTTTTCATGATGATGCTATATGTGAGACTACATTATTCAAGCATTGATCACCTACTGTTAGTTTTCATGAACCATCTGCCTTTTCATAGGCTACAAAGTGCTATTGTACAACACTCCAGCTTTTAACATGTCATTAATTAAAGTGATAATCTGTTTTTTTCTCCACCAGGTATTCTTTACTGCTTCAAATTTACAACCTGAGTGGGCTCAGAAAATTCTGTAGGCTCCCACTTATTATGTCCGATTAATACCACCTAACAGATAAACTTACATGCCGTTTGTTTTACCATAATTGTTAGAGGAAGTGTTTCCCAGCGGACATAATATCCATCTCAGTGATGCATGCAGGAAAAAGAGATACAACCACTTCACCTAGAGTCTCTTCAAACGTTTCAATGTTTATCCAAACACTGACCTTTATTCCGTCAAACATTCTATCCTGATATCCTCCCGATATTACTGTCAACTCTATCAATGCCACTTTATTCTTCACATTCCTTAGTAATTATTTACATTTTTTGGCTTTGCTGAAGTGAGTCCCTTGACTCACTCCCTTTTCTTTCTTCATTCTCTTGTGGATCATTATAATTTTCTTAGCATCTGAGAGACCCATGGGGGAAGCTGAGATAACAAATCTGATACAGCTTCTCAAATCATTGCTTGATTTTACAACAGCAAGATTTCATGGGGTGACCATGCAACACGTTCCCCTAAGTCACAGAATTCAACATGACCTGAGTAACAGGCATAATAAGTATATAAACACCCTGGTCTTTGCAAAGCCAATCCAGCATGGATTGCATATGCAGCACATCAGGCTGCTTCATCTAAGAGTTTCACTTATATTTTAAAGGAGGGGAAAAAATCCTTCCTCTTTTCATGCTAAAGAAACTTCACAGTGGCTTTTATTCAGTATACAAGGCTAGGGATCCCCTCAGGAAAAACCACTTGCGTGTTTGGATCATGTACAGCCATCTATTCAATAGTAAGTCGTGAGTCCTGCATCAACCCAAACATACTCCTCCATTCTGCAGCATTCAAAACCAAGGAGACTGCTCCTAAGTTAATCACTCTCACAATCCATTTTTACTCAGTGATTTTCAGGAAGCTGATGATATGACTCCAGAAGAGGAGACAGCTCTTTAACGCCATACCCACCGGTTTCAGTAGTTTCTCAGATTTGCCTCCACCTGCCACCTGGAATATATTCTTGGTGAGCAGAGGTCATAGAAGTGCTATCTCTTGTTGCAGCACAATTTTCACTCTTGATAGCAGTTCTAACGTGCTGACCAATGAATTCCAGTCCAGGCAGCATTCACAACAAGCTGACTTAAGAGACCTTGGGCCTTAAGGGAACATTGACAGTAGTCTTAAGCGACCTTGGGCCTTAAGAGAATATTGGCAGTAGCCTTAGGAGATCTTGGGTCTTAAGAGAACATTGACAGTAGTCTGACGGTACTCCTTGTGGCCTGGGGTAGCAAGGGATACAGAGTTAAGCTCCTCAACATTTGGAAAGGGGAGAGACAAATAAGAGGACTGTTTCTTATTTAATTGCCTGCTTAGCCACAATACAATTCAACACCAGGCAAACTTCTAAGATTTTTGACTCTGGTCTCTGACCCCCTGACAGCACCTCTGGACTTACCTGGGTCTAGGGGACCTTTCTGACCTGAAGGGAAGGATAAATGCCTGGCTAGCTAGCTAGCCACCTGCCAATTGTAGAGTCCAAGAGCCTTGACTGAACATAGGCAGTAACCAGGGAGTGGTTACAGCAGGCCTTGGGTGAAACCCAGCACTGTGCTGGCTTTCGGTCTTACCCAGCACAGTCATAGTGCTGGTGGCCATAGAGGTGCTTTTGTCACTCCACCCCAGCTTTAGGTGGCTCAGAACAGAGAGAGAGAGAGAGAGAAAGAGAGAGAGAGAGAGAGAGAGACTCTGTATATTTGGGAAAAAGTAAAGGAAGAGAACTAGAGTCTCTGCCTGGTAATCCAGAGAATTCTCCCAAATCTCGTCCAAGACCGTCAAGTCAGTACGTCGAGAGTGTGCAAAAACCACAGCATTACTCAGTTTGTGGTGCCTGCTAAAGCAGATACAGCTCAGATCACAACAAGTCTTTTCAAATATCTGGAAATCCTTTCTAAGAAGGATGGATACAAATAAGCACAGACAGTGAAGACTACAGTAAATGCCTAACTCTTCAATGCGCAGAAACCAAATTATATCTGCTAGCATTACCACTATCCAGGAAAACATGACCTCACCAAATGAGGTAAATAAGGTACCAATGACCAACCCTGGAGAAACGGAGATATGTGACCTTTCAGACCAAAAATTAAAAATAGCTGTGATGAGGAAACTCAAAGAAATTCAAGATAACACAGAGAAAGAATTCAAAATTCTATCACGTAAATTTAACAAAAAGATTGGATTAATTGAAAATAATCAAGCAGAAATTTTGGAGCTGAAAAATGCAATTGGCATACTGAAGAATGCATCAGAGTCCTTTAATAGCAATATGTATCAAGCAGAAGACAGAATTAGTGAGCTTAAATACAGGCTATTTGAAAATACACAGTCAGAGGAGACCAAAAACAACAAAAAACAATGAAACACATCTAAAAGGTCTAGAAAATAGCCTCAGAAGGGCAAATCTAAGAATTATTGTCATTAAAGAGGAGGTAGAGAAAGAAAGAGGGACAGAAAGCTTATTCAAAGGGAAAACAGAGAACTTTCCAAACCTAGAGAAATATATCAATATCTAAGTACAAAAAGGTTGTAGAACACCAAGCATATTGGACCCACGAAGACTAATTCAAGGCATTTAATAATCAAACTCCCAATGGTCAAGGGTTGAAAGAAGCAACAAGAGAAAACAAGCAATTAACATACAATGGAGCTTCAATACATCTGGCAGCAGACTTTTCTGTAGAAACCTTACAGATGAGAACAGAGTAGCATGACATAAAGTGCTGAAGGAAAAAAAAAAAAACTTTTACCCTAGAATAGTATATCTGGTGAAAATATCCTTCAAATATGAAGGAGAAATACTTTCCCAGACAAACAAATGCTAGGAGAATTCGTTAATAGCAGACCTGACCTACAAGAAATGATAAAGGGAGTACTTCAATCAGAGAGAAAAGGACACTAATGAGCAATAAATTATCACAGGAAGTTACAAAACTCACTGGTAATAGTAAGTACTGTTAAATCAAGTTTAGCCTAAAGCTGCCTCCTTACATATTTTAAGTTCAGCCTAAAGGTTTCTCTGTATATCATGAACAATAATAAGTGGAGGTGTAAACTGACCGTAACCTACACTTTTGTCAATCACTGAGTTTTGGCCAATCAAATGTAGCCAACTGTTTGAACCATGGTCAAATAAGGCAAAGGCTGAGCTGTAACCAATATGGCTCTTTCTGTACCTCACTTCCATTTTTTGTACATCACTTTCCTTTTTCTGTCCATAAATCTTCTACCACGTGGCTGTGCTGGAGTCACTGAGCCTACTCTGGCTGGGAAGACTGCCTGATTCATGAGTCATTCATTGCTCAATTAAACTCCTTTCAGCTTAATTTGGCTGAAGTTTTTCTTTTGTCAGGATGGCATCAGAAGTGGGATCCGAAGTAGAGCTTCTAACAACCCCCAGGAGCACTGAGTAACCAATGCACCTTGTGCCCATTGCTCTCCTGGAGCAGCTGGGAATCATGTTAAATTGTCTCTGGGATTCTGAACCTCAACGGATTTGTGTTTTGAGCTCTCTGAGTTTCTTTGAGCAAATGTCTGATCTAAACTGGGTTTGGAAGTCGTGACAGAAGCTGAACTAGGTACAGGATCGAATTGAATCCAGTAATTAACTGGCTTGGATGCAGTTAGAGGTCTCTTATATCTGACTACATCAGAAAGAAACTGGTAATAAATGGCAGTATTGCAGGGGGTGTAAAATTTGGCTTTGGGAGATTCACAGGAGTTTTAGTGTTCTACCCCTTTGTTTCATTTTTCTTGCATGCTTACATAGGAAAAAATCATTAGCTAAGTTGATCCAGGGAATCTGAGAGCAAAGCCAATATTTGAGGTAAAAATGAGATCCTTAACTTCTGAAGAACTGAGCAGCAAAGTCTTACAGAAATGACAAAATCTTACTAAAGATAACTTACAGTGGATTATTCCAAATGAACAACACTGCACTGAAGTGCATTTGAAAATGAGGGTTCCCAAGTTAATCTCATCTAGGGATGCCTATTGATATGCAGAATCTTCTAAAAAATTTCAGTATATTTATTTAAAGAGTTTTTGAAAGGCAAATAAAAAGCTTAAATGACTAATTGATTAAAAATTAAGACTCCTAATCTTTTGGGTTAGTTATGATACTTATCCAAAGGAAACAGACTGCAGCACCAATTGACTGACATTAGGTAAGTAGTGGGTACATTTCACTTTCCTAAAAGATGGGACTGTTTTAGAGGCCCTCCCCTCTGTAAAGTCCCTCTTGGTTAAAAATGGACCTGGCATTATGGGATGTTAACCACTATTCTCTTTGGATTAATTTGTCTTGTACTCTTTGCTGATGGCTGTGGGTGACAGGATTAGGTATGTACAGGACCGTGGGACATGAGAAACTTTTTTCCTCCTTAAAAGGGGAAACTTGAGAGCTGATGGATCTGTTGGAAAAGATTCCTTCGTGACCGACAAGTGGCCACCTGAACTTTTGATTCAATGTTGCTGCAAGTGTGTCTTTCTCCGGATTCCCTGAGTGCCTCACCTTCTCCACCCCACCACAGGTAATGCTTTTCTCCCTTCCCTTTCCTCTTTCTCTGTGCAAACCAGCTGTGGGAATGGTAAAAATCACTGTCTCATGCAAAGTTTTAATTAATGAGAAAAAGGATTCACAAAGCTAGTTTTAAGCTATAGCAAATCTAGTGTACTTTGTGATATAAATTTACCTTTCTGTGTTATTCTGCCATGAAGAGGGGTACCTTAGGATAAAACACAGGTTTAATAGCCCATAAGCTCGCTATTCAAAACAGCCCAGCAAGCTGGTCAGTAACAAACTTTGCTTCAGGTCCCTGAAACAAACAAACAAACAAACAAAAACTGAATGAGATCTCTATCTTATCTTGTTTATGTCTTTGGGAGCTTGACCTTGTAACTGTGTGGCAGTACTTTCTCTTGGTCTCCGCCATCCAAGGAATAGGAATTTGTGGATTCATGTCATAGTTAGCTCTAAAAATTAAAGCTCGAGCCTTTGCAAGCTCAAAATTGGCTGCTCTAGACTCCTTCCAGGAAGGACAACAGAATCTACCCAATGCTGCAGCTCAGCAACTAGGGCTTCACCATTTTACAACAGTGGCCTGGGTTCAGTCCTGGCTTAGGGCATGAGTATTTCTGGTTGATATCTGTGTGACCTTTACCATTTGTTGATTCTCTTCCCCTCCATGAACAGTTTTGAATTTTTCTTTCCCTGAGCACCTGGAAGCTTACCTTTAGCAAAGTTCAAAAGCCAGAAACAATAGCAGTTTAGCCTGGCTAAAGTAGGTTAATAAGAAATTTAAAAGGACTTTTATTTTTAAAGAGCATTATGGTTAAAAGTCAGCTTAATTAAAAGTGAATATCCAAGTTATGCATATGTTGAAAAGGTCTTTATGTTTTTTCTCTTCTTGGATAATTTTTATTCTTTTGGAAAAGGTTTTTTGTTTTTCAGTCAACTGAATTGCTTTTCTCCAATTTGTCTTCTTGCCACTCTTGATGCACACATGAAAGGACCTAAGATAACTTGTAGCAGCTTGAGACTCCTTGGGAAAGACAAAGGAGGTGCCACAGACTTTGTTTCCGGAAACCCCAGGAAGTGAAATTGGATGGATCCCTCTCAAAATCTAAGACTCTGTTCTGCATTGCATTGTGTTATCTGATGGTTTTGAGTTTTGAGGGTATCGGAAATTACTTCACATTATGAGAGCGCTTTGGAGTGTAATAACTAGGTAGGAAATAAACATTTAGGGATGGCTAATGACAGTTATGGGGGATACTCTACTCTTTGCACATTTGGATGAAAGAAGCATGCTGTTGGCCAGCTGGAAGGCATGACAATGTCCCTACCCTCCACTGACAGATAAGACTCCCTTGGAGGATGGGCTAATTACAAAATGGACTCATTGGAATTGAGTTGCTTTGCAATGAAATGCATAGTAAAATCATTGCTCTGTCTTGTTCCATAGCATTTCACTTTTGGAGATCCAGTATCCAGTATAAAAATGGGACCTTGAATTTTGGGGGTCTGCTTGCCTTCCAGCTGTACCTGCTTATTAGGCCCTAGAAACTGAATGTTTTCCTAGCCCTGTTCCTCAAAGAACTTCACCCTGAAGCCAGTAATCCAATTAAAAAACTTAAAAATTGGCCAGTGAAAAATCTTGCAACTGCTGGATCTTCATTTGTCTGTCTGCATGTGTGTTTATATGTGGTGTGTGTGTAATGTTTATATATGAAAGAGCTTTGATTAATTGGATTAAAGAAAAGTAAGCACTTAAATATCTTGTCAGAAAAATAAAAAGGAATGCCTTTTAGCTCACGTGACTTTAGCAAGCTTTTGGAAATAAAGTTTTTTAAAGATTACTGGTAAAATAAAGATATTTGCTCTAAATTAGGCGGGTCAGATATTAGGTTTGCTAAATGCTTTAAGGTCATAAACTGCTTCTTTGACTTTTGAAAAGTGTTCAGCTTATTTATTTTGCATCTATTAGATTTGATGTAAGGCCTGGAGACATGTGGAGTTAGCCATGCCCCCCTAACTATGCTGGAAAGAGTCAGAACTTATCTACACTTCTGTCTGGTGTCCTAGGCTCCAAACCTCATACATAAATAAAATAACTTACCAGGTTTTTCATCAAAAATAAAAAATTGCTAAGAGTTAACATTGTAACATGTAATTGAGACTACTGAAAAAAACAGTTTTACACTCAAGGTATGTGAAGAAAGTGAAATGTGCTTTTGATAAATGATTATAAGAAGGCATGGGAATGTACATTTTTATCTAGTTTAGAGGTAAGGATTGTTTTAAATTAGATGGAAAAAAAGCTGAAGGTTTCAGCAAGTTGTAGAAGATTTTAAAAAAATAATATTTTAAAAAATTCTATGTATGAACATATTGGCTAAATTTAAAGAACATTCAGTTTTTCCATAAGTTGAACATTGGAATAAAAGAACAACAGGGTTTTCTTAGAACACTGATCTGCTTTTTAACAAAAATTTGTAAAGTATTATAAAAGGTTTATGAGAATCTCACCTTACAGTCAAACTGATTAAGATTGGATAGATTTGTCCATAAGGTTTTATTAAAAATTGGGGTTGACATTAATAGTATATTAATGCAAGGGTAAAATTTGCCTTTCTCTCTTGAATAAGATTTTCATGTACTATTAAAGGATAATAAAAGATTTTTGTTTGCATTTTGAATGAACTACAGGAAAAGAAGGGAAAGACAAGAGACAGATTGTTTGGAAAGCGAAGTCTTCCCACTATGAATGAGTAAAGGTTTTTGCCTTTTTAAAATTTGTGAGTCATTTTGGCGAAATGAATGGCTTATCATGACCTGGAATTCTATTTTATACTATCAAGTGTTTTAAACCTTTATCATATTTGGCAGGTTTCTCAAAATCAAATTTCAGCTGCAAAATTAAGTCTTTTTTAACCTCTGACGTAGGGATGCTGCAGAGGGTCCTGAAGCATCCAAAAGAGAGATAAACAGAATTACGTGAAATGTTAAGTTCCATGGGAAACATTGTCAAAATAAAAATGTTTAACCTTCTTCAGGTTACATTTTAGTGAGTAATATTAATATTTGTTCCAAAATTTTATGGAATTTCTAAAATTCTAATATGTCAGAGTATATACTCTCAATCATAATTATAGTTGTTATCTTAAGTTATTGTAGACCACAGAAATAATCAAACATTTGTCAATTTTGTCTTTAATTATGACTTTTTAAAGTCATTTCCACAGTTTATTGCTTAATACTAATGCAGTTTAGTTTCTGAAAACTTCACAAGCACACAAAATCTTAGAATATTGTATCTTTTAGGAGGTTCATGAAAGAATGGAAAGGATTCTGAAAAACACTCTTGAATACAGGTTTCTAATAACTTTAGAATCACATCATTTGGACTGGGTAAGAATTTCTGGAACTTTAATGAAAAGACTGACTGCTTTATCAAACTTGTAACCCAAGTAGAGCAAAAATAAATTGAATACCAAGAAGATATTTTGCCATATTATCATGCTAAATCAGCCAATACTGAAATCGTTTCGATATACAATTTGAATGAACTTCATGGTCTAAGTCAAATGACCTATGATAACCCATCGGTTATCAGTGCTATGCACCTAAATTGGAGAAACAACTGGTATTCAAGAGGACCTAAGTCCAACGTTAAGAATGGACTCATAGAGAACCAGGACAGATGCCTTGTCCTTCCTGAGTCCCTAAAGCTTTTGTTGTTAAAAGTTCTGCATTCCATGACTCATCATGAAAAAGATAAAATGATCCAAATTAAATATATATTAGTGTGGTGACTTCTAAATTGCTAACATAGTTTATGACCAATGTTTGCTGTGTCAAACCCATATTGCTGGGAAGATAATCAAAGCTTCAGGTACATTTGGCTATCTGATGGGCCATTTAAACTTTTGTAGAGGGATTTCATTCCATTGTCATTTTCAATGCATGTTTTCTGCTTGTATAAAAGCTTTTCCATGCAAGAGGGGTGATGTTATAACATCAGATGATTATGCCACAGTACATTTTCACCAGGTAAAGAAAGCTTTTTATGATTCACTGACTAAGGACAATCAACCCTTTCACAATCTAGAACCCAAAGACTGGATCTTCTGAGAACATCAGAGAAAGACTGTCTCTTTCTCTGCCATGCACACTACAGCAAAACTTTGGGACTTTGAAGTTTGAGTTCATAATCTCACAACTGGGAAGTGTCCCTCCACAATCTTGGAAGCGTACACCCGTTGGAACCCTTAGGATAAAGCAAACCAAGAAAATTTCTTCTCAGAAGAAGATGGCATCTTTGATGTGATCTTTTCCCAAGATCACGGATCAAGACTTCTTTACTCTCACGAGACTCTTATCATTAAATATTTTTCCATTGCTTATACCTTTATGAACAATGGAAGTGAAAAGGGGGTCTGTTGTGTGTACTCATGTGGTATACTTTTATTTGTGAAGGATTTTGCAGCCAGCCTTATACATAGATAACCTTATACCTTGATAGATGGAAGATGAAGGCCCGATGAAAGTGAGAAACTTTAATGGTATATACTTTGCCTCATAATCAGTCAGAAACAGAACGTTGGTTCTCTCCTCTTAACCCACATAATGGATTAAAATAACATTGCCAGGAGGCCTTCGCTATTCTAGACGGGCATCATTCATTAGGTCCTTTTTCCATGGTTTGGAGTAAAAGAGGCAATGATTAGAAATGTATCCCTCATGATAGGCTCTATAGCAGATTCTACTGTAAAGGCTATAGTTACACAACAGACTGTGAAAGTTATGCTAAATAATAGAATTGCTCTATATAACTTACTGGCTAAACAGAGAAATATCTGTGTAGCTGCTGGCACCTGTGGCCTATGGAGAAATACAACACATTAGGTATTATACAGATTCAGTTTTGGGGATTAGTGAAGAGACTGTTTAGTTAAGTGAGTAGACTCTTTACCTCTTTGATCTATTTAATTTAGGTGGTTTGGTTTATGGGGACCCTGGGTAAAGAGCATACTCTAAACTCTTGGTGTTATCCTCCTGAGAGTCATAATAGTATTCTCCCTGGTGTGCTGTATTCTCTCAAAAGTTTTAAATGTTTGCATGCAGCCATCTCTAGAATGTCAAATGGCCTCTCTTCAACTGGAATGACAAGAGTCATTCTGAAAGAAATGTGTGACCATGAGGGTACTATAACCTATGAATGACATGCTGAGACCATAAACCCAAAATGATGGTAACTAAGAGTTGTGCTAAGGCCCTAAGTTTTGGTCACATTCTCACGCAGGTGAGAACGTGAACACAAACGGGGAATTTTTAAAATAAAATTATGGGAGGCCATTGTTTTGGACCGAGCTCATTCACTAGGCCCCAACAGACCAGACCAAACCAAAATGGAGTTGCTCATGCTAAAGGTGACATAATCACACTAATAATTTAAGGAAGCATATAAATCATAGAAGAGAACAGGTTTTCCTTTTAAACAGATTCCAGCATGAGGAGGGTATCCTCTACTCTAACCCTTACAAAAAAATAATAATAATAACCTGAAGTTCTTGTTCCCACCTTACAAAACCCACAGTTCTACTGCTTTCCCCTGGGTTTCAAGACCAGCTAAGTATATTTATGATAGTGATAGTAACATAAATGACTAAAGTTTTGGTCAATCTCTCAAAATTGAGAAGACCAACAGCGGGGAATTGTTAAATCAGTTTTAGCCTGAGGCTGCCTCCTTACATATTTTATGTTCAGCCTAAAGGTTTCTCTGTACATTGTGAACTATAACAAGTGGAGGTGTAAACAGACCATAGCCTACACTTCTGCCAATAACTGAGTTTTGGCCCATCAAATATAGCCAACACTTGGAGCCATGTTCAAATAAGGCAAATGCTGAGGTGTAACCAATTCAGCTGTTTCTGCCCCTCACTTCCATTTTCTGTACATCACTTTCTTTTTCTGTCCATAAATCTTCTTCCATCACCTGTCTACACTGGAATCTCTGAGCCTACTGTGGCTCAGAAGGCTGCCCCATTTGCGAATCATTCATTGTTCAATTAAATTTCTTTAAATTTAATTCAGCTGAAATTTTTCTTTTGTCGGTACACAGAAAAACAGAACACTATATCACTGTAACTATAGTGTGTAAACTACTCTTATCTTAAGTAAAAAGACCAAATGATGAGCCAGTCAAAAACAATACAACAACCTTTTAAGAGATAGTACAATAAGATATAAATAGAAACAACAAAAAGTTCAGAAGTTTAGGGACAAAGTTAAGGTGTGGAGTTTTTATTAGTTATTTTTTGCTTGTTTGTTTACGCAAATAGCATTAAGTTGTTATCAGGTTAAAATAATGGGTTATAAGATAGTATTTGCAAGCTTCATGGTAAACTTAAAACAACATACAACAAATAAACAAAAAATGAAAATCAAGAAACTAAGTCATATCACCAGAGAAAATAACCTTCACTAGAGGAAGACAGGAAGGAAAGAAAGATAGAAGCAAAGACCATAAAACAACCAGAAAGCAAATAACAAAATGGTAGGGGTAAATCCCTACTTATGAATAATAACACTGAATGTAAATGGACTAAACTCTCCCGTCAAAAGATATAGACTAGCTGAATGGATGAAAAAACAAGACCTATCAATCTGTTGCCTACAAGAAAGACACTTCACCTATAAAGACACACATAGACAGAAAATAAAGGGATGGAAAAAGATATTCTATGCCAATGGGAACCAAAAAAAAGCAGGACTCACTATATTTAGACAAAATAGATTTCAAGACAAAAAGTATAAGAAGAGACAAAACGGTCACTATATAATAATAAAGGGTCCAATTCAGCAAGAGGATAAAACAATTTTAAATATATATGCACCCAACACAGGAGCACCCAGATATGTAAAGAAAATATTATTATTAGATATAAAGAAAGAGATAGGCCCCAATACAAGAATAGCTAGAGACTTCAACACCATACTTTCAGCATTGGATAGACCTTCCAGAAAGAAAATCAACAAAGAAACATCAGACTTAATCTGCAGTATAGACCAAATGAATCTAAGAGATATTTACAAGATATTGGATGTATTATGCATCCAATAGCTACATAATACACATTCTTCTCAGCACATGGATCATTTTCTAAGGGGGACCATATGTTAGGTCCCAAAAGAAGTCTTAAAACATTCAAAAAATTGAAATAATGTCAAGCATCTTATCTCAATACAATGGAATAATACTAGAAATCAATAACAATAGGAATTTTAGAAACTACACAAACACATGGAAATTAAACAATATACTCCTGAATGGCCAGTGGGTCAATGAAGAAATTCAGGAAGGAAATGGAAAAATTTCTTGAAACAATTGATAATGAAAACACAATGATATGGTTTGGTTCTGTGTCCCCACCCAAATCTCATCTTGTAGCTCCCGTAATTCCCACGTGTTGTGGGAGGGACCCAGTGGGAGATGATTGAATTATGGGATGTGGGGGCATCTTTCTTATGCTGTTCTCGTGGTAGTGAATGGGTCTCACAAGATCTGATGGTTTTAAAAAAATGGGAGTTGCCCTGCACAAACTCTCTTTGCCTGCCACCATCCACGTAAGATGTGATTTGCTTCTCCTTGCCTTCCACCATGATTGTGAGGCCTCCTCAGCTATGTGGAACTGTAAATCCAATTAAACCTCTTTCTTTTGTAAATTGCCCAGTCTTGGGTATGTCTTTATCAGCAATGTGAAAACAGACTAATAAACACAGCATACCAAAACCTATGGGATACAGCAAAAGCAGTCCCCAGAAGGAAGTTTATAGCAATAAATACCTACATCAAAAAAAGGAAAAACTTCAAATAAACAATCTAACAATGCATTTTAAAGAATTAGAAAATTAAAAGGGAACCAATTTCATTTATTTCTGCTGGGATCTTTATTATTTCTTTTCTTCTATTAAAGAAATAAATGAAATTGAAATAAAAAAATTCAAAATATCAATGAAACAAAAAGTTGGTTTTTTGCAAAGTTAAACAAAATTGATAAAACTTTAGCTAGAATAGCTAAGAAAAGAAAGAGGAGATACAAACAAATAAAATCAGAGGTGAAAAAGGAGAGATTACAACTGATACCACAGAAATTCAAAAAATCATGAGTGGCTACTCTGAGCAACTATATGCCAATAAATTGGAAAATCTAAAATAAATTGAAAAAGTCCTAGATACATACAAATTACCAAGACTGAACCAGGAAGAAATCTAAAACCCGAACAAACCAATAACAATTAACGAAATTGAAGCCGTAATAAAAAGACTCCCAGTAAAGACAAGCCAAAGACCTGATGGCTTCCTTGCTGAATTCTACCAAACACATTTAAAGAAGAACCAATACCAGTCCTACTCAAACTATTCCAAAAAGTAGAGGAGGAGGGAATACTTCCAATTTAATTCTACAAGGCCAGTATTACCCTGATTCCAAAACAAGACAAGGACACATCAGAAAAAGAAAACTACAGGTCATTATCTCTGATGAACTCTGATGCAAAGATTCTCAACAAACTATTAGCAAATCAAATTCAACAATAGATTAGAAAGATCGTTCATCATGACCAAGTGGGGTTTATTCCCCAGGATGCAAGGATTTTTCAACGTATGTAAATCAGTCAATTTGACACATCATATTAACAGAATGATGGATAAAAACCATATGATCATTTCAATTGATGCTGGAAAAGTATTGGATAAAATTCAACATCTTTTCATAATAAAACCCTCGAAAAACTGAGGATAGAAGGAACGTACCTCACCATAATAATAGCCATATATGACAGACCCACAGCTAATATTATACTGAGTGAGGAAAAACTGAAAACCTTTCCTCTAAGATCTGGAACACGACAAGGAGGCCTCTGTCACCACTGTTATTCAACATATTACTGGAAATCCTTGCTGGAGCAATCAGACAAGAGAAAGATATAAAGGACATCGAAATTGGAAAGGAAGTCAAATTATCCTTGTTTGCAGATGATATAATTTTATATTTTGTAAAAGCTAAAGATGCCATAAGAAAACTATTAGAACTGATAAGCAAATTCAGTTAAGTTTCAGGATACAAAATTAACATAAAAAATCAGTATCATTTATATATGCCAACAGTGAACAATGTGAAAAAGAAACTTAAAAAGCAATCCCATTTACAATAGCCACACATAAAATTAAATACCTAGGAATTACCTTAACCAAAGAACTGAAAAATCTCTACAGTGAAAACTCTAAAACAGTGATGAAAAAAATTGAAGGACACCAAAAAAATGGGCAAAAATTCCATGTTCATGGATTGGAAGAATCAGTATTATTAAAATGTCCATACTACCTAAAGCAATGTACAGATTCAATGCAATCCCTATCATGATACCAATGACATTCTTCATAGAAATAGAAAAAAAAATCCTAAAATTTATATGGATCACAAAAGAAGCAGAATAACCAAAGCTATCCTAAGCAAAAAGAACAAAACTGGAAGAATCCCATTACCTGACTTCAAATTATACTACAGAGCTTTAGTAACCAAAACAGCATGGTACTTGCATGAAAACAGACACATAGGGCAATGTAACAGACTAGAGAACCAAGAAAAAATCCACACACCTACAGTGAACTCATTTTTTATGAAGGTGCCAAGAACATACACTGGGAAAAAGACAGTCTCTTCAATAAATGGTGCTAAGAAAACTGGATATCCATATGCAAAATAATGAAACTAGACCCCTCTGTCTCACCATATATAAAAATCAAATAAAAATTGATTAAAGACTTAAATCTCAGACCTTAAGCTATGAAACTACTACAAGAAAACACTGGGAAAACTCTCCAGGACACTGCTCTGGGCAAAAATTTCTTGAGCAACACCCCACAGCCACAGGCAACTAAAGCAAAAAGGGACAAATAGAATCACATCAAGTTAAAAAGTTTCTGCACAGCAAAGGAAACAATCAACAAAGCTAAGAGACAACCCACATAACTTGCAAACACTTGCAAGCTACCATCTGACAAAGGATTAATAACCAGAGTATATAAGGAGCTCAAACACCTCTTTAGGAATCAACCTAATAATCCAATTTAAAAATGAGCAAGAGATCTGAATAGACATTTCTCAAAAAAAGACATACAAATGAGAAACAGGCATATTAAAAGGTGCTCAACATCATGGATCATCAGTGAAATGTAAATCCAAACTACAGTGAAATATCATCTCACCTCAGTTAAAATAACTTATGTCCAAAAGACAGACAATAACAAATGCTGGCAAGGATATAGAGGAAAGGGAACCCTTGTACACTGTTGGTGGGAATGTAAACTAGTACATGAACTATGAAGAAGAGTTTAGAGGTTTCTCAAGAAACTGAAGATACAGCTACCATATTATCCAGCAATCCCACTGCTAGGTATACACCCAAAAGAAAGGAAATCAGTGTATCAAAGAGTTATCTGCACTCCTATGCTTGTTACAGCATTGTTCACAATAGTCAAGATTTGGAAGCAACCTAAGTGTCCATCAATACATTAATGAATGAAGAATATGTGGTACCTACAGACAATGGAGTATTATATTATTAAGTCATAAAAATAATGAGATCCAGTCATTTGCAACAACATGGATGAAACTGGAGATCATTATGTTAAGTGAAATAAGCCAGACACAGAAAGAAAAACATCGCATGTTCTCACTTATTTGTAGAATTTAAAAATTAAAACAATTGAACTCATGGACATAGAGAGTAGGAGGATAGTTACCAGAGGCTGTGAAAGGTGTTGCAGGGTTTGGAGGAGGTGGGGATGGTTAATGGATACAAAAAAAATAGAAAGAATGAATAAGACCTGCTATTTGATAGCATAACAGGGTGACTATAGTCAAGAATAATTTAATTGCATATTTTAAAATAATTTAAAGAATATAATTGGATTGTGTGTAACTCAAAGGATAAATACTTGAGGGAATGTATATCCCATTCTCCATGATGTGCTTATTTCACATTGTAGGCTTGTATCAAAACCTCTCATGTACCCCATAAATATAAACACCTACTATGTATCCACAAAAATAAAAATAATAATGATTCATGTTCCTACATTGTTCTTAGGTTGAAATAAAATGACTAATCAAAAAGTAGTCATTAGTTATCCAATTGATAGCCATGCTCTATAGAATTATTAATTTTGAAGGTATATTCTGTTAATGCTTTATCCAGGTGGGCAATTAACATATACCTCAAGGAAAAGAAATCCTAGGAATGGAGTTCTCTCGAAATAAGTGCATTTTCCTTAAAATGACCCCCATGAACACCAACAGCCATAGACTTCCATCCTAAATCCACATCACCAAACTTCCAAGCTGTTATTACTTTAGAGTTTCTTGTACTATGTAGCCCATTGAAATGTAAAGACACCTGAATGGAGTGTTTCCTAAAACTAATTAGTAAGAAAATATCAACAAAAGAGTCAAACTCTGTAAAATATTTGAAGAGATATATTCTGAGCCAAATATGAGTAACCAATGGCCCAAGGTACAGTCTCAAGTTGTCCTGAGAATATATGCCTAAGATGGTCGACCTACAGCATGGATTTATACAATTTAGGAGAACATAAGACATAAATCAATACATGTAAAATGTACATTGGTTCAGTCTGGAAAGATGGGACAAGTTGAAGTGGGGGCTTCCAGGTCATAGGAGGATTCAAGAACTTTCTAATTGTTAATTGGTTGAAAGAGTTAAGTCATTGTCCAAATATCTAGAATCTGTAGAAGGGAATGTTTGGGCCAAGATAAGGGGTTGTGGAAACTAAGGTTCCCCTTATGTACATAGAATCAATAGAATGGAATGACTGGCTTAAGTTAAGAGATTGTGGAGATCAAATTTCCCATCATGCAGATAAAGCCTCCAGGTAGCAAGCCTCAGAAAGAATAGATTGTAAATGTTTCTTGTCAGACTTTTTTTTAATATATAAAGTGCCAGACTCTTAGTTGAGTCTCTCCTGGATCAGGAAAAAGGCCTGGAAAGGGAAGGGGATTTTCTATACAATGTTGACTGTCCCCTTTGCTGGGCTATTTGAAGATGTGGCAAAGAAACATATTTGGGGGTTATCTTTATCTGTCATGTGATGTTATGCTAGAGTCAGGCTGGAAAGTAAGCCATGTTATATGTTTTGAATAAAACCCCTCTTTTGAGAGTTTATGGTTTGTAGGACATGGATCTCCGTACCCCTTACATAGGAATTTGAGCAAGAGAAGAAAAAGATCAGAGTTTAGTCCTCAGAAACTTCTTTATTATGCTAAATGGGTGGATCAAACTGGTTTCATGTAATTGAAGCATGGCAGAATATGCCACCCTAAAATATGTCATTTTGACATAAAGATTATTTTTAAGCCTTAACTCACTTGAGTAACAACAGATGCAAGAAGGGCATTCTTATTTCCCTCTTTATTCCTGAAAACAGGATAAAAACTGCCATGTGAAAAATGGCCAGAGGTCAGAACAGTTTGCAAGCACAGCATGTTCTCATTTATAAGTGGGAGCTGAACAGTGAGAACACATGGACACATGGAGGGGAACAACACTCACTGGGGCCCATTGCAGGAGGCTGGTGGCAGAAGAGCACTAGGGAAAAGAGCTAACACATGTGGGGCTTAATACCTAGGAGATGGATTGTTAGGTGCAGCAAACCACCATGGCACACATTTATCTATGTAACAAACATGCACATCCTACACGCGTACCCTGGAGATTAAAAAACAAAAACAAAAACAACAAAATAATTTTAAAAAGAAGAAACAGTTTGCAAGGTTATTTACTGGATCTCCCTGTACCAGTTAAAAGGAACATTCTTCAACGGGGAGTCACAGCTGAGTGAATTCTGTACAAACAGTCCTTGTTAAGTATTTCTTATCTTCCTTTAGCCTTCCCAGATAATTTAGTTACTTTTCCAGAATTGTCTCTTTTTGTTCAACCTAATATAAAAAGCATTTAGATTTTTCCACTTCTTTGGGTCTTCATTTCCCTATGAGGGCTCCTATGTCACATAAAATGCATACAAGTTTTTTATGCCTTTATCCTGTTTAATCTGTTTTATATCAATTTAATTATCAGACCCAGCAAAAAACTCTAAGAAGTATAAACCAAAAATAAAATTCTAAGCCCCCCAGCAATGGACTGATGGACAACCCCCCAACTGGCCCTCAGCCAACAGTATTCCAAAGAAATCTGGAAAACTAATTCAGTTCATGATGGGGGAGAGGGAGGTTGGACCTGCGTTGTTATACCCTCCTGCTTTTGGAATTCAGGCAAAACTGACCAGCATTAACATAAAAACAGAGATCTTTTTTGTTGTTGAAAATGGCAGAATTTTCTTCTTTGGCAAAGCTAAAATTACATATGCATATATATATATATATATATATTTATCACAGTTTCTTCATATAATCATTTATATTTGCTAAGTAGTAACCTTACTAATTTATCAAATTATCTTTTCTTTTTTAAATTTAATTTAATGTTAAGTTCCAGGATACATGTGCAGGATGTGCAGGTTTGTTACATAAGTATACATGTGCCATGGTGGTTTGCTGCACCTACCAACCCATCTCACCACATATCCCATTCTCCATGATGTGCTTATTTCACATTGTATGCTTATATCAAAACCTCTCATGTACCCCATAAATATAAACACCTACTATGTATCCACAAAAATAAAAATAATAATGATTCATTTTCCTACATTGTTCTTAGGTTGAAATAAAATGACTAATCAAAAAGTAGTCATTGGTTATCCAATTAATAGCCATGCTCTATAGAATTATTAATTTGGAAGGTATATTCTGATAATGCTTTATCCAGGTGGGCAATTAACATATACCTCAAGGAAAAGAAATCCTAGGAATGGAGTTCTCTCGAAATAAGTGCATTTTCCTTAAAATGACCCCCATGAACACCAACAGCCATAGATTTTCATCCTAAATCCACATCACCAAACTTCCAAGCTGTTATTTACTTTAGAGTTTCTTGTATTATGTAGCCCATTGAAATGTAAAGACACCTGAATGGAGTGTTTCCTAAAACTAATTAGTAAGAAAATATCAACAAGAGTCAAACTCTTAATACCTATGTATTAAGCCTCACATACATTTGCTATTTATCCTAATGCTCTCCCTCCCCTCACCACCCAGACATTCCCAAGTTTGTATTGTTCCTCTCCCTGTGTCCACTTATTATTCTCAATGTTCAGTTCCCACTTATAAGTGAGAACATGTGGTGTTTGGTTTTCAAAACAGAGATCTTAAGACTGACAAACAGACTCTTTGTTACAATAAGATACCAACATGACAGATAGAAATCCCTGGAAGAAATTAAAGTATTTTACCCCAAAATATATATCTTTGACATATGCTTGAAATGGCCCTGTAAAGCTATCTTTTGCAGGGAAAATCTACATTCTGTAGAGAATCCCCTTCCCTTTCCAGGTCTTCTCCTTGATCCAGAGGAGAATTACCAATGAGTCTGGCACCTTTTTAAGTCTGATAAGAAACGTTTATAATCTATTTTCTCTGAAGCCTGCTACCTGGAGACATATGCATGATAAAAAAACTTGGTCTCCACGACCCATTATCTTAACCTAGCCAGGTCTTTGGATAAGAACTTAACTCTTTCATCCAATCGCCAATCAGAAAATCTTTTAATGTACCTATGATCTGGAGGCCTCCCCCTTTCAAGTTGTTCTGTCTTTCTGGACCCAACCAATGTACACCTTACACGTATTGATTGATATGCTATATCTCCCTAAAAGGTATAAAACCAAGCTGTAGCCTGACCACCTTGGGTACATGTTCTCAGGACTTACAGAAATTGTGTCTCAGGCCATAGTCACTTATATTTGGCTCAGAATAAATCTCTTCAAATATTTTACAAAAGTTGACTCTTTATCCAGAAAAGGTAGAGGTAAAATTTTGCTTCCTCTACGTAATAAAAATATTTTGGCTATTCTGGCACCTTAGTGACACTAGATAAATTTTAGAATTGACTTGTGTAATTAAAAGGAACTTTTGATAATTATTTTGATATTTCATATATATAACAATTTAGGGAGAATTTACGTCTTCACTAAAATTCCATTTTCCACCCTAATAAGTAATACCCATTTTGTCAGGGCAATTTTTAATATATAATGTTAAAAGAAAATATTATAATAATTTATAAAATCATAAAATTAATTTAGTCCTCTTTAGATCTTCTGAATTTTATTCTATGTCCACCAATGAAATCAAATTGCTATTAACAAAGGCTAACTAGGCTCTTCCTGCACAAGTGTTAGGCTATTTTAGGACATAGGAACAAAGGAATTAAATGAGTAACTGGTGACTCAGTTACTTACAGCTCTCCTCTTGAGTAGCTGGCAGTTTCTCTCAAGTTACAGGGGGATCATACCCAGCTTCTCCAAGAAAATAACTCATGGCCTCAACCACACACAAACAGAAACACACTAAAAAACATAGGCATAGTGATGCTAAACACCCAATAGGCTTGTTATATATGCATATATGCCATTTGTTTTGCCTGTAAATATCCTTGCAAACTGTTTCTATGTCTGGCCATTAGAGAGCATATACCAGTAGTCATAGAAACCAGAATATCACCATAACATTCAGTTTTACATTAGTTTTCCAGAGAAACTGGGAAATGTAATTCATCCTCTCAATCAATGCAATGAATGAATAAATTAATGCAATATTAGAAGACATTATGCTATCCATTCCCCCAAAATTACCTTTGGAGTGAAATAAGAGGATTTTGAAACAATGGTTAAAATGAAAGAACAAAGAGTTAATTATTATGAGTTTTCTGTCAGACACACCAAATCTGGTCTCAGTCTCTGTCCAGGACCACTTTAGAACCTGAAATAACAGATGCTTATGCTGAAACTATCTATAAATCCATACAGTTTCAAACGTGGCCCAAACACTCAATAGTTCCAGATGATGTGGTTCACAAGATTAACATGTTCTGTCTATTGCACCTTAAATTCATCCTCAGAGTCAGAGCTTTGCATCACAGCTCAGTGGTTCACATATGACTCACAGTAGTAAAATTAAATGAGTGAATAAGGTAGTATAAAAAATGTTAGAATCTGGACATTGAGATGACTCTAATGAGGAAGTAAAATCTAAGTAATATGTAAGAATGAGATTTTTCCTCTACCAAAGTCTTCGTTGATAATAGAGATACCCGATACCTGACTATAGCAGTCCCCAGGAATATAATGAGGCCATGTCCAAGGACCTTTGGCAATTTTGGGTCAACATGGGAAGGAGAAAATTTAGTGAATATCAACCCTCCAGATATAGTACTAGGGAAACCAGCCACTGAGGAGTTGAGGTAAGGACACTGGAAACATTTTTGGACAACAAATATTTATGAAGATGGTATTATGAAGAAAATAATTCCAGAAAAGATACACTGACTTTCAGTTCCAGGACAAAGTGGTATAGAGTGACTTTACTTGCACTTTCCCTCTAAATGCCATGAAAATAACTCAACACAGAATCATAAAAGGGCTCTGAAGGTGTAAGGAAGAAGTTGACAGGCCAAGGAACTCAAGACATGAGGAAAGACACCACTGAGTCCCTTGACTTCTTTTTATCTCTCATATATTCTTGCCTGGGCACAAGAGAGTCCTATAACCAGGAAGCTCCAGCAGGCATGGAAGAAAAACAACATGAACAAAAAAGCCTACTTTTTCTGGTCAAAGGCATTGAAAAAAGGCAACCCAGCAAAGACCTAGCAGGGAGATCCATACTGCCCAACAACTAAAGCTGTGGTGGTTCCGTGTATCACAGTAGTAGCATCAGCAGGGCCCAGCCAGGGATGTATCCCACAGTCCATGCATGGAGCAGTCGTGAATTAGTCCACAACAACATTAGCGATCAAGGCCCAGTGTTTCATTAATTCCAACCCAATGACATTAGGTGCATAGGTGGCACTTGCAGAGATCAAGTGGGAGACTAGCAGAGCCAGAACTAAGTCAATCAGAAAAGCACTGACCCAGGCTCTGGATACCAAATTTCCATTTGAACTAAAGGTTACAAAAGTTGGCCAGTATACATAAGCTAGACCTAAATATGGTGACTGCTTGTTGAAGTTTAATATTTATATAGAATCAAGAATCTCCTAATATAAGTCAAAATGTCCAGAATTGGATCAAAAATAAGTCATCATACCAAGAACCATGGAAAACAACTTGAAAGTCATTACACCAAGTAAAATAAACCAGACACAAATAAAAATACTGTATGATGTCACTTACATGTGGATCTATAATAGTTAAACTCACAGAAGCAGAGAATAGAATGGTAGTTACCAGGGGCTGGGGGGTGGTGAGAGATATAGCGAGATGTTGGTCAAAGGGTATAACACTTTAAATTATAAGATGAACAGTTTCTGGGAATCTAATGTACAGCATGAATGGTGATGGATGTGTTGATTAATTTGATTGTGATAATAATTATATGAAGCATACATATATCAAATCATCCTCTTGTACAGCTTAAAGATATACAATCTTTACTTGCTAATTAAATACTTTAAAATAAAAGAATAGATAAACTATTCCATAGTGCTTTGGTACAAGGAAACATAGGACAGAAGACAAATAAGAGGCTGCCACTTTAGGGATTATGCTGTTCCTCAGACATGGTGAAATCTATAGGCTAACATGGATAATATATTCATAGGTAGGTGTTTTACATGACACTATTTTAAGATTAATTTTAAAAATAATAACATTTAGATACATTTGATAATGACCACACAAACTTATTAGAATAGGTAGGTACACGCACAGTTTCTGTAGTACATGGTTATTCAGTCTACAGAGACTGAGCTACAGTAACACACAACTCTACTTCCTATCAACAAGCATAAAAGGCACTCCTCTGTGGTTGGTTGAGGCACTCAAAAGCAAGAGGAACCCATCTCAAACCCACTGGGATCCATAGCATATGTTCAGGCAAGTCCAGAAAGATACCTGTATATAAAATGAGTGAATGTTTTCAACATACCTTTAATGAGGAGAAAATGGAGAGAGAAACCTAGCCACACATTCCAGTCTTTACAGAAGACAAATATTGATAGTATTATGAGATTTAGTAAATAAATTTACAGGATTTCCAGTGAAATTTGAATTTCAAATACACAAATATTACATAGGACATGCTTGAGCTAAAAAAGTTATGTATCTGAAATTCAAATTTAATTGTTACATGTTTTATCTGGCAACCCTCATGTGGGGGTCATTCACAACTGTGCTTTTTAATCAGAGAGATATCCAGAAAAACATATGTGGGCTTGAGTCCCAGCTCTGCCAGCCACTTTTACTTTCACTATAACTTTTCTGTTCCATAGTCTCATAACTGCAGGATTAGCCCAAACTGACCCTACTCTGTTGATAACAGAATGTCGAGTTACCTTGTAGCTATAACAAAGCCAAAACAGCAAGTCATGTATTCTGGGTATGCACAATGGAAAAAGCTTTGGCCTCTAACAACTCCCAGAATCAACATTTTCTGCCCCCAGAACCAAGACTGGGATATGACTAGAACCTGAATGCCAGAACCCTTTCAGAAGTGAAGGGTCCATTAGTGAGGAAAATTCAGTACTGAAATCTACCCATCATACCTTACCATAAATGGTCAAATTTGAAGCCCTCCAATTGGAGCCTGCCAAGCCAACATTTCTAGTACATTTCCTTGTCCTCCAACCCCTTAAAATTTGCCCCAGACCCCAAACTGGGGAGACAGATATGAGCTGTGCCTCCTGTCTCCTTGCTGGTTGACTTCTCAGTGAAGCCTCTTTTTTTCTTCAAAACCCGGTGCCATAGTATTGGCTTCTGTGTGTGTCAGGTAGTGATCCCACTGCTCAGAGATAGCCTCTTCTTCTTGGTTTCATTTACAGGGAGTATTTTTTAATTCCACAGAGAAACCTCTCAGTTTAGCATTCCCTCTAACAGTTCTCTCTAGAAAACTCACAAGTAGTCTGTAGTTCAACAGACCAACTTTCTTTTAATTATTCTCTCTCACTTCTTCCTTTCCCTATAACCTGAAAGCCTGGAGATTTCATAATGCACCTGTAACTGTAAATGACTCAGGCATGAAGCTTGAAGCTTAGAAACCAATGGTATTTCCTCCTCCTGGAGGACCATCCTTATAATGAGAAACTTCTAGGTATGTGAACTGAGAGTGTGGTTCTTTCAGCATCTGTCAATATCTCTCTGCTGTGCTCAAAAATAGCATTGACCATTGTCACAAGATTATTCATTGCATTGCTTTTATAACAAAACAATGAAAACAACTCAAACTAGTGCCATTAGAGGGGATAGAATAAGTAATCTAAGGTCTAGGCCAAAGTGGATTATGCTGTCAACCAAAGAATGAGATGGATCTAAATATATTAACATAAAAAAATCAGATGCAAAAATCAGATCAGCCAACAAGGAAATAAAATGATACTGTTAATTTAAAAATCCCATATGGATGGAAAACAATACTTTATATTCTTCTCTTACAACATAAAGAAATATACATATCCATAGAAAAAGGGTTTTTTTTTTGTTTGTTTTGTTTTTTTGTTTTTGACAGAGTCTCACTCTGTCTCGCCTGGGCTGGAGTGCAGTGGTGCAATCTTGGCTCACTGAAGCCTCCGCCTCCTGGGTTCAAGTGTTTCTCCTGTCTCTACCTCCTGAATAGCTGAGACTACAGGCATGTGCCACCACACCTGGTTACAGGCTGGTCTCAGACTCCTGACCTTAGGTGATCCACCCGCCTCGGCCTCTCAAAGTGCTGGGATTACAGGCGTGAACCACCGTGTCTGGCCTGAAAAAGGTCTTGAATAGTATATACCAAACTGATAAAATGAATTTGATCTGAAAGAAGTGGAGGAAGAAGAGAATAGGCAGGTGATGGAAGTCAACTCTATTATTACAATCATATTGTAAGATATAACTAGAAGAAAGCATTTCTATTTATTTATGCACTTAAATAATGCCTTCTGAAAAAAACCTGAAAAAATATAAAAATATATTTTGAGAATATATTTTAAAAATCAAACAATGGGCCAATATTAATACAATATTTTAAAAATTGAAAGGCAATATCCTTGAAAAGTACAGAAAGAAATTTTATATTGATCAAAGAAACTATTCACCAAAATTGTATATAGCTAAGAACACAGGTTAAATTAAAACATTTTTAAAAGTAATAGAATTACATGTAGATAGTTGCATAATCAATAGTAAATAATATTTATTGAAATGTGAAATAGAGAGTTTTAAAATAACAGATAGGCACAGTGAAAAAGAAAAAAAGTAAATGGATGATAGATAAAAAGAAATGGTCGGTCACAGTGGCTCATGCCCGTAATTCCAATACTTTGGGAGGCCCAGGCTGGTGGATCACTTGAGCCCAGGAGTTCGAGACCAGCCTGGGCAACATAGTGAAACTCTGTCTCTAAAAAAATTAAATTAAATTTAAAAATTAGCCAGGCATGGTGGCATGCTCCTGTAGTCCCAACTACTCAGGAGGCTGAGGTGGGAGGATCACTTGAGCCCAAGAGGTGGAGGTGGCAGTGAGCCGAGATCATGCCACTGAACTCCAGCCTGGGTGACTGGGTGACAGATCAAGACTCTGTCTCAATAAATAAATAAATAAATAAATAAATAAATAAATAAATAAATAAATATTTTCACTGATGAAGGCCAAGAAGCCAACATTATATGTTCTCACTTGTAAGTGGAAGCTAAGTTATGAGGATGCAAAGGTATAAGAATGATATAATGGACTCTAGGGACTGAGGGAAAGGATGGGAAGGGGGTGAGGGATAAAAGACTACACACTGGGTACAGTGTACACTGCTTGTGTGATGAGTGCCCCAAAATCTCAGAAATCACCACTAAATAACTTACCATGTAACCAAACACCACCTGTTCCTCCAAAACTATTGAAGTAATAAATAAATACGCCAAAAAAAGAAAATGCGAATAACAATATAGATTTATAGGACATACTGCAAAGGAGAGTTGAAAGGGATTGTAGAAGAAGTAATATTTGAAAACAAAATGGCTCAAAATTTCTACAAAAATAAATTATGAGAAAAACCAAGCTGCAGATTCAAGAGGTGACCCTGAAATGCACATGCTCAGAAGAAAACTGAAAACACCGCAGGGGAAAAAATAAGCATATAATATTAGGCAAGGTCCTTTCAGAAACACATGTATATCAATCAAGGTGCTCTCAGGGAAACGGAAACAACACAGGTTAATAAGATTGAGGATTTAATAGAGGGAATTGTTTAAACAAACTTGGGATGTCTAAGTAGACATAAAGGAAGGCTAAAGTTGTACAAAGACCGAAAGGGCAAGATGGAACTTCCACCCCTAGAGTGGGGCAAAGCAAGGAAAGATCTAGGTGTTCTGAGAACCCATAATAGGGGAGGATGGACCCTCAGAGCTAGAACTCAGACCTCTGAGGAAAGCAAACTGCCCAACTAGTGGTGGTTTCTAAAGGGACTCAAGCAGGAAAACCACAAACTAGGGAATTCTATCTCTGAGGAGGGACAGATCCCTGGATTGTGCTAAGCCTCAGAATCTCAGAAAAGGACCTTGACCTGCATACCAGTTTGGACCCAGACTTCTGAACAAAGAGACATCCACCAGCAGGCGGCTGCTGCGGGGCTTTATGAGCAGGCAAAATTGAACACCGTGATGTTTGAGGATAAACAGTAAAATGGACATTTCCTGAAGGTCCTCTATTGGGACGACACTAAGCAGCATGGAAAGCAGAGGGAGGTGTACTCTCCCTCCTCCCCCTACTCTCCCTTTCTCTCTTTTCTTCCCTCCCTCCTTCCTTCTTCACCTCTCTCCCCCTCCCACTTCTTCCTCTCTCTCTTATTCCCTCTCATTCTCTGTTATATACATATACACGGAGTTATTAATCCTGATTGACTTTGTACACCAGTAACAGTAATTTGATCATTAAAGTGTTATAATGAATAAAAATCAACCAATGTTAATCTATTCCAAAATGCTCACGGTTGTTGAGTTTAAACAAGCATCAAAATAGCTATTTAGCTTTAAATCAAATCCACCCAAACTAGCCATAATGGTTGCATACAGGCAAATATTAAAGCTGGCAGATCCATGCTCTATATTTTTACAATCCATTGTCAATTATTTTCATCCAATGACTACCAGGAACAGACACTTAGATAAACAAGTTGGGTTTACTACTTCTTGCAGGGAAAAAGAACACTAACAGGAAATACAGTAGTCTCAGTAAAAGAGTATTAGAAAGGACATATAGGATTTGGGCTTTGTGTCTATATTTTGGAGGAGGGTATGAGGAAGCAGGGATTTTACTTTAGTTTAGATGTTAGAAAGTGGGCACAATTCTGACTGGAAATTTTGTGGGTAGCGCAGTTACCAGGGTTTTTTTTCTGTGGTTAGACAAAAATATAAAGTGGTCTCATTTTCTCTTATTTTATCATGATCTCAGAGTGACCTTCTCTGAGAACGGTATTCTGTGAGATTGTTTTGGTTTGATAGAAGAACATGGACTACCTGGTAGTGCCAGGTCAGCTTTATAATGTCAGGGGCTGCTTTCTCTCTCTGTTTCTTGCTAGTCCATATCATCAAGAAATAAAGTGAGTAGCTTAACATTTATTTTTTAACGTGGTAAATGTTTTTAATAAACAACAATTAACAAATATTGTTAACAAACAATCAGAGAAAGAAAGTCTTAATTAAAAATTAAAAGATCCTTAACCATAGAAGTCATCTTCCCTGAAGCAGAGGCCTGGGACTTTAAGATATATAGGATTTAAAAAATTGACGAACACTGTAAAATCCAAATGATGGTGACAAAAGTTAAAAAGCAGAGCTTGACGTGACTTGCTTGGGAGTGAATAGAAGATGGCTTGAGGAAGAATAACCTCGATAACAACGACACTTTCAAGTTTCACAAAATTTGCAAATACCACTTATAGTTCATTTTTTTCTTCCATAAATTGCAATGAAATATAAAAACTGAGAAGATCTTCACAGTTCATTATTTTAAAAATACAAAACCAACATATTAGCTAGAAATGATCACTTCTCTGACTTCTTTACTTTCTGAAAATTTCACTAGCCAACAATTGCAGTTATTTTTCCTGCCTGAGCCATTCTACACAAAGTGAAAAAACAATTTATCAGGTCTTGGGAACTCCTATATACTTAATAAGAAAAAGACAAAAAAATACTCTTTGAACTCTATGTTCACTCTCAAATTAAACAGCTTTCACTCTTGAACAAGTCTCACAATATGTGCAGAATATGTATCACAAAAATGGGAGAAACCACAAACCCCAAACAAGAAATGACATTTACAGCATGGTATTTAAGATGAGGGGTTCTGGACCAAAATTGCCTGTGGAATACTTAGAATTTTGCCTGGAATATGGTAAGTGTTATAATTTCCAGCTATTAATCCTCTGTAATGTAACAAAAATACAGAACATGTAGGGCAACATCAACTAATTGACAACAATGAAAAAACTTAATTGAAAAATATGAGGCACAAAATGAAACTTTGAAAGACTTTTTTAGAAATAAAGATGAGCTTGCAGAAAACACAATATTTTATCATATCTTTATTCCAATTTAACATGCTGAAATTTTACAAGGGTTATCAGATTTATTAGAGCGGATATAACAATCTTAGTTTGGGGGAAGTTTTAGAAACTTATTTTTCCCAATTCTTTTGTTTTTTTTTTAACTTTTATTTTAGGTTTGGGGGTACATGTATAGGTTTGTTATATAGGTGAACTCGTGTCACAGGGGTTTGTTGTACAGGTTATTTCATCACCCAGGTATTAGGCCTGTACCCAATAGCTATTTTTTCTTCTCCTTTCCCTCCTCCCACCCCCCACTGTCATGTAGACCACAGTGTCTGTAGTTCCCTTCTTTTCGTTCATGACTTCTCATGATTTAGCTCCCTCTTATAAGTGAGAACATGTGGTATGTGGTTTTCTCTTCCTGCATTAGTTTGCTAAGGATAATAGCCTCCAGCCCTATCCATGTTACTGCAAAAGACATGAACTCATTTTGTTTAATGGCTGCATAGTATTCCATAATGTATATGTATGACATTTTCTTTATCCAATCTGTCACTGATGGGCATTGAGGCTGATTCCATGTTTTTGCTATTGTGAATAGTGCTGCAGTGAACATTCACATGCATGTGTCTTTATGGTAGAATGATTTATATTCCTCTGGGTATATATCTGGTAATGGGATTTCTTGGTCAAATGGTAGTTCTATTTTTAGCTCTTTAAAGAATCACCATACTGCTTTGCATAATGGTTGAACAAATTTACACTCCCACCAACAATGTATATGTGTTCCCTTTCCTCCACAACCTCACCAGCATCCGTTAGTTTTTGGCTTTTTTATTTTTTACTTCTCCACAGGTTATTGGGTTATAGGTTGTTGGTTATTTTATTTTTCCATAGGTTTGGTTACATGAATAAGTTCTTTGCTGGTTATTTGTGAGATTTGGTGCACCCATCACATGAGCAGTATACACTGCACCCTATTTGTAGTCTTTTATCCCTCACCCCCCTCCCACCCTTCTCCCCAAGTCCCCAAAGTCTGCTGTATCATTCTTATGCCTTTGCAATCTCATAGCTTACCTCCCACATATCAGGGAGAGCATACAATGTTTGGTTTTCCATTCCCGAGTTGCTTCACTTAGCATAGTAGTCTCCAACCTCATCCAGGTCACCACAAATGCCGTTAATTCATTCTTTTTCATGGCTGAGTAGTATTCCATTGTATATATACACCACGGTTTCTTTATCCACTCGTTGATCAATAGGCATTTGGGTTGGTTCCACAATTTTGCAATTGTGAATTTTGCTGCTATAAACATGTGTGTGCAAGTATCTTTCTGTACAATGACTTCTTTTCCTTTGAGTAGATACTCAGTAGTGGGATTGCTGGATCAAGCGGTAGTTCAACTTTTAGTTATTTAAGGAATCTCCACATTGCTTTCTATAGTAGCTGTACTAGTTTACATTCCCACCAGCAGTGTAGAAGTGTTCCCTGATCACTGCATCCATGCCAACATCTACCATTTTTTGATTTTTTGGTTATGGTCATTCTTGCAGAAGTAAGGTGGTATCACATTGTGGTTTTGATTTGCATTTACCTGACCATTAGTGATGTTGAGCATTTTTTCCTATATTTGTTGGCCACTTGTATATCTTCTTTACAGGATTGTCTATTGTGTCCTTAGTCCACTTTTTGATAAGATTTTTTTTTGCTGATTTGTTTGAGTTCATTGTAGATTCAGAATATTATTCCTTTGTCATATATATAGATTATGAAAATTCTGTCCCACTCTGTGGGTTGTCTGTTTATTCTGCTGCCTGTTCCTTTTGCCATGCAAAAGCTCTTTAGCTTAATTAAGTCTCAGCTATTTATCTTTGCTTCTATTGCATTTGCTTTTGAGTTATTGGTCATGAAATCCTTGCCTAAGCCAATGTCTAGAAGGGTTTTTCCAATGTTATCTTCTATAATTTTTATAGTTTCAGGTCTTAGATTTAAGTCCTCAATCCATCTTGAGTTGATTTTTGTATAAGGTGAAAGATGAGGATCCAGTTTCATTCTCCTACATGTGGCTAGCCAATTATCCCAGCACCATTTGTTGAAAAGGGTGTCCTTTCCCTTTTTTATGTTTTTGATTGCTTTGTCAAAGATCAGTTGGCTGTAAGTATTTGGGCTTATTTCTGGGTCCTCTATTCTGTTCCATTGGTCTCTCTGCCTGTTTTTATACCAGTACCAGGCTGTTTTGGTGACTATGGGCTTATAGTATAGTTTTAAATCAGGTAGTGTGATGCCTCTAGATTTGTTCTTTTTGCTTAGTTTTGCTTTAGCTATGTGGGCTTTTTTTGGTTCCATATGAACTTAAAAATTTTTTTTCTAATTCTGTGAAGAATGATGATGGTATTTTAATGGGGATTGCATTGAATTTGTAGATAGTTTTTGGCTTATGGTCATTTTCACAATATTGATTCCACCCATTCATGAGCATAGGATGTGTTTCCATTTGTTTGTGTCATCTATGATTTCTTTCAGCAGTGTTTTGTAGTTTTCCTTGTAGAGGTCTTTCACCTCCTTGGTTAAGTATATTCTTAAGTATTTTAATCTTTTTTGAAGTTATTGTAAAAGGGGTTGAGTTCTTGATTTGATTCTCTGCTTGGTCCCTGTTAGTGCATAGAAGAGCTACTGATTTGTGTACATTATTCTTGTATCCAGAAACTTTGCTCAATTGTTTTATCAGTTCTAGGAGCTTTCTGGAGGAGTCTTAGGGTTTTTGAGGTAACCTATCATATCGTCAGCAAACAGTGACAGTTTGACTTCCTCTTTACTGATTTGGATGCCTTTTATTTCTTTCTCTTCTTTGATTGCTCTGGCTAGGACTTCCAGTACTATGTTGAAGAGGAGTGGTGAGAGTGGGCGTCCTTGTCTTGTTCGAGTTCTCAGAGGGAATGCTTTTAATTTTTCCCCATTCAGCGTTATGTTGGCTGTGGGTTTGTCATAGATAGCTTTTATTACATTGAAGTGTATCGGGGGAACCTGCCCCCAATATTTCAACATAGGTCCTTTCTATTTTCCCTAAGTGTGAGCCAGTATGAGAAATAAAGAGAAAGAGCACAAAGAGAGGAATTTTACAGCGGGGCTGCCGGGGGTGACATCACATATCGGTAGGTCCATGATGTCCACCTGAGCTGCAAAACCAGCAAGTTTTTATTAGGAATTTCAAAAGGGGAGGGGGTGTACGAACAGGGAGTAGGTCACATGCTTCAAGGGGCAAAAGGCAGAGCAAAGATCACATACTTCTGAGGAAACAGGACCAGGGCGAAATCAGAAACTCTTGATAAGGGTCTATGTTCAGTGGTGCACGTATTATCTTGATAAACATCTTAACAGAAAACAGGGTTCGAGAGCAGAGAACCGGTCTGACCTCAAATTTACCAGGGCTGGGGTTTCCCAATCCTAGTAAGCCTGAGGGTACTGCAGGAGACCAGGGCATATCTCAGTCCTTATCGCAACCGCATAGGACAGACACTCCCAGAGCGGCCATTTATAGACCTCCCCCCAGGAATGCAATTCTTTTCCTAGGGTCTTAATATTATATTCCTTGCTAAGAAAAGAATTTAGCAGTATCTCTCCTACTTGCACATATGTTTATAGGCTCTCTGCAAGAAGAAAAATGTGACTCTTTTTGCCTGACCCCTCAGGCAGTCAGACCTTATGGTTGTCTTCCCTTGTTCCCTAAAATCGCTGTTATTCTATTCATTTTCAAGGTACACTGATTTCATATTGTTCAAACACACATGTTTTATGATCAATTTGTACAGTTAACACAATTATCGCAGGGTCCTGAAGTGACGTACATCCTCAGCTTACAAAGATAACAGGATTAAGAATTTAAAGTAAGACAGGAATAAGAAATTATAAGAATATTATTAGGGAAGTGATAAACATCCATGAAATCTTCACAACTTATGTTCTTCTACTGTGGCTTCAGCCAATCCCTCCATTTGGGGTCCCTGACTTCCCGCAACAGAAGCATGTCCTTTGTATGCCGATTTTGCTGAGAGTTTTAATCATAAAGGGATGCTGGATTTTGTCGAATGCTTTTTCTGCATCTATTAAGATGATCACGTGATTTTTGTTTTTAATTCTGTTTGTGTGGTGTATCACATTTATTGACTTACATGTGTTAAACCATCCCTGCATCCCTGGTATGAAACCCACTTGATCATGGTGGATTACCTTTTTCATATGTTGTTGAATTTGGTTAGCTAGTATTTTGTTAAGGATTTTAGCATTTATGTTCATCAGGGATATGGGTCTGTAGTTTTCTTTTTTGGTTATGTCCCTTTCTAGTTTTGGTATTAGGGTGATGCTGGCTTCATGGAATGAATTAGGGAGTGTTCCCTATTTCTCTATCTTGTGGAATAGTGTCAGTAGGATTGGTACCAATTATTGTTTGAATGTCTGGTAGAATTGTGCTGTGAATCTGTCTGGTCCTGGACTTTTTTTTGTTCTTGTTGGTCATTTTTAAATTACCATTTCAGTCTGGCTGCTTGTTATTGGTCTGTTCAGGGTATCTAATTCTTCCTGAGTTAAGGTAGGAGGGTTGTATTTTTCCAGAAATTTATCCATTTCTTCTAGGTTTTTTAGTTTATGTGCATAAAGGTGTTGACAGTGGCCCTGAATGATCTTTTGTATTTCTGTGGTGTCAGTTGTAATATCTCCCGCTTTGTTTCTTACTGAGGTTATTTGGATTTTCTCTCTTCTTTTCTTGGTTAATCTTGCTAATGATCTATCAATTTTCTTTATCTTTTCAAACAACTAGCTTTTTGCTTCATTTATCTTTTGTATTTGTTTGTTTGTTTCAATTGTATTTAGTTCTGCTCTGCTCTTGGTTATTTCTTTTCTTCTGATGGGTTTGGGTTTGGTTTGTTCTTGATTCTCTAGTTCCTTGAGGTGTGACCTTAGAATGTCAGTTTGTACTCTTTCAGTCTTTCTTTCTGACGTAGGCATTTAGGACTATGAACTTTCCTCTTAGCACCGTGTTTGCTATATCCCAGTGGTGTTGATAGGTTATGTCATTTTCCAACTCCTATTTCCTTACATTCAGGGAAAATCTCCCCCAAAATTTTTATTAATTTAAGAGTTCTGTTCAGCATTAAAAGGACAAGGGTGGCAGAGCCTCCAAAACGTAAATTTAAAGAAGATAATCTTAAATATTTTGATGGTTAAATTTATTTGTCAACTTGAATGGGCCATGAGGTGCCATATATTTGGTTAAACGTTATTTATAGGTGTGTTTGTGGATAAAATCAACATTTGAATTGATAGACTGAATAAAGCAGATTGCCCTCCCTGATGTGGGTGGGCTTCCTCTTATCAACTGAAGAACTAAATGGAATAATAGTCTGTGTATGAAAGAATTATCTCTCTTTCTGCCTTACTACCTCAGGCTGGGACACCAGTCTCCTTCTCTGGACTTGAAATAGAACTTACAATATCAGGTCTTCTGATTCTCATGCCTTGGGATTAGAACTAGCACTATATAGTTGGCTTTCCTAGGTCTCTAGCTTGCATGCTGCAGATAAGCCTATTCCTTATAGTCAGCTTATATATATGTAATATTTTATATGTTACAATATATACTACAATGCATTATATGTACTATTTAACATAATACATATTATTAATATATTAATAATACATATTATATTAAATAGTATATATAATCTAATAAACTGTATATTATATATAAATTAAATTATATATTATATTACATATTATACATAATTATAATATGTAACATATCATATACCATTTATATTATATTACAATATATAATCTATATTATATATTATATAAAATATATATATCATTTATATTATAATATATAGTATATAATATATATTATACTTTATATATATTATATATTATACTATAATATATAATATATATAGTATATATTATATATTTTATATAATATATAGTATATTTATATGTAATATAGACTATATATTACATATAAATTTAATACCTAACATATACTATATATTACATATAAATATAATATCTAACATGTACTATATATTAGATACAAAATATAATATCTAACATATACTATATGTTAGAGACAAATATATCTAACATATACTATATGTTAGAGACAAATATATCTAACATATACTATATGTTAGAGACAAATATATCTAACATATACTATATGTTAGAGACAAATATATCTAACATATACTATATGTTAGAGACAAATATATCTAACATATACTATATGTTAGAGACAAATATATCTAACATATACTATATGTTATATATAAATATAATATCTAATATATACTATATGTTATATATAAATATAATATCTAATATATACTATATGTTATATATAAATATAATATCTAATATATACTATATATTATATATAAATATTTCTAATATATACTATATATTATATATAAATATATCTAATATATTATATTTATATTTATATTATATTTCTATAATATATAAATGTAATATATAATTATATAATATATAATATAAATATAATTATATAATATATAATATGTAAATATTATATATTATATAATTATATATTATATATATTATATTATAGTATATTATATATTATATAATTATACATTATATATATTATACTATAGTATATTATATATTATATATATTATATAATATTATATACTATATAATTATATATTATATATATTATATTATATTATATATTATATAATTATATATGATATAATTATATATTATATAATATAATATATTATATTATAATTATATTGTAAAAATATTATATTATAATTATATTGTTATATATAATATATAGCATATATTACATATATTATATTTATAAAGTATAACATAAATATAAAGTAAGGTGGTATTGCATTGTGCTTTTGATTTGCATTTCCCTGATAATTAGTGATGTTGCACATTTTTTCCGTATGCTTTTGGCCATTTGTATATCTTCTTTTGGGAATTGTCTATTCACGTCCTTAGCCCACATTTTGAGGGGGTTGTTTGCTTTTTTCTTGCTGATTTGAGTTATTTGTAGATTCAGAATATTAGTTCTTTTTCGGATATATAGATTGTGAAGATTTTCTCCCCCTTGATGGGTTGTTTGTTAACTCTGCTGATTATTGCTTTTGCTGTTCAGAAGCGTCTTAGTTTAATTAAGTCCTATCTATTTACCTTTTTTTTTTTGCATTTGCGTTTGAGTTCTTGGTCATGAAGTCTTTGCCTAAGTCAATGTCTGGAAATATTTTCCTGATGCTGTCTTCTGTACTAGAATCTAGATGGTTTTAGGTCTTAGATTTATGTCTTTGATCCATCTTGAGTTGATGTTTTGCATAAGGTGAGAGATGAGGACCCAGTTTCGTTCTTTTACAGGTGGCTTGCCAATTATCCCAGCACTATTTGTTGAATAGGGTGTCCTTTCCCCCATTTTAAGTTTTTGTTTGCTTCTTCAGAGATCATTTGGCTGTTAAGTATTTGGCTTTATTTCTGCGTTCTCTATTCTGTTCCATTGGTCTATGTGCCTATTTTTTTTATACCTGTAGCATTCTGTTTTGGTGACTATAGCCTTATAGTATAGTCTGAAGTTGGGTAACGCAATGCCTCCATATTTGTTCTTTTTGCTTAGTCTTGCTTTGGCTATGTGGGCTCTTTTTTGGTTCCATATGAATTTTAGAACTGTTTTTCTAGTTCTGTGAAGAATAACAGTGGCATTTTGATGAGAATTGCCTTGAATTTGTAGATTGCTTTTGGCAGTGTGGTCATTTTCACAATATTGATTCTACCCATCCATGAACACGGGATATGTTTTCATTTGCTTGTGTTATCTATGATTCCTTTCAGCAGTTTTTTGTAGTTTTCTTGTAGAGGTCTTTCACCTCCTTGATTAGGTATATTCCTAAGTATTTTAACTTCAATTTTTTTTTACAGCTACGTGAAAGGGGTTGAGTTCTTGATTTGATTCTCAGCTTAGTCGCTGTTGGTATGTAGCGGAGCTACCGATTTGTGTACATTAATTTTGTATTCTGAAACTTTGCTGAATTCATTTTCCAGTTCTAGGAGCTTTTTGGATGAGTCTTTAAGGTTTTCTAGATATACAATCATGTCATTGACAAACAGCAATAGTTTGATGTTCTCTTTACTGATTTAGATGCTTTTTATTTCTTTCTCTTGTCTGATTGATCTGATGAGTACTTCCAGTACTATGCAGAATAGAAGTGGTGAAAGTGGGCATCCTTGTCGTGTTCTAGTTCTCAGGGGGAATCTTCTCAACTTTCCCCATTCAGTATAATGTTGGCTGTGGGTTTGTCATAGATGGCTTTTATCACCTTAAGGTATGTCCCTTCTATGCCAGTCTTGCTGAAGGATTTATTCATAAAGAGATGCTGGATTTTGTCAAATGCATTTTCTGAGCCTATTGAGATGATCATGGGATAGTTGTTTTTAATGCATGACTTTCAGCAATGAACAGATTATCCAGACGGAAAAACAATAAGGAAACATTGGACTTAAACCACACTTTAGAACAAATAGACCTAACACAGAGATATACAGAATATCCCATCCAACTGCGGCAGAATACACATTCTTCTCAAGTGCACATGCAACATTCTCCAGGATAGATCATATGTTAGCAACAAAACATGTCTTAACAAATGTAAGAAAAATGAAATCATATCAAGCATCTTTTTTGAGCACAATAGTATGAAACTACAAATCAGTAACAGGAGGAAGACTGGGAAATTCAAAAATATCTGGAAATTAAACAACACACTCCTGAACAACCAATGGAGAAGGAAGAAATAAAAAAGGACATCAGAAAATATCTTGAGACTAATAAAATTGGTAACACAACATACCACACTTATGGGATGTAGCAAGGGCAGTTCTAAGAAAGAAGTAAGCAAAAAAATGAAAAATCTCAAATAAACAACTGACTTTATATCTCAAGGAAATAGAAAAAAAAGGATTTATTAAGCCCAAAGTTAGTGGAAGAAAGGAAATAACAAAGATCAAAGAAGAAATCTACAAAATAGATATTAGGAAGACAATAGAAAAGATCAACAAAATTCACAGTTGTTCCCATAGCCAGGATTCACGGGAAAAAAAAAAAAAAAGCAGGGTGCAGTGGTTTATGCCTGTAATCCCAGCACTTTGGGAGGCCGAGGTGGGCAGATCACGAGGTCAGGAGTTCGAGACCAGCCTGACCAACATGGTGAAACCCTGTCTCTACCAAAAGTACAAAAATTAGCTGGGCATGGTGGCACTCGCCTGTAATCCCAGCTACTCAAGAGGCTGAGGCAGGAGAATCACTCGAACCTAGCAGGCAGAGGTTGCAGTGAGCCGAGTTCATGCCACTGCACTCCAGCCTGGGTGACAGAGCAAGACTCTGTCTCAAAAAAAAAAAAAAAAAGAAAAAAAAAGAGTTGCTTTTCTTTTTAATAAAAAATTGACAAAAATTTAGCTAGACTAAGAAAAAAAGAGAGAAGACTCAAATAAATAAAATCAGAAATAAAAGAAGAGACATCACAACTGATACCACAAAAATACAAAGATACTACTATAAACAATTGCATGCTAACAAATTGGATAACCAAATCAGATGAATAAATTGCTGGAAACACACAACTTAACCAAGACAGAATCATGAAGAAATACAAAATCTCGACAGACCTATATGAATAAGGAGATTGTATCAATAATCAAAAATCTCCCAGCAAAGAAAATTGCAGGACCAATGTTATGCCCACTCTTGCCACTTTTATTCACTGTAGTTCTAAAAGCCCTAGCAAGAGCAATTAGGCAAGGAAAAGAAATAAAAAAGGCATTCAACTTAGAAAGGAATAAGTAAAATTGTTTCTGTCTGCAGATGACATGACCATATATATACCTGTAGAAAACCCTAAAGACTCCACCAAAAAAATTTAGAATAAACAAATTCAGTGATGTTGTAGGATATAAAATCAACAGCCAAAAATGAATTGTATTTCTATACATTAAGAATAAAGTATTTAAGAAGGAAATTAAAGAAACAATCCCATTTACAATAGCATCAAAAAGAGTAAAATAATGGAGTGTAAATTATAGAGCTAGTATATGAAAAACAGAATGAAGATTCCTTAAAAAATTAAAAATAGAACTACCATATAGTACAGTAATCCCACTTCTGTATACATATCCAAAGAAAATGAAATCACTTTCTTATTAATAATAACATAGTGCATACTTGAAGTTTGCTTAGAGTGATCTTCATTATTATCACCACAAGAAAGATAACTATATGAGGTGATGAATATGTTAATTAGCTTGATTGTCGTAATTACTTCACAATTTATACATACATCAATATGTCATGCTCTGCACCTTAAATATATATAGTGTTTACTTGTCAATTATATCTGAATACAGCCAGGAAAAAACAACTGCCACCTGACCACTCTTAACTCTTCCTGCCTCCAAATCAATACACAAAGAAGTGAGCTATTGTGCTGGCTGGGGTGATTGATCCTGACCACTAAGAGGAAATTAGACTTCCACTTCACAATAGAGGTATGGAAGACTATGTCTGGAATACAGGAAGTCCCTTAGGGCAGCAGTCCCCAGTTTTTTTGGCACCAGTGACCAGTTTTATGAAAGACAGTTTTTCCGCAGACGGGGTGGTGGCGATGGGGGTGGAGGCGATGGGGGTGGATGGTTTCAGGATGAAATTGTTCCACCTCAGATTATCAGGCATTAGATTCTCATAAGGAGCATGCAACCTAGATCCCTCGCATGAGCAGTTCACAATACGGTTTGTGAACTTCCATGAGAATCTAATGCCAAGGCTGATCTGACAGGAGGAGGAGCTCAGGTGCTAATGCTCACTCGCGCCGCACTCACCTTCTGCTGTGCAGCCTGGTTCCTAACAGGTCACAAACCGTTTCCAGTTTTGTACCAGTCCACAGCCCGGGAATTGGGGACCCCTCCCTTAGGGTGTCTCTTAGTTTTACCAAGCCCTGTGATTTAAGTGAATAGAAAACTATAACAACTGAATCCAGACAGGGCTATTAATGACCCAGACCCTTCAAAAATGCAGGTTTGGGTCACCCCACAAGATAAAGAGCCACAACCAGCTGAAGTGCTTGCTAAAGGCAAAGGGAATACAGAAGGGGTAGCAGAAGAAGGGGGTTATAAAGACCAGCTAGGACCATGTGACAAGTTACAGAAATAATGGCTGCAATTGATGTGATTATTCCTCCTTATTTCATGAATATGTGCATGTGTATATCTATTTTTGTACGTCTCTTATTCCCTTATCATGTAACATAAGATATGTTGACTGTACATAATAGTATTTAAGTATTGTTAAATTTACTTTATAGTATTTAAGTTATGGGATATCAAGGAGAGGAGTAAACATCACTCAAGGGCTTTACATCCTTTTCTGGGGAAGGGGTTAGTGTGTTTTTGGTTGTACACAAGATAGGTACATCCTGTTAGGGATAATTATGACCTAATTGTTGTCTTTATTTGGAGATTAAGTATGGTTTAAGGAGATGTGTATGGGTGCCAAGCTGATAAACGGTAGACCTGTGATTGTTAATTTTATGTGTCAACTTGACTGGGCCACAGATCCCCTAGATAGTTTGTTAAACATTATTTCTGAGTGTGTCTGTGAGGGTGTTTCTGGATGAGATTAACATTTAAATTTGTAGACTGAGGAAAGCAGATTGCACTCCCCAATGTGGGTGGGCCTCATCCAATCCATTGAAAGCCTGAGTAGAAAAAAAATTCTAAGTAAATAAGAACTATTTCTCTTTGCCTGACTGTGTTCAAGCTAAGAAGCTGGTCTTCTCCTGCCTGCAGATTTGGACTCAGGGCTGGAAATTACACCATTGGTTATCCTGGTTCTCAAGCCTTGGACTGGGAGTAGAACTGATTTTCTGGGTCTCCAGCTTGCCTACTGCAGATCTTGGAATTCTCAGTCTCCATAATGGTGTGAGCCAATTCCTTATGGTAAATCTTTTTATATATATAGGATAACAGGTGACATAGATGATGACAGTAAAAATTATTGTTCACATCATATTGTAAGATTTTACATGGAGAATTCATTTGTGTTTACATAGGCACCTAAAAATTTACTTTTTAAAGTCTCTTAGGGGATATAAAATGATATATTGAACATAAGTGAATAGACACACCACAACAGTAATAAATTATACCTGACCAAAGGCAATTTAAGAACAACCACTCTCAAAAGTTTTTTGAGGGCTATCTCATATCGATTCAATGAATTGTTAGATATGAAAATTTATGTATCAAGCACATAGCTTTAAATTTAGAGAGCAAAGTCTGATAGAACTAAAAAAATTAAAACTGATCCAAAAGAAAGTTCTTTATCCCAGAAGAAAATTTCTTGAAATGAAATACCTAAAACGACTTTTAAAATAATGTACCCAAGGATTGTATTCAATAGCAGCTTAGACACAGTAAGTGGTATAAAAGCAATTTGAAAGAGAGGTAAGATATAATACAGACAGCAACATGGAGTGACAACAAAGTTGGAAAATGTGGAAGAGTTAATGAGTGATTTACAGGACAAAAAATTAAGAGATATTTAATTAGTGTGAAATGGAGAGGGGAGAGATAATTTGGAAAATGTAATATTTGTAGGATATGTGTTCAAGAACTTTCCACAAAGGATAAAAGGCATCAAGCAGTTCAAGAAGTGCTAGAAAACTCACACGTACCACATTAAAAACAAAAAGTATTTAGTTTATGATTATTCTTTTAAGAACTGCCAAACTGCTTTCCAAAGTGACTATGGATGTACCATTTCACATTGCCACCAGCAATAAATGAGAGTTTCTGTTGCTCTGAATCCTCATCATCATTTGCCATTGTTAGTTTCTTTGATTTTTAACTATTCTAATAGGACTAAAGTGGTAAGTCATGTATGTTGCCATAACATATGTTTTTTTGCAATTTTTGTATCTTCTTAGGTGAAGTGTCTACTCAAATCTTTTCTAAAGCTATTATTGGGATGTTGTCTTCTTGTAACTGAGTTATGTGTGTGTTTGTGTGTGTGTGTGTGTGTGTGTGAACGTATGTTTTGCCCAAGTTTATCCCAGTTTGTGGCCCAATTGTGTCTATTGAAAAAATAAACTTAAATATTTGGTTTTGATGAAATATAATTTACTTTGTTTCTTTTTATATTCATGATTTTTGTGTCCCATTTAAAAAATCTTTACCTAAACAAAGTTCACTGTGATATACACCTTTGTATTCCCCTAGAAACTTTATAGTTTTCCTGTTATATTTGGGTCTATGATCCATTTGAAGTTAATTTAAAATTTTTTAAAGTTTTATAAATGTATATATACACACTTTTTTTCCGAGCAGTTTTAGGTTTAAAGTAAAATTGAGTGGAAAGTATAGAGATTTCCCATATATAGTCCCTGCACTCATAAGTTCAAGTTAATTTTTTATGTAAGGTATGTATAGGTCAAGGGTCACTTCTTTTTCACATGTAAGATGTTCAAGCACCATTTATTGAAACGGCTATCTTTTCTTTCTTGAATTGCCTTGGTATCGTTGATGAACAACAACTGACATTATGTATACAGTTATATTTCTGGACACGCTCTTTTGTTCCATTGTTCTACATGCCTATATTTTTGCCAATAGCACATTGTCTTGATTACTGTAGCTTTATATAATCATGCAGTCAGGTACAGTGAGTCCTCCAAGTTTGTTCACTTTCAAAATTGTTTTGGCTATTCTGAGTTCTTTGCTTTTCCATTTTCTTAGTTTGTTTACTGTTGCTATAAAGGAACACCTGAGGCTGGGTAATTTATAAAGAAAAGGGGTTTATTTGGCTCATGATGCTGATGTCTGGAAAAGTTAACGTTTGGGCATTTGCATCTAGTAAGGGCCTCAGGCTGTTTCCACTCATAATGGAAGGCAAAGGGGAGCTAGCTGTGTGGAGATCACTTAGTGAGATAGGAAGCAAGAGAGAGGGGAAGGAGGTGCCAGGCTCTTTTTTCTTTTTCTTTCTTTCTTTCTTTCTTTCTTTCTTTCTTTCTTTCTTTCTTTCTTTCTTTCTTTCATTATTATTATACTTTAAGTTTTAGGGTACATGTGCACAATGTGCAGGTTAGTTACATATGTATACATGTGCCATGTTGGTGTGCTGCACCCACTAACACGTCATCTGGGAGGCTCTTTTTAACAACCATCTCTCTCAGGAACTAATAGGAGTGATAATTCACTTACTCCCTTTCCCAGTATTAATCTATTAATGAGGGATCAATCCTGATGACCAGAACACTTCCCATTAGGCCCCCCTCCTTCAACATTGGGGATCAAATTCAACATGAGGTTTGAGGGCACAAACATTCAAATTATGGCATCCATATGCCTTCTAGAGTCAGCACTCCCATTTCTAGAGAAAAAGCCTACTGGAATTTTGATTAACAATAGATATTTGATAACAATAGGTGTTTGATAACAATTTTGATCTAAGTATCAATAGATCAGTTTGGGGAAGAATGATATCTAGTTTTTAGACTTCCAGTCTGAGACTTTTTAGACATTTTTAGAATTCCAATTATAACTCCTCTCACAGAGTTATAAACTGTGAACACATTATAATTCTTTTTTTATTCAGGTCTTTGACTTCTCTCTGCAAGGTTTTGTACTTTTTGGCATAGAAGTCTTGCAAATAATCTGTTAGATTTATACCTAAGTATTTCATCTTTTGATGCACTTGTTAAATTACTTATTGTTCATTTCAATGTCCAATTTTCGTTGCTGGTGTATAAAAAATCATTGATTTTTGTATATTTTCCTTGTATCCTGAAATCTTGCTAAACTCAATTTTTAGACAGAATAGCTGTTTAATAAGCTCTTTGGCATTGTCTGTGTAAGGAGTCATGGCACAGAAAATAAAGATAGTTTTATTTCTTCCTTTCAAATCTTTGTTTTTAAATCTTTTTTGTTTTCCTTATTGCAATATCTGGGAACACCAGTATTATGTTAAATATATTTGGTGAGAGCGGACATCCTTGCATAGCTCCCAAACTTAGGAAAAAAGCATTCAGTCTTCTATCGTTTTACATCAGTACCCACTACAAGTTTGAGGAAGTCCCTTTTTATTTCAAGAGATTGGAAGATTTTATCACAAATGGAAGTTGAATTTTGTGAAATGCTTCTTATGTATTGGTTGAGACACCCTTGTATATGTATGGATATAGTAAATTGCATTAATTGATTTTTGAATGTTTGAGCAAGTTTGGATTCTTGGGTAGTTTTTATCTTTGATAATATATCATCATTTTATACATCCTTTTAATAATTACACTTGATATTTTCTTAAGGATGTTTGCATCTACATTAATAAGTTATTGGTCTGTAGTTTTCATTTCTTTTAATGTTGTCTTTATGTCGTCAATGAAATTCTGTTGTCATAAAATAAGATGTAAACTAATACTTTCTTTTCTGTTTTACAGAAAAATTTCTATAGAATTAGTAATATTTATACCATAAATATTTCATAGAATTCCCCAGTGAAGATACTGGGATCTGTAGTTTTTATTGTTGGAAAGACATTTACTATGAATATAATTTCTTTAGTAAGTATAGAACTATGAAGGCTATAAATTCCTTTTTGAGTGATCTTTGGTAGTTTCTTTCAATGAACTAGTTCATATCATTAATGTTGTTAAATTTTTTAGCATAAACTTTTAAATAATATTCCCTTATTGTATTTTTAATGCCTGTAGTATCTGTAGTGATGTTACATCCTTTATTTTTATAATTGGTAATTTGTTTTTTTCTTATAGTTTTTTTTTACCTTTTAAAACAATAAACTTGTGATTTCATTCATTTTCTTTATTGATCTGCTTTTTGGTTCTTACTTTTACTTCTGCTCTTACTTTTACTATTTCATCCCTCTTTTTTCTGTAGGTATAATTTGCTCTTCTTTTTCTAGTTTCTTAATTGGAAGCTTACGTAGTTGATTTGAAATCTTTATTATTTGTTATTCTGAAAATGTTGTGCTTTCTATTACCCTCTAAGTATTACTTTAGAAGCATCTCAAAAAACAAGAATTGTTATGTTTCATCTTTTCCCTGTAATACATTTTCTAATTCTCTTAAGTCTTCCCCTTTGACATATTGAGTTATTTATGAGTACTGTTTAATTTTGAAATGATGAGGATTGTGAAATATATTTCTATAATATATTTCTAGTTTGGTTCCATTTTGGTCAGGGTAGGTACTTTGTACAATTTTAATTATTTTAATTTTGTTGACATTTGTTTAGTGGTCCAAATACGGTCTATCTTGGTAAATGACGCATGTGCACTTGAAAAAAATGTTTATTATGCAAGTTGTTGTGTGGAGTGCTCTATAAGTATTAATCAGATCAGTTAGTTAATAGTTTTGTCTAGATCTGCTTCAAGCTTAAACGCTTTATTCTATTAATTAAGATAATTGTATTAAAATCTCCAATTATAACTGTATATTTTCCATTTCTCATTTAATTTTTGTTTTTTGCTAAATATATTTTAAAACTTAGTTGTTAGGCACATGCCCATTTAGGATTTTTAGATCTTCTTGATCGATTTACCCTTTACTAATGTTATGTCCATCTTTATACCTGTTAATGTTTTTTTGTTCTGAAATCTAAGTTTTCAGATGTTAATATATCCACTCTAGAATTCTTTTGCTGAGTATTTGCATGGTATGTATTTTTCATTACTTTATTAAATGGCTTTAAGTGGGTATAACTGACATATAATAAACTGTATGTATTAAAATTATATAATGTAGTTTTTGACACAGGTATAAACCCATGAAACTATCAGCACACTCAAAATAGTGAATATTTCAATCATTCCCAGAAGTTTCCTCATTCCTCTTTGTATTGTCTTACTGTTTCTAGTCCCTGCAACTCCTGTCTTCTTCCCCAGATACCTATACATTTTGCATTTACTGTGATGTCATATTAATATAATCATATAGTAGCTACTTTATTTTGTGTGGCTTCTTTCATTTATAATTATTTCGAGATTCACCTATGTTGTAGCATACGCCAACCATTCATTTGAATTAATCAGATATATTGATAGATGATAGTTAGCTAGCTGAATAGATGTAGCTATATCAAAGTTTGTATTTTATTCATTTACTTCTTAATAGACATTTGGGTTGTTCCCAATTTACAGTATTTTGCTAATTTAAATAAAGTTGCTACGCACGTTTCTGCACAAATCTTTCTATGGATGTATGGTTTCATGTCCTTCAGGTAAATATCTAGGAGAAGAATGACTAGATCATATGATAGATGTGTGTTTAACTTTTTAAGAAGCCACCGAGATGTCTTCCAATGTGTCTGTACCGTTTTACATTCCCACCAGCAGTGTATGAGAGTTCTAGTTTCTCCATATCCTCACCAGAACTCAGCATTGTCAATCCTTTACTTTTACCCATTCTGATAAGTGCACTGTGCTAATTCATGGTGGTTTTATTTTTTTATTTTATGTTTTTTCTTTCTTTTTGTTTTTTATTATACTTTAAGTTCTAGGGTACATGTGCACAACTTGCAGGTTTGTTACATATGTATACATGTGCCATGTTGGTTTGCTGCACCCATTAATTCATCATTTACATTAGGTATTTCTCTTAATGCTATCCCTCCCCTATCCCCTCACCCCACGACAGGCCCCAGTGTGTGATGTTCCTCGCCCTGTGTCCAAGTGTTCTCATTGTTCAATTCCCACCTATGAGTGAGAACATGTGGTATTTGGTTTTCTGTCCTTGCGATAGTTTGCTCAGAATGATGGTTTCCAGCTTCATCCATGTTCCTGCAAAGGACATGAACTCATCTTTTTTATGGCTCCATAGTATTCTATGGTGTATATGTGCCACATTTTCTTAATCCAGTCTATCATTGATGGACATTTGGGTTGGTTCCAAGTCTTTGCTATTGTGAATAGTGCCACAATAAACATACATGTGCATCTGTCTTTATAGTAGCATGATTTATAATCCTTTGGGTATATACCCAGTAATGGGATGGCTGGGTCAAATGGTATTTCTAGTTCTAGATCCTTGAGGAATCACCACACTGTCTTCCACAATGGTTGAACTAGTTTGGTGTTAATTTGCATTTCCTTAGTAATTAATGATGTTAGGCATCTTTTGACGTGCTAACTTACCGTGTATATCATCCTTAACAAAATGGTTGTTGAAAATTTTCTCATTTTATGTTGTGTTGTTTATCTTATTGAGTTTTTAGATATTTTATGCTAGGGTTTTAATCTTCATATTGAGTTCTGAGGTTTTTAAAATATATTCTGGATATATGACCTTTATCTGATATCTGATTTAAAAGTAGTTTCTCTCTGTAGCTTGTCTTTACATTCTTTTAACAATGTCTCTTGAGGAGGATAGCTTTAATTTTTATCATGTCCAGTTGATTTATTTGTTCTGTTATGAATCTTGCTTTTGGTGTTACACCTAAGAAAACTTTGGCCTATCTTTTCTTCTAGATGTTCTGCAGTCTTAGGTTTTACATTTAATTTGATGATGTATTTTGTCAAAATTTTTCATATATGGTGTGAGGTGTGTATCAAAGAAGGAAAGAAAAAGGGAGATTATCTGTGCTCTCAGAATATTAGGCATTTGCAATTCCTTCAGCCAGAACTAGATGGCGTTCTCTGGAGTTCTCATTTTTCTGTGCCACAATGCTCACTTCTGGGTTTCCGAGTGCATTACATTTGAGTTGGAGGATGCCAAAACAAGAAAACATTAAACTTGCTGCCAGTTCAGGATACTTTGAATGTGGGTGTTCTTTCCCAAATTGCCTTCTGCTATTTACATTTCAGAGTCCTTACATAACTGCTCTATGCATTCTATTCCAGTTTTATGGTTGTATTCAGTGGCAGAGATGAATGAAGTGTTTTTATTTTATATTACCTGGAACCAGAACTGATATTCTAATTTCCAAACATTTCTACCACTACTTTGATCTCACAAACACACACACAACCAACAAACCAATGCCTTCTTTCCAAAGAGAATGAAATATCAGTGTTGCGAATACCCAGAAGCCAATAACCAAGGCTGGCATTAGAAGACAGAAACCCTGGCAAGTAAAGATATGTAAAATACTCTCCATTGTTCAATGAACAGTCCCAGTAATACAATGGAAGAATTCTGTTTCTCACAAATGTGCTACATAAAACTCTCCCTTGCATTAAAAACAAAACCCTCACATTTTATTATACTAAGTAGTTCAACCACATATTTATCAGCTGGACTCTCAATCCAGAAGCAAAATATTTTATTATTTTATATCAGTCCATGCCAATAACTTACCACAAACTTTCCAAATTTAGATAAAGGTTTTTTTAAACTTCTCATTTAATACTTCTTTGTATCCTAAAATCCCAAATAAAATCAAATGTTCCATTTATATTAAATGATATTTATATTAAATGATGTGTAAATACATCTGAAGGTAATTGCTTTTGAATTACACTTTGGGATTAGAACTATCTCAGACTAATTGTTTCATCTTGCTCATTAAAGAATAGAACTGACAAAAGCCTTTCAAGGGAAATCCCACAGAAAGAGGAATATGCTCTCATGTCCGGTAGAATGATTTTTATATTTCAAACTTTGTCTGAAATATCCCCCAAAGTTTCTAAAATGTAATAATCCACAAAAATTGTATTTCTCACATTCCTCTTCATGCTTATTATTTATATTTATATTAAATCCTTCTAGAAACCTCAGAGATTTAAACTACCTTTTTTTTCTGTCTGAGATTAATACAACAGAGATTTGTTAAGTACTTCTTTGTGTTCTCTAGGTCAGAATCGACTAAAAAATAAGACGAGTGACAGAGAGATAGACATTAAAATGTTAGCTTTATTGCTAATAATCTGTACCCAAAATGCTTGCAAATACTTGCTCCCTGAACTAAACAGATTTACTTATCCAGTCTCTGGCATTGCTAGAAAATCACTGCTTTCACCATCTTTCAGCAGCACAGGACAGGTCCATTTTAAATTATGGCACAGAGAAAACCAGAATGGACCCTCCTTGCAGACAGCCAAAAACAAAAGAAGGGTCTGATCCAGTCATACTTAATTTCTTCTCCCAAAGCTCACCAAGCTCTTCAATCATCCTTCCTAAGGAAGGAAAGTTGGGAGAGAGATTAGGAGCGTTACTCTGAAATCAGTTTCCTTCAACAGTGAAGCAAGCAGTAAGGAACATGGAGGATCTCCAACCCACTCTCATTCCAATGTTCCACCAGGTTTTTGTTATTTTAACACATATCTTAACCATTAATTAAGTTTTTGGTAAACGAAGTGTGTAGCTGCACCCTCCTGTCACCAGATACAATTAGAGGTAACTTTTCTTCCTATCCAGCATATTTAAACTTTCCTACTTGTCTGTTGAACCTTGTGTTTCTGGCACTACAGTCCTGAATTGACTTTAAACTTCATCTAGCCACTTCTCCACACTCTCAGAAGCAAGATTTCCCACATCTCTAGCAGCAGACTCTCCATTTACAAGCATAGTCTTTCTGTCTCTGTAGTTTCAGTCTCTTGCTGTAAGTTTACGCCCTGTTCTACTTCCCATCCTATGTCCAGCTATGCTTCTCAATGTGGTACATTAGAGGTTCTAAGATTATAAGATCACATTTAGATAGACCAATAATAAAATGGCAACAATATGGAGATGCTCCAAATTTGAAAAAAAAGACTATTTTTCCTTATGAATTTCCAATAAATAAATTCCAAAAATTAATAACATTATTCTGCTTTTGTGTGAAATTAAATTAAAACCCAAAAAAACTTAAAGTCTTGCACTGTATCTTTTTTTCTATTTATTTTTGGCCAAAAGTGTCCCTGATGCTTGGATGGTGCTGAGCTTGCTTCAGCAGCTACATTCTGAGATGTGTGCTGTTAGAACTGGATAGTGCTTTTAAGGTCTCAGAAATCACAGGAATTTTACTTTTTTTTCACATACAAGACAGAGCAGGACCCAAGAGATTTGATATCTATACTACTCATTCTTTCAATTCATTTAACAAATACTTACCGGGTACCTCTTATGTGCCAGGCACTGTTCAAGGCACTATAGATGGAACAGAACAAAAGAAAAAATTTCTATGGTCCTGAAGCTGGTATTCTAGAAAGCTCTTCATGGGTATGAGTAAAAAAGAGAAGCAACTTCCAGAGTTTAAGACAATTATCCTATGCCAAATTATGTTCCCAGAACATAGTACATGGTTGTTGCCAAAGACCATAGCAGCAACTGAATGTTATATGATGAAAGGGGGGTACACGGGCAAAATATTGGCTTTATTATTGCCAAGTTGTTTTGATGATAAAACCTAATCAATTCAGTGCGAGATTCAATTCTAGAGTTCCAAAAAAATGTTGATTCTGACAGTTTTTGCTAGCATCTTTATTGCCCCTGTGGGTTGACAGATCCTTGGAGTTCCCTACTCCACAATTTCAGTGATTCCAATAAATTTTTTTTTTAGACGGAGTCTCGCTCTGTCATCCAGGTTGGAGTGCAGTGGTGTGATCTCAGCTCACTGCAACCTCTGCCTCCTGGGTTCAAGTGATTCTCCTGCCTTAGCCTCCCAAGTAGCTGGAACCACAGGTGTGCGCCACTACGCCCCGCCAATTTTTGTATTTTTAGCAGAGATGGGGTTTCACCATATTGGTCAGGCTGGTCTTGAACTCTTGACCTCGTGATCCGCCTGGCTTGGCCTTCCAAAATGCTGGGATTACAGGCGTGAGCCACTGTGCCCAGCCTCCAATAAATAATTTTTAATCTTCTACATCACATATTGAAATCCACATTGTAAATGTGTATAATGTATTACAATTTTTATTTGCAATTATCTTGAATGAATGTCTGTCTCTCTATTAAAACATTAACTTACTAAGTGACAGGTAAGTGGGTAATCTCCCATCCAACAGGAAATGCGATATAATTTTTATTAAGGGAGCTTCTGCAAAGTGAAAGGGAAATTATGAAAGATGTCTTATTCCCCCTATAAATCCAGGAGGATAGACTTCAACTATCATAGTCATTACTGTGAAAAAAAAGAATATGTGTCAATGTCATCACAAATGAGGTGCAGTTGACATTCTACGAAGTAAAAATGCAGGTAGATCTGGGTTAAGACCTTAGCATTTGTTTTCACATTCAGTTTTTTAAATAAATTAGACTTTCTAACATTTATTCTCACAAAAACTGTATTTCCTTAGGAAAAACAATTCATTTCAGATCTTAACTTTTTAATTGTGTATATTCAGCCATATTACGATATTGTCATATTTCACCAAATGAAGGCTTTTTCTGTGAGCTGTTTTCAAAATTCTAGATTCTGGTCCATATACTCCTTCTAGCAGTTTGGAATGACTTACTAGTCAGCATTTGTATTACTGGAACCAATTGAAACTATTCTACAAATAAGCAAGGTGATAAACCTTGTTTGGTTTGAGACAAATGACTATTTGGAGCTAAAAGACTCAAAATAAAGTGCTTGCTTTTTCTACAGCTTATATTAGACTACAGGAACTCTTAAGTCAGTGTGGAGTCATAGGTCAGGAGCAGCCAGTTCATGAATACAATGATGCTAGCTGCCTTCCACATGGGAGTAGATGGCTATATTAAGAGAATCTCCCTCAGTGTCAGTGAGGAAGACAGCCAAAAAGACTGTCTGTTTTAAGAAACAATTCAATTGTTAAATAATGGATACTCCCAAAAATGGAATTTCAGGAAAATGTGGATGAACAATCTTCCTGAAGGCTGCCCAAATGATTTATTGCATGCTGAGATTTTATTCACACACATATAGACTGCATACAGATAATGCATCAACTTTATCCTTTAATTGCAGGTTGTTTTCTTGCAAAGACTGTTGAAATTAAGGATAATATATAAGAAAGTTTCTCTGCCATTGTTTTGAATTTTCAGAAATTTTCTTAAAAAGAAAATCTAAGAGTTTATATTAATAAGGTAAAAAATTCAATTAATATTTCTGAAAAAAATACATTGAATTTTAAAAATTATTGTTGCTTAATATCTGACACCGGTGCCTTTTCATGTAAAAAATGTGAATTCCATATTAAAATATCAAGTGTATTTCAATGAAATGTTATAAAATAAAATGATATTTTCTTTAAAAATATTTGAGGACTTGGTCCATTTCACTTAAATTATTAAATTTGTGTGCATAATGGTGTTGATAATATTTTATTATCCTTAACAACCATAGGGTTAGTAGTGATGTCTCCTGTTTTATTTCTGTTATTGATAATTTGTGACTTTTCTTTCTCTCTCCCCTTTTCTTGGTTACCCTGGTTAATGTCTTATCAAATCTATTAATCTTTTCAAAGAAACACCTTTAGATTTTACTAATTTATTCTATTTTTCCCTGTTTTTAGCTTTGTGGATTTCTGCTCTAGTATTTATTTTCTTTCTACTGCTCATTTTAGATTTAATCTGCTCTACTTTCTCTAGATTCCTAAGGTGAAAAGTTAGGTTACTGATTTTAGTAGTGGGAATGGGGTAGAAATGTGTATACTTTGTCTTATCCAGAAATGGAAAACTTATTAACTTTTAACAGCTTTCATTTATGAATGTTTAAAATGTTTTATGATGTTACTATACTGTGGTACCTAGTTATATTTTCTAAAATATATGCATCATTATTGTTGTTTGTCGTTGCCTGAGTGTCCACAAAACAGAGCCTGATACAAGAGTTTGCATGCAAATAGTTTATTTGCCAAGTGGTTTTAGTGAGTCAGAGTGAGAAAAATTAGTGGTGAAATAAGAAAAGAAGAAAATTCAAACAAGGATGTGTTATTAAATTGGACATCACTACAGGCAGGTCGCGCTCAGTCTTCTGGGATAGAAGTTGGTATCCACTTTTGTTAGGATGAATAACTACTATGGGTGCAGTGCATTCAACATGGATCCGAGTAGCTGGATGGTGTCTTTGAAGGAAGGTATAGAATTGAGGGCAGAGCATCAGATGTTGCTCTTGCAAAGATATACATTGAGCAGTGGCAGTAGCTTGATCACCTTTGACAAGAGAGAACCAATGCTGTTGAGCTCGTGCTTAGGCTTAATCCCTGCCACCAAGACAATTCATGGATTTATGTGCCAGAAATAAGATAACTGAGGAAAGAAGTTGTTTGACATTCATGGCATGAGTCATTAGGTCCACTTGGTTGTTGAGTGCCTTCTCTACAGTCAGTTCTCTTGCATGGCCATTAAAAATGAGGCACAAAGATACATATGATTTGTTTCCATTCCCATAATTCCATCTATGTGCCTCTAATCCACATTTTCTTTTTTTCAGTTTCCAGCCCTTCTCATTCCAAGACTCAGACACACCAGCCAAGTTGTTCTCCACAGTCCAGGAAACAACTTCAGGCCACTAGTCCCTTTGTAAAGTGAAGTAGCAGGTGTACTGTTCACAGCTTTGCCAACTAAGAGTTTCTCCTCCAACACTAATCTTCAGGGCTACTCCAACTGAGGCTAAAGTGTAGGAGCAGTACATTTACAGCTATCTGTAATGCTGACATCTGTGCATTCAGCTTGATATTTTCCTCTTCCATCAGCTGGTCATAGATAACCTCCTGACCCATGGTCATAGAAGTGTTTTGAGAGGAGGTATTATTGCAACAATGGTCAATGTCATGGCAGTTTTGTGTAATCTGCTGATTTATTGATGCCTTCTCATGCTGGATCTCATATATGGCATTTCCGTCATGGGGTGAATTGCTGTTTACCCCGTCAGCCCTTATCACTTGGTGAATCTAAATGTACAACTTATGATGGGCAGCTCATGTCATGTTGTCACTTGCTGTCTCTTGATTAGGCACTCTATTTCTATTATGCCTTAATAGCATATGAGGGTATGTTTTTAAATGGCAAGTAGTTTACAGGAGATATGGGTTTTCTTCAGAACCTCAGAATTATGTGTTATAGCACCCGTATAATGGCTAGATACTTCATGCTTAACCACCATAGATACCTTAAGCATTATCAGTTATGCTGAGTCATATGGCTTGAGTAGCAGGGCAATTTGCACTGCAGATCTGCAAACTTGGTGGGGAGCCATTATTTTCCACTGCAGCTGCTAACATCAGACTTTGGCTTGCCAGGTCACATCTTTTATTTATTTATTTATTTATTTATTTATCTATCTATTTATTAATTTGAGATGGAGTCTCTTTCTGTCGCCTAGGATAGAGTGGAATGGCATGCTCTCAGCTCACTGCAACCTCCGTCTCCTGGGTTCAAGCAATTCTCCTGCCTCAGCCTCCCAAGCAGCTGGGACTACAGGAGCCCACAACCACGCCCACCTAATTTTTTGTATTTTTAGTAGAGACCGGGTTTCACCATGTTAGCCAGGATTGTCTCGATTTCCTGACCTTGCGATCGCCCACCTCGGCCTCCCAAAGTCACATCTTTTATTTTTGTACAAAAGAAGTAATACATCAGCCAGCTGTCTGTACATCTAGCCCTGGAATACTACTATCTATAAGGCATTGTCACAGCTTCTGACATTTCTGTCAGTCAAGTTAGCCAGACTCCACTCTGACCTTGCTTTCCATTAAGGTAATGATACCTACCATGCCACTGAGGTTTCATGCTGTCACCTGGGCCCTACCATTTTGGAATCATATCATCTCCATTGCAACATAGTTTACTTCCAACCATGATTTGCAAAGGAGAGCCAACATCAAGCTTCTAAAAAATGTTAGTGTTCCTCCTCATCAACACATTCCTTATCAAAATATCTTCTCTGCCCTTTTAGGGAAAATAGTTCAGAGATAGGTCCTCTTGTCTCACTCAATAAGTCACTTCTAATACTGCTACTTCATTTGACCTTCTCACCAATTCCTCAGTACTCTGGCAAGAAAGTTTGAGTGGGCTGTCATGGTCAAGGCTTAAAGATGACACCCTAGCAGCGTTATTAGGCCAGCTCCAAGTCAGTGAACTCTGAATAACAGGTGTGTGATCCCATGCCAATAAGTTTCCCCCTATGATTGCATATTCTGCTCCCTTTCCTTGTTAGTTTTACAACCTCAATATCTGTTCCAACATATATTATCCTAGCTGATGCTAATGCATATTAGCCAGTTCCTGTATTTCCTTCTAAATATAGGGTATTTTCCACCTATTTAGAGATTGTATCTTGCTCCTTGTGCTGTGTAACAACTTACTTTTGTCATGGGTTGGAAGCAATTAAAAATGTCAGTGCTGGATATTGACACCAGCAATTTCTTTTGAGGTAGGTGTCTTAGATGAAGTTATTGGCTTGTCTCCAGGAACAGGGAGGCTGCTCTCCAATAGCATGGGTTTAAGGGGGCTGCTTCTGCTAGGCTGAGGGTTGAGGGGATTTATTCTTACACTTGGCTATTACCAGACTCATGGTTTTATTCTTTCCTTATCAGGATATCTCTATTTCTATGTGTGTATGTAT